>NC_000002.12:48372170-48675200 GCF_000001405.40 Homo sapiens | reverse complement strand
ATAACAAAAGCGTGCTAAGCCCATAAAACACACTGAATTAGTAAAGCTCTAAAAGAGACTACTGAAAGTTCTTTCAATTCACTTGAGTTGGGTTACATTCAATACTATTTGAAACAAATCAACCAGTGACCAGCACTGGAAAGTTTTTCTTTCATAAAGATTCACTATAACAGTGTTCCTCACCCCACTTTGACCTTTAGATACATTCTTTTGGCTATCTTCTGACTACATCACTCCCCTTTTAAAATGTTTCAATGGTTCCCCAATGCCCTGCTTTCCATTAATTTTTTACCACTGTTCTTAAAATATTCACTAAGTAGAAGGGTTCTCAGATACTAGATTTGTTAGCAGTGTATATTTAATATCACCTCTATCTATTCCATAAGGTTATTATAAGAAACAAAAGATAATATATGATAAAACACCGCAAAAATACAAAGTACTACATAATTAATTACAAGGTATCTCCCACATTGCGGCAAACAAAGGATACCACATCCATAATGGTCTAGAAAATTCTGCATGAGACTTTATGGAATGTATATATAATTAAGTACCTTATAATGTTTTTTTATAGAAGGCAATATATTGTTTATAAGAAACTAAAACAAGTTTCAAACTAAGAACTGTTCCTTTTCTATCCCCTATTCCTTCTTATGTTTATATTTGTATTCAGCATCTAAATTGCGGTTTTCTATTTGTATAAAATGTTATAGTGGAGAAAGTGACCTTATTTTCAGAGAAAAAGATTTCTTTTTACAGCAATTCAAAACATTATTCTTTGTTTCCCCCTAAATATATTCAAATTGTGACTGGAAAAAAAAAAGGCTAAATATGTAAATACGCATTAGTTATCAGGGAAACACAAATCAAAACCGCAATGATATACCATTTCACACTCATTAGAATGGTTAGAATTAGAAAGTCGGATTATGGCCAGTGCTGGCCAGGATGTGGAGAAATTGAAACCCTCGAACACTGCTAATAAGAATGTAAAATAGTACAGCCACTTTGGAAAATAGTCTAATAGTTCCTTAAGCTGTTACCACATGACCCAGGAATTCAACTCCTGAGTATATGCCAAGACAGATGAAAACATATGTCCACGCAAAAACCTGTACCCAAATGTTCATAGAGGCATTATTCATAGCAGCAAAAAGGTATCTATGGGGTTCAGAACACATTACCCCATATGTGTTCTGGCATCCTGACATTTGAAAAAATGGCAGAAGCAGGAAAGTCTTTCTGACCTTGCCCTCACCCTTCTCCCCTGAACCAGGCCATAAAAGGATTATCTGACCTTCCTTTAAAGTAAGTCATAAAACCTTTATTACAGAGGTCCCTACCCTATACACAAAGGAAAATAAGTGTCCTTATCTCTGAAGACACAGAGACACAAAAATCTGAACAAACAGGCCTTACTACGTTTCCTCCAGTTTATTGTCATTAGATCATATCCTTTTTTCCTCCTATCATACTTCGGTATGACTGTCCAGAAAAATAGTTTTCCCTGTTTCTTTGGGTCTTCATTTCTAAATATTCCTGTGTCGGCTGGGTGCAGTGGCTCACACCTATAATCCCAGCACTTCCCAGGTGGGTAGATCACGAAGTCAGATCCAGACCATCCTGGCTAACACGGTGAAACCCCATCTCTACTAAAAATACAAAAAATTATCCGGGCGTGGTGGCAGGCGCCTGTAGTCCCAGCTACTTGGGAGGCTGAGGCAGGAAGATCCTTTGAACCCGGGAGGCGGAGCTTGCAGTGAGCCAAGATCACGCCACTACACTCCAGCCTGGGCGACAGAGCCAGACTCCATCTCAAAAAAAAAAAAAAAAAAAAAGTTTCCTGTGTCAGTAAAATGTACGTTAAAATAAATTTGAATGATTTTCTCTTGTTAATCTGTCTTTTTTATAGGTGCCTCAACCAGGGAAATAGCAATGGGTAAGGAAAAGGTATTACTTTTTTCTCCCCTACAGTGGAAACAACCCAAATGTCCCTCAAAAGACAAACGGAAAAAGAAAATGTGGTATATCCATTCAATAGACTATTATTCAGCAATTTTTTTAAAAAACGAAGACGTGATATATGTTACAACATGGATGACTCTTGAAAACACTGTGCTAAGTGAAAGAAGCCAGTAACAAAAGACCACATATTATATAATTTCTTTCATATGAAATTCCAGAATAGGAAAATCCATAGAAATAGAGAGTAGATCAGTGGTTTCTTAGGCCTACAGGCTTGGAGTAGGGAAAATGGGGAGAATACTGCACTAAGAAACAAAAAGTATGGGGTTTCTTTTTGAGGTGATAAAATGGTTCTAAAATTGACTGTGATAATTGTTATACATATCTATGAATACACTAAATAAACCATTGAATTGTATACTTTAAATAGGCGAATTGTATACTATGTTCATTATATCTCAAAGCCACTTTAAGAATATAAATATTCATGAATTAAGGACAAAAACTCCCATTTGACTACATAATCACAGCTGTAGTGTTTTTTAAAAAGCAGTATTATTTTTAGTTGCTAGAGTTAGACTGCTACTAACATAATCTCTAGGCTGGAAACCTGAGAGACACCTTCAACTAATGACCAAGTCCCACCGATTTTTCCATCATAACCTCTGACTTCTCCATGTTCTTACACTGCCATCCTCTGTCTGGGTTCTGGGCACTTCACGTCTGCCCTACCCACTTTTACCATTTGCTTTTTCCAAATCAAACACATCTGGCTTTTAAACCCAATTACAATTTTCTCAATAACCTTCTCAGAAGGCTAGTGTCCCTCAGACCAAGTTCAGATTTTTCCTACTAGCATTCAGGATATTCTAATCTGCTTCCTATTCTGTCTCCCACCCAGCTTCACTTCCTAGTACTATACATCCAATAAAAGACACTTTGTTCAAGCCAGAGCTATCTCTTCAGTGTCCCTTGTACATACTACATCCATTCATTTCTCTGCTTTTTATTGGGCTATTCTATCTGATGCTTATTCTCCATATTTACCTGTATCCTACAAGTCATTCAAGACCCATTTCAAAACCCCACATCACCCATGGATTTATGGGGAACTCCAACTACAAATGATTTCTTACATTTCCTAGCCACTTCTAGGGCTTACTATCTGTGCTGCATATCTTAGCATTTGATTTACCTGCCACTCATCTTAGCATTTGATTACATTCCACATATTTTAGCATTTGATTTACCTGTCACATATTTTAGCTGTTGATTTACCTACCATCTCATTGTATGTCTTTCTAGTTTTCCAAAAGAAACATCTTGTTTCAATAAGATCATTACTTCCTTAAGGACTGTCACTTTTTCTGGTATCACTGAGATCACATAGCACAGCGCTAGACCCAAAATACACACTCAGAATTTCCAGAATTAAACTGCTGTTTTGATTAATTGTGAAGTGTAACTCTTCATCTTATTTCCCATCATTTTACATACCTTTCTACTATAAATGCAGTTAATAAACCCAAAGTCCAAAAGGTAAATACAGTACCTTATCATACTGACAGACAATAACATTATCCGTGTCAAACAGGTCTGGCACATCCTGTTCACTAACATCATCTCCAGAATTTAAAGGGTCCTAAAGACGAAAGATGATCACATTAAGGAATTTTATGATGCTTTAAATTGTTTAAAGATAAAGAGACATATAGAAATAAAGGAACTTGTCTCGGCGTGGTGGCTCATTCCTATAATCCCAGCACTACGGGAGGCCTAGGCAGGCAGATTGCTTGAGGCCAGGAGTTCAAGACTTACTTGGGCAACATGGTGAAATCCCATCTCTACTGAAAATACAAAAAATTAACTTGGCATGGTGGCACACACCTGTAATCCCAGCTACTTGGGAGAGTAAGGCAGGAGAATCATCTGAACCCAGTAAGTTGAGGCTGCAGTGAGCTGTGATCACACCACTGCACTCAAGCCTGAGCGACAGAGCGAGACTCCATCTCAAAAACCAAACCAAAACAAAACAAAGAAATAAAGGAACCTAGAGCAGCAGAATATAATTGTACTAAAAGTCAAATAGCCTGGGTTTAAATCCCTGTTTGAGCCGGGTGCAGTGGTTCATGCTTGTAATCCCAGCACTTTGAAAGGCCAAGGCAGGAGAATCACTTGAGGCCAGGAGTTCGAGACCAGCTTGGCCAGCATGGTGAAACCCCATCTCTACTAAAAATATAAATATTAGCTGGGCATGGTGGTGTGCCTGTAATCCTAGCTACTCAGGAGGCTGAGGCATAAGAATCATTTGAACCCAGGAAGCAGAGGTTGCAGTGAGTCAAGATCACACCACTGCACTCCAGCCTGGGCAACAGAGCAAGACCCTGTCTCAAAAATAAATAAATAAATAAATCCCGTTTGGCCATTTAATAATTACAAGACTGACCTTAGGCAAGTTACTAAAACTCTCCATATCTCAGTTTCCTCATATCTAAAATCAGGATAGCAGTAAGAACCACAGGACTTTGGGACTATTAAGATAAGGCATTTAAGACTTAATATGATGCCTGGCACATATATAAGGCTGCCATAAATTATAGCTAATACTACTTACACACTTTTTAATAAGCACACTCTACCTGGATTTTATGACATTTACTAGAATTAGAGCAGATACTATATGTTTCTACCTAGGCTGCCTTCTTTAACAGCCACTCCCATTGCCTAGATCACCTACTACCTCTAGTTAAGACCAATACAGAAGCCCATTCCCAAATATTTATTATTGGTTTTAAATTACAGTTGAAGATTAAAAGTTTAAATCCAAGCATATAATAAGTCTTTTTTTTTTTTAAAGAGTCTTGCTCTGTCACCCAGGCTGGAATACAGTGGCATTTCTTGGTTCACTACAACCTGTCTCCTGCAATGCTTTTGCCTCAGTCTCCTGAGTAGCTGGGTTTACAGGCATGTGCCACCATGCCCTGCTAATTTTTGTTTTATTAGTAAAGACAGGGTTTCACCATGTTGGCCCAAGCTGGCCTCGAACTCCAAACCTCAAATGATCCACCTGCCTCAGCCTCCTGAAGTGCTGGGATTACATGTGTGAGCCACCGTGCCCGGCCCCAAATAAGTCTTATTTCAAAAGAGTAAAGAAAAGATTAATCTTGCTATTCCTTTTGGTTCCAAGGCATAATAAAGTAGAAATGTTATAAATTAATAAAGGAAGTCTCAGCTCAAAAGTCATCCTCACCTCTTCTACAATGTTTACTTGAGGGTCTTCATTATCACTACTGTTTGTGGCTGAATCCTCATTTGAAATACTGTCAGCTTCTTCTTCAGGTACCTTCAGATCTCCCCCGTCAATATTCCCTAGAAATTCATTCTCATCTGCATCTCTTGTACTTCCTATTTCTTCATTGGAAGATGTATCACCGCTTCCATCTACTTGAATTATTTCACCAATATCATCATCAGTAACCCGAATGCTTAAATCCACCTGAGAATTAGAATCCTAAAAAGAGAAAGAAATACAATAAAGTTCAAGTCAAATAAGGTATATAAAATATTGAATCCAAATTTAAAATTAACAAACATTCCACAAATGGTCAGTTCAAGCAAACTTCTCTCTTATGACATTAAAATCTAACTTTGAATTTTAGAATAAGCCTAGCATTTCTATGTAACATAGGAATAATTTTTTAAATTATAAATAAAGTAACCCACTTACAATCACAGGGAGACAGCAAATGAGTTTATTACTTTCAGGTAATATTTACCAGTTTTTATACATACCGTCTTAAATTTATATAGTACCTATTAGGATTTAACTATTTCATTTGACTTTAAACAGTAATTCAATGAAATAGAAAAGACAAATGTCATTGTGCTTAATGGATAAATAAAAATGTAAAGGATTACACTAAGTGAAATAAGCCAAACACAGAAGGACAAATCTTACATGATTCCACTTATATGAGGCACCTAGAATAGGCAAATTCATAGAAACAGAAAGTAAAATCGAGGTTACTAGGGGATATGAAGAGGGGAATGAAAAGTTATTGTTTAATGAGTACAGAGTTTCTGTTTGAGAAGATGAAAAAGTACTGGAAATACAGAGTGGGGATGGTTGTACAACATTGTGAATGTACTTAGTACCACTGAAATGTACACCTAAAAATGGGTAAAATGGCAAATTTTTATGTTATAGATAATTCAGCACAACAAAAGTAAAAAATATATAAAGGAAATTTAGTAATCACCTCTGGTCACGTAGATGGTTATTATTTTATCATTACCTTCATCCAGCACAGCTAACAAATAAACCCCTCTGCTAAGTATTTTATAGGCATTTTCTAATTTATTTGTGTATTTATTTATTTATTTATTTATTTATTTTTTGAGGCGGGGTCTCGCTCTGTCGCCCAGGCTGGAGTGCAGTGGCGCGTTCTCGGCTCACTGCAAGCTCTGCCTCCCGGGTTCACAGCATTCTCCCGCCTCAGCCTCCCAAGTAGCTGGGACTACAGGTGCCCGCAACCATGCCCGGCTAATTTTATTTTTGTATTTTTAGTAGAGACAGGGTTCCACCGTGTTAGCCAGGATGATGTAGATCTGCTGACCTCGTGATCCGCCCGCCTCGGCCTCCCAAAGTGCTGAGATTACAGGCGTAAGTCACTGCGCTTCACTCTTCAGTGTAGGCTTCTATATTGGTCATACAATACTACCCACCCCAACCCATTAGTTTGTCATAGACAGGACAAAGATCAATAAAATGTCAAGCTCCTTAAGATCAGGGGCTGTTTTATATGATTATATATGCTTCAGAATCTATAGCAGTAGTTCTTAACCTCTTTGGAAAAGTAAGAGGCCCCTTGAAAACTTGGTGAAAGCTCCAGATGCTATAATGCTGGTTGTTTTGGAAATCCATACATAATGTTGACACACATATTACATAAGCAACAGGTTACATTAGCTTTAAGACTGGAATATAGAAATGTAGCCCAAGCAAATGGAAAGGATGACTTTCCATCCTTTACAATCAGAAATATAAAGGTTATAGTAAGTGAAATAAGGCAAACACAGGACAAATATTATATGATTCCACTTATATGAGGTACCTAGAACAGGCAAATTCATAAAAACAGACAGTAAAATCAAGGTTACCAGGGGCTATGAAGAGGGGAATGAAGAGTGATACAGCACCCAAAAAGCCTTCATCGTATCAGCCTGGAAAGTCTTGGGAATTTGCAGAGTCAAGAAGGCTCCTAACAGAAGCCAAGAAGTTTTACTAAGGTTTGAACAGATGCCCTTTATTCATATTTCTTCTGAGTTTGCAAGTCATGGGTGATGTTTAATACAATAATACACATCTCAATAACTTAAGATACAACTTTAATAATATGCATATACTCAACTTATTTTTTGAGTGGACAACTGCCCTTCTAGGATTCAAACCCATATGAATATTACCAATAATGAACCCTCAAAAAAGTATACCCAACAAATAATACTGTGTAGAAAAATTCAAATTGACTAAAATTATGTAAGTTTACATGTAATTAATTTTTACTACATTGGAAACAGATTTGCTTCACAGATGAAATATAAGGAATATCACATGTATGCAAAAATTAATGGCTATGTGCTCAAAAATGAAAATAAGTCCAAATTACATAAATAAGATAAATTTGTATTCTGTTACGAATAAATTAGAGAAATCTTAGAGGGCCCACAGCCCATAATGTAAAAGCTGAAAAGAATGCCACTACCATACTAACAATGAACAAAAGCTGGATAAATTACAAAATCACAACTTTTCTTGAAGCAGCCTGAAATCCAAGGAGGGACAGCCCTTACAGATGGGACATACAAACATATCTCTCTATAAGAAGAGTAATGTCCATTCCCAACTATAAATACTATTTACTTCAGTCTCTCTTTATATATAAGATGTCTGACATTCAATCAAAATTAATGAGGCTGGGCATGGCCACTCATGCCTGTAATCCCAGCACTTTGGGACACTGAAGCTGGCAGATTGCTTGAGCCCAGAAGTTCAGGACTAGTCTTGGAAACATAGCAAGATCCCATCTCTACAAAAAATACAAAAAAAAAAAAAAATTAGCTGGGAGTGGTGGTGCATGCTGAAGAGGTGGAGGCAGGAAGATCACCTGAGCCCAGGGAGGTTGAGGCTGCAGTGAGCTGTGATTGCACCACAGCACTCCAGCCTAAGTGACAGAGTGAGACTCTTCTCAAAAATAATAATACAAACTAAAAGCAACAAAAACCAACCATCACACTGCAAAGCAATCAAGAGAACCAGACTCAGAGACAGTTAGAAATGTCAAACTATGATTGATACACCAAATAATTTAGGGAAAAAAGTGGAAAAAAATCCATGAACAAATAAAGAATTTCAGCACAGATAACAAGTTTGGGGAGTTAGGAAAATAAAGAAAAAAGAAAAACAAGAATTTTAGCACAAAATTCTAACAATAAAAACCACAATATGAGAGTAAAAATTTCATGTGAAGGGGTCATCAGTAGATGTGACACAGCAAAAAAGAATCAAAAGCATTCAGGAAAACAGAAAAAAGGAAGAACACAAACACACACACACACAAACACACACACACACACACACACACACACCCTGACAAGTTGATTAATAACTATATTGAATATAAATGGCCTAAACATCTCATTTAAAAGATAGAGATTATCATACTGGGTTAAATTAGCAAGACCCAACCATATGGTGTCTATCTGGCAGGCCGAGGTGGGCAGATCACAAGGTCAGGAGTTCAAGACCAGTCTGGTCAATATGGTGAAACCCCATCTCTACTAAAAATGTTTTTTAAAAATTAGCTGGGCGTGGTGGCACATGCCTGTAATCCCAGCTCTTCAGGAGGCTGAGGCAGGTGAAATGCTTGAACCTGGAAGGCAGAGGTTGCAGTGAGCTGAGATCGCGCCACTGCACTCCAGCCTGGGTGACAGAGCGAGACACCATCTCAAAAAAAAAAAAGAAAGAAAGAAAGAAACTCACTTTAAATACAATGACACAGGTAAGTTAAAAGTAAATGAACAGAAAAAACACATACCATGCAAACACTAATCAAAATAAACCTGAAACTGCTATATTAATATCAGAAAATGTTAACTTCAGAACCAGAAATATTATCAGAGATAAATAAAAAACATTAAATATAATAAAGGGATCGATTGAAGATGACAATCCTAAATACTTATATACCTACAAACATAGCTTCAAAACTAAACTAAAAAGTAATAAAAATAAAAAATAGACAAATCTAAAATTACAGGTGAAGACTTAAAATTCCTCTCTCAGTAGTCAATAGAAAAAGTGGACTGAAATTCAGTAAAGATATGGAAACCCTGGACAATGCAATCAACCAACTTAACCTAATTAATATATAGAGAATACCCCACCCAAAAATAGCCAAATAGCTTCAAGAGCACATATCATGTTTGCCAAGATAAACCATATTCTGAAACATAAAACAAACCCTAACAAATTTAAAATATATAAAGTATATTCTCTGACCACAAAAGAATTACACTAGAAACCAGTAACAGAAAGATATCTGGAAAATCCCCCAAATATTTAAAAATTAAACAACACAATTATAAATACCCAATGGTCAAAGACTAAATCATAAGATAAATTAGAAAATAATTTTAATTGAATGCAAATGAAAACATAATGTCCAAACTTTTGAGATGTACCCAAAGCAGTGCCTAGAGGGAAATTTACAGCATTAAATTATTATATCAGAAAATAAGTACGTCTCAAATCAATAGCATAATATCCCACCTTAAGAAACTAGAAAAAGAAGGCCAAAATAAGTCCAAAGTAAACAGGAGGAAGGAAATAATGAAAATTTTAAAAGGGAAAAAAAGTGAAATTAAAAACCAAAAAAAAAAAAAAAGAGAGAGAGAAATCAGTAAGGTCAAAAGTCCATTCTTTGAAATTATCAATAAAATTGAAAAACCTGGCCAGGCAGGGTGGCTCGCACCCGTAATCCCAGCACTTTAGGAGGCCAAGGCAGGCGGATCACTTGAGGCCAAGAGTTGGAGACCAGCCTGACTAACATGGTGAAACCCATTCTCTACTAAAAATACAAAAATTAGTCAGGTGTGGTGGCACACACCTGTAATCCCAGCTAGTCGGGAGGCTGAGGCACGAGAATCACGTGAACCCAGGAGGTGCTGGTTGCAGTGAGCCGAGATCATACCACCTGAACTCCAGCCCGAGCAACAGAGTGAGCCTCTGTCTCAATAAATAAACAAATAAATAAATAGAAAAACCTCTAGCACGACAGACAGAGAGAGAAAGAGAGAGAGACAGACAGAAGACACAAGCAAACAGTATTAAGAATTAAAGAAGGGATGTTACATAGATCCTAGAGGCATTAAAATAATATATTATCAACTTTCAATAAATTTTACAACTTAAGTAAAATGGATAAATCCATTGCAAGAAATTACCAAAATTTACTCAAGAAGAAACAGATAACCTAAAGAGACGTATCAGTTAAAGAAATTTAATTCCATTAAAAACCTTCCCACAAGGAAAAATTCTAAATTCAGAAAGCTAAAAACTCTATCAGAAAACAGAAGAGATACAGATACATAGCAATTCATTCTATGAAACTAATATTACCCTAATACCCAGCACAAAATAACAAAACTACAGACCAGTACTCCTCATGAACATAGAAGCAAAAATCCACAACGAAATCTTAGCAAATTGAATCCAGCAATATATAAAATGAAAGCTGAACATTCAAAAATCAATCAGTGTATCTCACCATATCAAAACATGAAAGAAGGAAACCCATTTATTTCAATAGAGGGGAAAATTGTTTAAACATCAACTCATGATTTAAAAAAAAAAAAACTACATTAAAGAAAACTGTTTCCATCTGATAAAGGATATCTACAAAAAAAAATTAAAACCATACAGCTAACATAGCACTTGGTGAAAGATAGAATGCTTTCCCCTTAAAATCAGGAACAAGATTTCTGCTCTTGGCACTCTTATTTAATTTTGTACTGGAAGTCCTAGTCAGTGCAATAAGCCAAGAAAAAAAAACACTCTGGGAAGAAATATTTTTTTTTATTCATCAAAATAGATTATAGTCTACATAAAGCAACCCCAAATGGTCTACAAAACAACTACTAAAATTATTAAGTGGGTTTAACGAGGTCACAGGATATTAGGTCAATTTACAAAATTCAACTGCATATCTATATAGTAGCAATAAACAATTAGAAATTGAAATTTAAAAACAATACCTTTAGACCAGGTGTGGTGGCTTATGCCTGTAATCTCAGCACTTTGGGAGGACAAGACAAAAGGATCGCTTGAGTTCAGGAGTTCAAGACCAACCTTATCTCTACTAAAAATTAGCCAGGTATGGTTGTGTGTGCCTACAGTCCCAGCTACTCAGGAGGCTGAGGCAGGAGAATCACTTGAGCCTGGGAGATCAGGGCTGCAGTGAGCTATGACCTGCCACTGCACTCCAGCCTGAGCAATACAGCAAGACCCTGTCTCAAAATATAAAAATAAAAAAAATTTTTAAATGTTTATTATATAGCATTTTATGTTTTAAATTATTTTCAAAAAATACATTTTTACATTAGAGATCTCAAAATGGGAAAATAACAGTGCTTTACACTTTAATACTTCTAGGGACATTGTTTTAGGACAAGTAAAATAAACATATTTGAAGGATTAAGTTTCAGTTTTGATTGATTGAGATTGATTCAGATTGATTGAGATAGGGTCTCACTCTGTTGCCCCGGCTTAAATGCAGTGGTCCAATCTCAGTTTACTGCAGCCTTGACCTCCTGGGCTCAAGCGATCCTCCCACCTCATCCTCCCGAGAAGCTGGAACTACAAGAGGGCACCACCATGGCCAGCTAATTTTTTTGTATTTTTTATATTGATGGGGTTTTGCAATGTTGCCTAGGCTGGTCTTGAACTCCTGAACTCAAGCAATCCTCCTTCCTCAGCCTCCCAAAGTACTGGGATTACAGGTATGAGCCACTGTTTCCAGCCAAGTTTCAGTTTAGAATGCGTAATATTTTAATCTATCTACAAGGGAGACCTCTTTCCTAAATAAACCTCTCTCTTTTTTTCACTTTTACTTTAAGTTCAGGGGTATATGTACAGGTTTGTTATGTAGGTAAACTATGTGTCACGGGGGTTTAGTTTACAGATAATTTCATCACCCAGGTAATAAGCATAGTACTCAGCAGGTATTTTTTTCTGATCGTCTCCCTCCTCCTACACTCCACCCTCAATTATTCCCGTGTTCATTGTTCCCCTCCTAGTATCCACGTGTTCTTGTTGTTTAGCTCCCACTTATAAGTGAGAACATGTGGTAGTTGGAAATAAATTTAAAAAATATATACCTTTAAAGCATCAAGAGAAAAGCAACGCATCTATGTACAAGGAATCCCCAGTAAGTGTTTTGGCAGATTCCTCAGCCGAAGTTTGAAGACCACAAGGCAGTGGGATGATATATTTAAAGTGTTAAAAAAAAAAAAAAAAAAAAGATCAACCAAGATTTCTGTATCTGGCAAAATTATCTTTCAACAATAAGGGAGGGAATTCCTTCCAGTCTCTCTCTGCCGCTGCAAAACCCAGCTAGAGTAGTTCCTATTGCCATGGATCCCCTTGAATAAACTCTGCCTTACCATCCTTTAAAAAATGAAAGATAAATTAAGACATTCCTAGATAAAAACCAAGGGAATTCATTATAGTTAGATTTTCCCTACAAGAAATATTAAAAGGAGTCCTTTAAGTTAAAATGAATAGATGCTAGATAGTAACTTGAAGCTACACAAAATGTAAAATTATCTGGTAAAGTTAAATACATGGACAAATACATAAATCAGTGTTAACATAATTTTAGTTTATAATTGATTTTATTCTTCTACATCATTTAAAAGACAAAAGCATTAAAAAACTATGTTAATGTGTAAATAAAATATGAAGAAGTAATCTGTAACAACAATAAGACAAAGTAGGGGAGGGCAAAGTTGTAAACGAGTAAACTTTTTGTATGTGATTGAATTTAAGTGACTATCTGATTAAAACAGGTTATTATAAGCCTAAAATATTATATGTAATACCCGTGGTAACCACAAAGAAAATATCTATAGAATGTACACAAAGGAAATGAGAAGGGAAACCAAAAATCAATTAAACACAAAGGAAGGTAATAAAGGAGGAAATCACAGAAAACCTAAATACATATAGAAAACAGCAAAACGGCAAGAGTTAGTTCTTTCCGATCAGTAATTACTCTAAACGCAAATGAATTAAACTCCCCAATCAAAAGACATAGTTTAGAAGAATGGATAAAAAACAAGATCCAACTATATGCTCTCTATAAGAGACTAAAGATCCAGGATATGAATAGGTTGGAAGGGAAAAGATGGAAAAATAAATTCCATGCAAATGATAACCAATAGAGCTGCAGTGGCTATGTTACCACCAGAAAAAAAATGGATTTTAGGTCAAAAACTGTTATTTAAAAAGGAAAAAATAATTTTTAATCACATAATGATAAAATAATCAATATACCAAGACGATATAACAATTATAAATACATGTGCACCAAACATCAGAGCCCCCAGATATATGCAACAGGCCAGGTGCAGTGGCTCATGCTTGTAATCCCAGCACTTTGGTAAGCTGAGGCAGGCAGATTACTTGAGGTCAGGAGTTCGAGATCAGCCTGGCCAATATGGTGAAACCCCGTCTCTACTAAAAGTACAAAAATTAGCCAGGAGTGGTGGTGGGCACCTATAATCCCGGCTACTCAGGAGGCTGAGGCAGGAGAATCACCTGACCCAAAGGCAAAGGTTGCAGTGAGCGGAGATTGTGCCACTCTACTCCATCCTGGGCAACAGAGTGAAACTGTCTCAAAAAAAAAAAAAAAAAAAAAAAAAAAAGTTTGGGGATGCAGTGAAAACAATGGGGAGGGACATGTATAAGTGCTTACATTTTAAAAGAGCAATCTCAAATTAACAGTTTAACTTTACATCTTAAAAAACTATAAAGGAGAGAACAAATCAAAACTAAAGCTAGCAGAATGAAATAAATAATAATGTTAGAGAAAAAGAAAACACAGAATGAGAAACAATGGAGAAAAATCAACAAAACCAAGAGTTGCTTCTTCAAAAAGATCAATAAAATTGATAAACCTTTATAACTAGACTGATAAGAAGAAGAGAAGACTCAACTAAAATTATCAATGAGGGTCGGCCATGGTGTCTCACACCTGTAATCACAACACTCTGAGAGGCCGAGGCAGGTGGATCACTTGAGGCCAGGAGTTAGAGACCAGCCTGGCCAGCATGGCAAAACCCCAACTCTACTAAAAATACAAAAATTAGCCGGGCATAGTAGAGCACACCTGCAATCCCAGCTTCTCAGGCGGCTGAGGCACAAGAATCATTTGAACTCAGGAGGCAGAGGTTGCAGTGAGCCAAGATCACACACCACCGCACTTCAGCCTGGGCGACAGAGACTCTGTTTCAATAATAATAATAATAAAATAAAATTATAAATAAAAGAGGGGACATCATTAATAATTTTACAGAAATATAAAGAACTTTAAGAGAAAACTATGAACACTTACACCACAACAAATCAGATAATCTATTTTAAAAATTAACAAAGTCCTAGAAATACGCAATCTAGACTGAACCAGAAAGCAATAGAAAATCTTAATAAGTATATTAACTGGAAAGTAGACTGAATAAGTAATCAAAACCCTACCTACAAAGAAAAATCCAGAACCAAATGTCTTCACTAGAAAATTATACCAAACATTTAAAGATGAATACCAATCATCCTCAAACTCTTCCAAAAAATGGAAGAACAAAATATCTCCAAACTTATTTTATGAGGCCAGCATTACCCTGATACCAAAGACAAAGACAAAACATAAAAATTACAGACCAATACTTCTGATGAATATTCATGCAAAAATCCTCAACAAAATACTGGCAAATAGATATAATAGCACATTACAGGAATCCTACACCATGGCCAAATGAGATTTAATCCTGGGATGCAAGGATAGTTCAAGATAAAAAAAAAATCATACTGAATGGTAAACCCCTGAAATCTCTAAGATTAGAAAGAAGGAAAGGACAACTACTTTCACCACTTCTAATCAACACAGTACTAAAAGTGCTAGCTAGGATGATTAGGCAAGTAAAAGAAATAAAAGACATCAAAATTAGGAAAAACTAAAATTATCTCTGTTTACAGATGTTATGCCTTTATATGTAGAAAATTCTAAAGTTTCCATACACACAGACACACAAAAACAAACTGTTAGGAAAAATAAATAAATTCCACAATGTTAAAGAATACAAAATCAACACACCAAAATCAGCTGCATTTCAACAAATAATTAAAAACTCAAAAAGAAAATTAGGAAAATAATTTCATTTTCAATAGCACCAAAAAGAATAGGTTATTTAGGAACAAACAGAACCACAGAGGCAAAAGACTTGTATATGCTGAAAACAACAAAAATTGCTGAAAGAAAATAAAGACAAAAATCAATGGAAAGACACCCCAAGTTCATGGATTCAAAAATTAATAAGGTTAAGATGTGAATATTATCCAAAGCCATCTAAAGAGCCAACACAATCTCTATCAAAAACCCAACAAGAGTGTTTGCAGAAAAAGAAAAAAATCTATCCAAAAATTCAAATCTCAAGGAATGCCAAATAGCCAAAACAATCTTGAAAAAGAAGAATCAAATTGAAAGTCTTAAATTTCTTGATTTCAAAACATACTACAAAATTACAATAATAAAAATAGTGTGATATTGGGATTATGTAAAGCAATCAAATATATGAATTACTGGCATTCTTGAAAGAGAAAAACTAAACAACCTAGAAAACATATTTGATGGAATAATTCAAGAACATTTCCCTAATCTTGCTAGAAAGGTAGACATCCAAATACAAGAAATTGAGAGAACACCTTCAAGACACTATACAAAATCAACATTATCAAGGTGTATAGTTACCAGACTATGGAAGGACACTGCTAATATATATATAAAGGCAACTAGAGAAAAAAGTCAAGTCATGTACAAAGGGAAACCCATCAGATTAACAGCAGACTTCTCAGCAGAAACCTTACCAGCCAGGAGAGATTGTAGGCCTATTTCTAGCATCTTAAAGGAAAGAAATTCCAACCAACAATTTCATATCCCACCAAACTAAGCTTCATAAGTTAAGGAGATATAAGAGCTTTTTCATACAAGCAAGCACTAGCTAGATTAACAAAGAAAAACAGAGAGAAGATCCAAATAAGCACAATAAAAAAGACAAAGGTGACATTACAACCAATCCCACAAAAATACAAAAGATCCTCAGAGACTATTATAAACACATCTATGCACACAAACTAGAAAATCTAGAGGAAATGAATAAATTCCTGAAAGCAATCTCCCAAGAATGAAACAGAAAGAAATTGAAACTCTAAACAGACCAATACCTAATTATGAAATTGAATCAATAATAAAAAACTTACCAGCCAAAAAAAATCCCTAGACCATTCTAAAATTAATGTGGAACCAACAAGGAGCCTGAACAGCCAAAACAATCACAGACAAAAAGAACAAAGCTGGAGGCATCACATTACCTAACTTCAACCCATATTATAAGGCTACAGTAACCAAAGCAGCATAGCACTGGTACAAAAACAGACACATAGACCAATGGAACAGAATAGAGAACTTAGAAATAAAGCCATGCATCTAAAGCCATCTGATCTTTGACAAAGTCAACAAAAATAAGCAATGGGGAAAGGACTCCCTATTCAATAAATGGTGATGGGATAGCTGGCTAGCCATATGCAGAAGAATGAAACTGGACTCCTACCTTTCACCATATACAAAACTTAACTCAAGATGGATTGAAGATTTAAATGTAAGATCTCAAACTATAAACAATCCTAGAAAAAACTTGAGAAACACCATTCTGGACATCAGCCTTGGGAAATAATTTATAACTAATTATTCAAAAGCTATTGCAACAAAAACAATAATTGACAAGTGAGACCTAATTAAACTAAAGAGGTTCTGCACAGCAAAAGAAACTATCAACAGAGTGAACAATCTACAGAATTAGAGAAAATATTCACAAACTGTGCATCTGACAAAGTTGTAGTATCCAGAATTTATAAGAAACTTAAACAATTCAACAAGCAAAAATCAAATGACCACGTTAAAAAGTAGGCAAATGATATGAACAGATACTTCTCAAAAGAAGATATAGAAGCAGCCAACAAACATATGAAAAAATGTTCCACATCACTAATCATCAGAGAAATACAAATCAAAAATGCAATAAGATATCATCTCACACAAGTCAGAATGGATATTATTAAAAAGTCAAAAAAAAAAAACAAGAGATTCCAGCAAGGCTGCAGAGGAAAAGGAATGTTTGTACAATGTTGGTGGGAATGTAAATTAGTTCAGCCACTGTGGAAAGCAGTTTGGAGATTTCTCAAAGAAAATAGAGCTACCGTTCAATCCAGCAATCCCATTACTGGATATATACCCAAAGGAAAAGAAATATTTCTACCAAAAACGTACCTGCACTCTTATGTTTATTGAAGTACTATTCACAATAGCAAAGACATGGAATCAGCCCAGGTGCCCATACATGGTGGACTGAATAAAGAAAATGTGTTACATATAAACCGTGGAATACTATGCAGCCCCAAAAAAAAGAAATCATGTTCTTTGCAGCAACATGCATACTGCCGAAGGCCATCATCCTAAGTGAATTAACACAGGAACAGAAAACCATAAAGAGATGTTCTCACTTACAAATAGGAGCTAAATATTGGGCACATACGGACACCCAGTGGTGGAAATAATAGACATTGGGGACTCCAAAAAGGGAGAAGGGGAAGTGAGGGCAAGGGCTGAAGAACTGTTTTGGGTACTATGCATAGTTCCTGGATGACAGGATCAATCACACCCCAAACCTCAGCATGATGCAATATACCTATGTCACAAACCTTGCACATGTACTCCCTGAATCTTAAATAAAAGCTGAAACGATAAATAATAAAAATTAAAAAATAAAACCAGTGTGTTATTAATGTATAGACAGGTGTATACACCAATAAAATAAAGATCCCAGCAACAAACCGTTACATAAAACGTCAATTTTCCATAAGGGTAACAAGACCATTCAATGTGGAATGGACAGTCTTTTCAACAAATCATTTTGGGAAAACTAGCACCACATTGAAAATAATGGAGTTGAACCCTAAATTTATACCATCTACGAAAATTAACTCAAAATGGATCAAAGAGCTAAAGATAAGAACTAAAACTATAAATCTCTTAGAGGAAAACAGGTGGTGAAAATTTCATGACATTGGATTTGAAAATAATTTATTGGATATGACACCAAAAGCATAGGCAACAAAAGAAAAAAATAGATAAAATGGACTTCACCAAAATCAAAACCTTTTGTGCTCAAAAGACATTATTAACAGAGAGTAAAGGCAACCCATAAAATGGGAGAAAATATTTGCAAATCATACATCTGATAAGAGGTGAATATCCAGGATATATAAAGAACTACAAGTCAACAACAACAGAGCAAACAGTCCAATTTTAAAAAAATGGGCAAAGGACTTGAATAGACTTCTCTACAAAGAATGCATACAAGTGGCCAGAAGAACATAAAACAATGTTCAACATCACTAATTATTAGGGAAATACATATCAAAACTACAAGATACCACTTCAAACCCCTTAGGGTAGCAATTATTAAAAAAAAAAAAAAAAAAAAAAAAAAAAACAGAAAATAAGCGTTGGTGGGGATATGGAGAAATCAGATGCTTGTGCACTACTGTTGAGAATGTAAACTGGTGCAGCCTCTATGGAAACTGTATGGCAGTTCCTAATAAGATTAAAAGTAGAATTGTCATATGATTTTGCAGTTCCATTTCTCCATATATATCCGAAAAAATTAAAGACAGGAATTTGAAGAGATATTTGTACGCCATGTTTACAGCAGCATTATTCACAATAGCCAAAAGCTGGAAGCAACCCAAGTATCCACAGACACTTGAATGAATAAACAAAATGCAGTATATACATACAATGAGATATTATTCACCTTAAAACAAGGAGATAAGTTCTGATACATGCTACAACATGGATGAACCCTGAGATATTACGCTAAATGAAGAAGGGCAAGTACTGTCTGATTCCACTTATATGAGGTAACTAAAGTGGTCAAATTCATAGAGATGGAAAGTAGAATTGTTGTTTGTCAGGGACTGGGAGAGTGAGAAATGGGGAGTTACTGCTTAATGGGCATGGAGTTTGGGAAGATGAAAAATTTCTAGAGATGGGTGGTGGTGATAGCTACACAACAATGTGAATATACTTACTGTCACTAAGCTATACAGTTAAAAATTGTAAAAATAATTTAAAAATAAAATAAATAGTTAATTTTATGTGTACTTTAGCACAGGAGAAAAATTGAATTTTTAAAAATCAGTAGTGATATACTATACTATGTGGCAAAACTGATCAAAGTACTGGTGGCAGGAAAAACTGGCACAACCTCTTTTTAAAATATTGTGGCAATGTACTTCAAATGCCTTAGAAATTTTCAGTTTTTTCTACCTTTTAAAAAATGTATTTTAGGCTGGGCATGGTGGCTCATACGTCTATAATCCCAGCACTTTGGGAAGCCAAAGTGAGACAAGTGCTTGAGGCCAGGCATTTGAGACAAACCTGGATAACACAGTGAGACTCTGTCTGTCTCTACAAACTAATGAATTAACTAATTAAAAATAAAAATATATTTTTAAAAATGCAATGCAAATGAAGCTTAAAAATAAGAATAAAAATGTTCTTGATGGCAGTTTTAGGTACCATTTATAATAGCACCAAAAACCATGAAATATTTAGATAAAAATATAACAGAATATGTATAATATGTATATGCTAAAAACTAGAAAATATTAGTAACAGAAGTCAAAAACCTAAATTAAAAAAAAAACTTATGTCCATGAATTGGAAGACTCAATATTGTGAAGACGTCAATTCCCCTTACTGATCTATAGATTCAACACAAACCCAAATCAGTCTTAGCAATTTTTCTTTTTAGAAATTGACAAGCGCATCCTAATATTTATATGGAAATATAAAGGAATTAGAATAGCCCAAACAATTTGGAAAAAAGAACAAATTTGAGAGATTCACACTCTCTGATTTACTATAAATTTACCATAATCAAGACAGTGTGGTCCTAGCAAAAAGATAGTCACATGAATTAATGAAACAGAGTGAACCTTCAGTAATAAACCAACACAGATGTAGTAATTTTCACTAAAGGTGAAGTGCTTTAGATACATAATGTGCACAGACAGCTAACTCAGTGAGACAAGGCAGTCTTTTTAACAAACAATGCTAAAACAATTGAATATCCATATGTAAAAAAAAATGAGCTATCCAGGCACGGTGGCTCACCCCTGTTTCCCCAGCACTTTGAGAGGCTGAGGCAGGGGGATCACCTGAGGTCAGGAGGTCAAGGCCAGCCTGACCAGTATGGTGAAACCCTGTCTGTACTAAAAATACAAAAAATTAGCCAGGCATGGTGGTGGGCACCTGTAATCCCAGCTTCGCGGGAGACTGAGACAGGAGAATCGCTTGAACCCAGTGAGCTGAGATCATACCACTGTACTCCAGCCTGGGCGACAGAGCGAGACTCTGTCTCCAAAAAAAAAAATGAACCTCCATCCTAACCTTGCACCATATACAAAACTAGCCCAGAATAGATCACAGGCCTAAATGACAAAACTATAACTATACAGTTTTTAGAAGTATTATAAAATCTTTGCAGCCTTTGATAAGACACATGAAGCAGAAGTCAAAATAATATACGGGACTGAAAGTCAAAATAAATAAACTGGAAGATAAAAATAATAAACTGGACTTCATCAAAATTAAAAACTTCTCCTTACCAAAAGATAGTGTTAACTACCAAGGATGTGGTGTACCAACAACAAATCTTATACATTGCTGGTAGAAATGCAAAATTCCACCATACATTGCTGGTGGAAATACAGCCACCTTGGAAATGAGTTTGACTGTTTCTCATAAGCATACGTTTATCATCTTATCTAACAATCCCACTCCTAGGTATTTACACATATAAAATCTACATATAAATGTTTTCGGGGCTGTTTCTTTTTTTTTTTTTTTTTTTTTTTGAGACACAGTCTCACTCTGTCTCCCAGGCCACAGTGCAGTGGCATGATCTCAGCTCACTGGGTTCAAGCTATTCTCTCTCATGCCTCAGCCTCCCAAGTAGCTGGGATTACAGGTGTGTGCCACCATGCCCAGCTAATTTTTGTATTTTTAGTAGAGATGGGGTTTTGCCATGTTGGCCAGGCTGGTCTTGAACTCCTGACCTCAAGTGATCCAACCGCCTCAGTCTCCCAAAGTGCTGGGATCACCCAGTGCCCGGCCCTTTCAGGGGCTTTATTCACAAATACCAAAAACTGGAAACAACCCAAATGTCAAACTGGTAAATAAATGTGGTATAACCATACAATGGAATATACTGATACATGCAACAACATGGATGAATCTCAAATGTATTGTGCTAAAAATGCATGCTGCATGATAGTGTCTAATATTCTGGAAAAGGTAAACCTACCCCAAAAGAAAACAGGTCAGTGAGTGACCGCCAGGAACTGGGGGTTGAAAGAGGGTATTGACTACAAAGGCACATGAGGAAACTGGGAGGTAATGAAAATGTTCTCTATCTCAGGTAGGGTTGTATAACTTCATGTTTGCCAAAATTCATATGGTAAATCTAAAAGCTACCTTTTAAAAGATGAATTTTATTGTATATATATCATGCCTCTTTAAATTTGAGTTATTTTACTTTTTTTTTTTTTTTTTTTTGAGACAGAGTCTGGCTCTGTCACCCAGGCTGGAGTGCAGTGGCGCAATCTCGGGTCACTGCAAGCTCAGCCTCCTGGGTTCATGCCATCCTCCTGCCTCAGCCTCCCGAGTAGCTGGGACTACAGCCGCACGCCAGGCTAATTTTTTGTATTTTTAGTAGAGATGGGGTTTCACCATGTTAGCCAGAATGATCTTGATCTCCTGACCTTGTGATCCACCCGCCTCAGCCTCCCAAAGTGCTGGGATTACAGGCGTGAGCCACCGTGCCCGGCCTAAATTTGAGTTATTTTAAAGTCAATTAGTTCGAGTCCAGCCTGGCCAACACGGTGAAACCCCCGTGTCTACCAAAAATACAAAAACTAGCTGGGCGTGGTGGCATAGGCCTGTAATCCCAGCTACTTGAGACGCTGAGGCAGAAGAATCTCTTGAACCTGGGAGGCAAGGGTTGCAGTGCGCCGAGATCACACCACTGCACTCCAGTCTGGGCGACAGAGCGAGACTCCATCTCAAAAATAAATAAATGATAATAATAATAAAGTCAATTAGTATAAGATTTGTCCTAGGCCTAAACCACATGTTGAAATTGGCTGTTTGTTTGTTGTTTTTGAGATGGGGTCTCGCTCTGTTGCCCAGGCTGGAGTGCAGTGGGACGATCTTGGCTCACTGCAACCTCCGCCTCCCAGGTTCAAGTGATTCTCTTGCCTCAGATCCCGAGTAGCTGGGATTACAGGTGCCTGCCACCACACTCCGCTAATTTTTGTATTTTTAGTAGAGACGAGTTTTCACCACGTTGACCAGGCTGGTCTCGAACTCCTAACCTCAAGTGATCCATCCGCTTTGGCCTCCCAAAGTGCTGGGATTACAGGCAGCAGCCACCATGCCCGGCCTGGCTTTTCATTTTAATAGCAACAAGTACTGAAAACTTTAAGCCACAAGATCTTCTGTTGAAAAATGAATCAGAGCTTCTATGTTACCTTGCCAGACAAGGATAAGCTTATAAAGGAATACTGAAGATTCCAGGACTCTTCTACTTGAATTTACGTAGCCTCATACCATTTTCCTTCAATCAGTGAGGCCCTCTTTACTCTGGGAGAGGATTAAAATTACAAATCTAAACTTAATTTCAAAACAGCAAAAGAGTTATCATTCTCAACTTTTTTCTTCAGAAGCACTTCCACCAGGCATTGAAAAATTCACATGATTATCTGACTCCAATCTCTTCTGAAGTGGTAATTTGACCAAAATAGCCAGGAGTTGTACAGCAACATCCATAACTGATACCACAGGACCATGAAAACAAAGATTTAAGTCTTTCATATAGCCAAACGTCCACCACATAGATCATCAATGAACTCCTCTAGATCAAATTGTTATGAGGGGGCTTTTGCTCCCTCTCAAAAATAGTAAATGTCTCCCCAAGGATCAAACAAGGGCTTCAAGCATTGTCCTTTGAAAAGCCAGAAAAATTCTGCATGAAGAATTTAATATTCTGCCTACATTTTTTGATAAATGTCTTGGGAAACACAATAATTCAAAACCGTGGCTCTAATATATTTGAGTTTTATGTCAGCAGATGAGACTTCTTTTAGAATTATTGGCTGTGTCTTAGCACTAATGCATGCCATGTGCTGAAATAGACAGCAACGCTTTCTTTACTAAAGCAGCAAAACCATGTTTGCCAAGCATCTCAGGAGCTCCAATGGTATAGAGTACCAAATTTTACTAACCAAACTTTTCATTATTACAAAGATGTCAGTTTCCAATTTAAAAAAAAAAAAAAAAAAGAACTCACAACATAAAAATTCTTTGATGGTATCAATGTACAAATAATGATTAAAATCAGATGTTGGCAGCCCTAAGAAACACTGGTATTTTTAGCCTGTTGAATGTTAAAGGAAAGTCGCTGCTGATACATCTATGAATTCCAGCCAAACGTGAAAGAAATGTCAACAATTCTAATGCAGATGATGTCATCTGACAGAGGAAATGCTTCCTTTTTTTTTATTTTCTCTGCACTAAAACAAACCAGCTCAATAATGTCCAATATTCTCAGCTTAACCAAGGTGTCTTTGATTGTATGTGGCTTCTGTGACTGGGTAGTACAATAAGCAAGTAAATAGGATGCTTCATGATAAAGCTTTGTTCGCCAAATCCAGCTTCCAGTCTTTGCAATTTAAGCTTCCCTCCAATGAAAGAACCCTATTTTCCCAATGGCTAGTAAAAATTTGCAGAACTTCATACCCATATGTGGGGATAAATATAAAACAAGATAAGCCTAACCTACAATACACATTCTTTTCACATTTTCAACGTAAACTATATCAAATTCAGTGGTCTATAATTGTAATGGCAGGGCATATTTTCTTTAATTCTTAACAGGAATTTAATTTATTACAATAGAGTAACAATGATAATTATATATTGCCTGACCATGTACAGTAGCATCCCATGCCACTCCACTCTTATTTGGAATGAAATATATCTTAATATATTTTGACAGATATAAAAAATTATTTTGTTAAATTGGCTTTCTTCTTATAATGAAGAAAAAGTCACATATCTGGTTTAAACATCTCTGATTTTGATATATTAATTTCACAATGGCATATAGAGACTCAAAAAGTATTTACTCAATTTAAATGAATTCTAAAGTCAATTATTGATAGGACATTTTATATTTTAGAGGAATATGTGTGGACTTAGAAGAAAAATGAAAACTCTTACTTAGAAGTTATATATTCTCTTATCCTCTCACTCCATTTTTCACTCATACATTGATTTTGAGCTACATCAGTGGTTCTTAGCCTTGACTATATATTACAATCACTCCAGAAGCTCTTAAATATTGATGACTAAGCCTCATTCCAGATCAATTAGATTTAATCTCTTAGGGTAGACCTGCACTTTTTTTTAATGGCCCAATGATTTGATCATTCAGCCAGGATTCAGAACCACTGAGCCAAATAAACGTAATTCTAGATCCTATCCTTAAAAGCTTATACTCCACTACACACGAGTGTGTATATATTCTTAGATTACTGCATATACAAAGATAAATGTAACTGTCAATGCAAAGAGAACATATCAATGTATCTTTGAACTACATTATGACAGACATACTTCAGGTGACAAAACAGAAGAGCTACATCCAATTTAATAATGAAGGAAAAATTAGGTGGAGAAGTACTGAAGATTTCTGGAGGAAGTAATGAATAAGCAGGAATTAACCAGAGGAAAGGATGGTGGGAAGAAACTCCAGGCATCAAATAGAGGGGATAACAAAAAGCAAAAAGAGAAGTAGGAAATAACAAGGTTGAAAACCAAGAATCACTCACGGTTTGGTGTTCCCAGTAAAGTATATTCATGTGAGGAAGGAAGAGTAAATAGGAAACTTTGGCAGAGAAAGAACGCGTAATATGCTTTGTATATGTATATTAAGGTGCCTGAAGTTTATTTATTATAGGTGAAGGGCAGTCGGTGATGTGTTAAGTGGAGAAAAGACACAACCAGGCTGCATTTGGGACAGATCTCTGGAAGCCACCAGGAAGAGAGTGCTAACATGCACTGAGCATTTACCACGGTGCCAGTGTGCTGCTGAGCACTTTACATTAATTTTCTTAACTAATCCTACCACAATTACATGGTAGATACTATTATCTTTATTTTACAAATGAGTAACTTCTCTAAGTCATACAATTATTAAGGAATAGAGAAGGGATTCAAAACAATTCTGATCCCTGAAGCTTAGGCCTTTGACCTCTAGGATGGATGGATTGGCAGGAGCAGAGTAAGAGGTAGAAGAGACTACACACTGATAAATTAGTTAGATAAAATTATCCCACATGAGAAACAATTAGGGCAATGGCACTAGGAGTGGAGATGAAGGAACAGATTCCAGGAATATTTACAAAATTTAAAAATTGTCAAACTCACATGATTCAGCCTTAAAAAGGAATGAAATTCTGACACATGCTACGATATCGACTAACCTTGAAAACATTATACTAAGTGAAATAAGACAGTCACAAAAGGGCAAATATTGTATGATTCCATTTTTAAAGTACCTAGAAGAGTCAAATTCAGACAAAGAAAATAGAACAGAAATTACAAGGGGCAGAATTAAAAGCTATCAAGAATATATTTTGTGAAACAGAATGTTCAAACAACATAGATCCTTACCTCTTAAACCTATAGATCCATAAGCTCTCCAGTAGTTTACAACACAGGAAAAGTAAACAAGTATAGTTGATTATAACTTGCTTTAAGTTACTTATAAAAAGAAAAACTACTTGTAAAGTCTTTGAAAATTAGTTCAGCATAAACCTACCAAACTGCTTACTATCTTAAAGGTAACTTACAATAAATAAATAAGCATTTTACATATACTCTTGTACGTTTGGATTTTGTGTGTTAGACATAGACCTTTTTTAAAACTAACAAACAAGTTACATGAAAAGTTACCCAATATATTACAAGCTCATAGAGCATAATAGCACTAATCTAAAGCTTACTATGGTGCCAGAAGCTTTAAATACTTCATATATATTATCTCTGATAATTCTCAAAATTACAAGATTGGTATTAGGGGCCAATTTAAAGACTAAAATTGAATTTCAGGGAGTAATGTTATATAGTTTGCTTGCAAGTAGTGAACCTAGAATTTGAACCTACTGTGGTTCCAAAGCTTATGTTCTCAACCACTACCCCCAATCAATCCTTGATTAATATCCCTTAACTAATCTATTTCCCCATATCAGAAAAAGTACATGATGACATACAATACATAACAGTAGAATAAGTCCTTGACTCATCACACCAAACATCTGCAAAATTCACACAGAATCCAGGTAAAAAGTGCCTCCAAAAGTAGTAGTGATGAAAACAAACATTTTACATTTGTAGTTAGTTTTACCTCAAAATCAAATGTTTCATACTTATTAGTTTAACCTACATTTATTTACTAAGTGTTATATGTTATGTTAAAAAACGTAAAAAAAACCTCAATAAAACATTTTAATATGAACACTTATAGAAAAACTAAAAACAGATTTGCTCAGAGATCTTGAACAGGTTTCAATAAATATCTGAAACATTCTAAAACAGGCCAAATAGTTTCTGATTGTCATTTTCTTTGTTCCTGGCCTTTCACTATGCCCTATGTCTTTCCCTAACTAGCAAAATTTAAATATCATGAAGATAAAATATTAAGGTTGTGCTTAACTATCCATTGCTACAGATTTGTACAGTGGGTCTAGATGATGGCTAAACCACTAGCTGGAGCAAAAACCTTTAAGTATTTTTCACATGTCCTAAATTGTGTAAATAGAATTAGCCACAAGATGTATTTTATATTTGTAAAAAGAATGCAATTTTTTTAATTTTTATAATCCAAAATTCTCCATGAGTCTTTCTGCCATTACTATGAATTCCTTGAAAATTAAAAATTCAGACCTATTTTCAATATCAAAAGTTAACTAGAAGCTAATTTTTAGTGGTTTCAATACCAAAAGAAATTAAGTAAAACTAGTATTTTAGTAGGCAGGGAGAAACAAAATTACTAGCAACATAATCCCTCATGTAGGGAAAAGTTTCCATATAGGAATTCAGAAAAATTAGGTAGAGCAGGAAAAAAAAAACTTTGTGGGCTTCTTTTGTATATTACATTTGATAATTAATTATCTCAAAACATTCCACAAACTACTGGTCTGGATTTCTGGGTCTTTTAATTTTTATCTGCAGACATAAAATAAGTTTCCCAGTATAAGAGACTGGTAAACAGATTACCTTTTAAAACAAACGCATTTTCTCTGAAGAAGTATTATAATTCATTTATTGAAATGAAAAATTTAGAAATGCTAAGCATGAATATTTCAAGGACTGACAGTTATACTAAAAACAACAATAAAGAAAGAATCTTCTTGGTTGTACCACATGTGAATGTATATAACACTACTGATCTGTACACTTAAAAATGGTTAAGTTGGTAAACTTTATGTTACGTGTATTTTATCACAATTAAAAATTTTTTTAAATCACTAGAAAAAAGAAATAATCTTCTAAAGAAAAAAACAAAATATATATAATTCTGATTAACATTACAGCTTGAAAATATTCAGGATATCCAGTTACTGGCCACTATCTGTCCCCTGATACCAAGAAGTTGGACACAGAACTATACCTTCTCTGATACAGGTATGTTGCTGGGTTCCTCTATATTTCTTGGTTGCTTTACAGAATCACATCCATACATCCTATTTTTAAGAATATGAAGCTGAATATCAGTCACGTGCTGGTGGAGAGCCCCATGAGGGCTTGTGGAGAGGGACTCATCATGCAGATTTTGAGCCATGCTAGCTGAACCACTGAGCACTGACTCCACATTAGAATTTGTTTGAGAGACCTGTGGAGAAAATACAACACCTGGAAGACTGATATAGTGAGAACTTTCCTGATGACACAACAAAGCTTCAGGCACGATTTTATGCTCATTTCCAGGAGATACAAGTATATCACTGGTGGCATTTTCTAAGTGTTTCCTATCTACTGGCCCAGAAGGTAGAATTGCGGGTTGCTGTAGCACGGTTTCAATTCTCTGTGATTTTTCAGTAGTTGCTTGAAGAGACCATGGATTCAATTGTGGAACACTAGTTTGTATTACTGAAGGCTGGCCAAGCTGTTGAAATACTTGCTGAATTGGATGCTGAAGAATACCTGCTCTTCCAGAAGTCTCTGTCACCATAATTGGTACATTGACTTTATAAAGGTGACCTTAAAAAGGAGAAAGCAAAATTGTAAGTATAATAGAATTAAAATTTCCTTTGACAACCACCACAAAAAAAAAAAAAAATCTCATCCACAAAGGCTGGAAAAAAATACACCAATATGTTAATGGTGGTTATCTCTAGGGGTTTTTCTTTTATTCTTCAGACATTTTTGGATTTCTACAATCAATATATAAATTCTTATTTTTTTAATTACATATGTTTTGCTTTAATTCCAGACTTTTCCCACAATTGCTTTTATGGCACACTTTGAGATACATAAAGGACACCAATATTTAATCCATGAACCTCTTCCATTGTTTGATAAATTAATGTTATCAGCCAAAAAACTGGATTTTAACAAACATAATCATGTAAAATATACTTCATATATTTAAAATGCCATATAGCAAGACAATGCTATCCAAAAGAGAGTTTAATGATTTCAAAAGTAATCAAATTTCTTCTCCTTTCTTCCTCTAAAATAACACTATAAAAGAAAAAAAAAAAAAGGCCAGGCGCGGTGGCTCATGCCTGTAATCCCAGCACTTTGGGAGGCCAAGGCAGGTGGATCACGAGGTCAGGAGATCAAGACCCTCCTGGCTAAAACGGTGAAACCCTGTCTCTACTAAAAATACAAAAAATTAGCCGGGCGTGGTGGCCGGCGCCTGTAGTCCCAGCTACTTGGGAGGCTGAGGCAGGAGAATGGCGTGAACCCAGGAGGCGGAGCTTGCAGTGAGCAGAGATTGCGCCACTGCACTACAGCGTGGGCGACAGAGCGAGACTCCATCTCAAAAAAAAGGACTTATTTTTGAGTGTTGAGTTAGGTGCTTTACTTAAACTTTACAACAACCCAAAGAAGAGGTATGATCCTCTTCAAAATCAAGAGATGGTGCTCGGAAAAGCAGAAACCGGTTAACCTCCAAACTATTGGATGTCCTATCAGACCATGCAATCCCTAATAAGAAAGGGGGCAAAGGTTGATCATCCTAATCTTTAATCCGTAATTAGAGCTAGCAGGAATGCAGGTAAGTTATTTTATTTTGTATTTGTTAAAATTTAGATAACTGACTTGAATTAGAAAAAATATATACAAAGAACCCCTATACAATGTTGGGAAAGAGAACTGGGAATCAAATATAGGACAGGCCTAGTACAGTGCCTTTTGTGGTAGATTGTCTCTATAACAATCAAAACCACCATTTATCATTACTTTTAAAATCAATTTTATTAAAAGTTCTTATAACTTCTGGTATATAGTTTATTTAAAAATCATGAAGCTTAATGTCCAAAAAATAGTACCAATGCTGAAAACAAAAAGATTCTTAGAATATACTCTCACCAGATACAGTCTGTAGTGTCACACCTGCTGGTACATGAATGGGATAACCAGGAAAAGTAAAGTTTGCACTGGAGTTTGAAGTGCCCTAGATATAAGAAATTTATATTAGAAAGTTAGAAAAGGACTTTACTTGTATCTTTTTTTCCCTGATCTCACAGGGAGTCAAAAAATCTGATTCTGGACAATAGTTTGACAATACTTAACATTTAATATTAGGGCTGAGTTCTTTGAATAAAATAGTTTTCAATATCGATCATCCCATTAAGGATCAAGAGGAATCCTATTCTACAGTTATTAGCAATGAAGCTAGTAAGTCCTAATGAACAGTATAAACATTAACTCAAAAAACTTGCCCAAGACATAGCTTTGCAGGGCCATTGGTTCTCAGACCTGCAAAAATTTGAAAGACTGATAACATCCAGTGTTGTTGAGAATGTGATAAAAATTGGTTCTCTCAAACTACTGTTTGTATGAATGTATATTGGTACAACCCTTTTGGAGGATAATTTTTGCAATATATATACCAAAAATGAAAATACAAATGACCTTTGACCCATGAACTCTACTTTTAGAAATTTATCCTGATTATCACAGAAACACACAGACATATACACAAGCATAATCAATAGAATACTATATTAGAAAAATGCTGGAAATAATTTAAATGTTCACCAACAAAAGTTTGTTAATTAAACTGTGCTGCATCCACGAAGGTCAATTTGTACTAACTGAAATTGAAAGCAGTCCATCTATATTACTAAATTAGAAAACAGAAATTACAGAAACAGTAAAAAGAGTATCCCTACTTTTTATCCTAAAAACTAATATAGCTTTCATGAAAGAAGTCTGGATGAATAAACATCAAAGAGTTAAAACATTTATTCTTGGAGTATAAGACTACAGAACTCTTTATTTTATTTATAAATGTTTTGCATTTTTATTTTTAAGAGACAGGGTTTCATTCTGTTGCCCAGGCTGAAGAGCAGTGGTGCAATCATAACTCACTGTAATCTCCAATTACGAGGCTCAAGTGATCCTTTTGCCTCAGCCTCTCAAGTAGCCAGGACTACAGGCACACACCACCATGCTTGGCTAATTTTTTTAAAAAAATTTTGTACAGGCCGGGCACGGTGGCTCACGCCTGTAATCCCAGCACTTTGGGAGGCCATGGTGGGTGGATCACTTGAGGTCAGGAGTTTGAGACCACCCTGGCCAACATGGTGAAACCCCATCTCAACTAAAATACAAAAAATTAGTTGGGCATGGTGGCGGGCGTCTGTAATCTCGTTACTCGGGAGGCTGAAGCAGAAGAATCACTTGAACCTGGGAGGCGGAGGTTGCAGTGAGCCGAGATCATGCCACCGCACTCCAGACTTGGGTGACAGAGTAAGACTCTGTCTCAAAAAAAAAAAAAAAAAAAAAAATTGTATTAATATGGTCTTGCTATGGTGCCCAGTACCTCAGTCTCCCAAAGCACTGAGATTACAGGTGTGAGCCACTGTGCTCAGCCCATTTTTACTTTTTATTAATACAAGCTTATTACTTATTTTAACAGGAAAAAAAATATTTGTTTGAATTCCAAAGGCAGAGGTATTTCTTCATTGGTCTCCTATCAAAAGCAGCACCATTCTTTCCAAAAATCCTATTAAGGTGTGTGGTTTTGGCTGTTCTTAGTGAAGAAATGGAAATAACTAGCCCACTAAGCATTTGCCCTACAAAGGCAACCTATGGGCTGAAAGAAAATTAAAAAACAGTTAGTAGATTATGTACTACTCTCAGTACCATGGAAGAAAGATAAAAGTGAAAAGCTGCTATTCTTCTCTACCCGAAAAACTACTTGGTTTTCTATGTTAACTTGTAAATGTATCTTCTGCCTTCAAGTACTAAGGGGGAAAATATAAACAAGCTATACTTCACGAAGGTACAAAATGACAAAAATATTCCAGTTTAATTAAAGTCAAAACTATGATGTTGCTCCATTCTAGAGGGGAAAAAAAATCTGAAAAAAAACCTCAAAATTATTTATTTAGGATGTAACAAGCATATAACATTATATAGTGTATTAAAACCCCATACAACATAACTTCAGACATTTCCTAACCTTGTAGGTACAGTCTTGGAAGATGCTAACAACTGCTCTGAAAGACAGGAAAACTTGGCAAGAAAATGTCAATTCTGGAACTTCTGCGTTTTATTACATCTATGCTACAGATGCTATTCTGTCACCCCACTCTTTACCACATCTTTTTTTTTTTTTCTTTGAGACAGAATTTTGTTCTTGTCACCCACGCTGGAGTGCAATGGCATGATCTCAGCTCACTGCAACCTCCGCCTCCCAGGTTCAAGAGATTCTCCTGCCTCAGCCTCCTGAGTAGCTGGGATTACTAGGCGCCCACCACTACACCCAGCTAATTTTTGTACTTTTAGTAGAGACAGGGTTTTGCCATGTTGGCCAGGCTGGTCTCAAACTCCTGATCTCAGGCAATCCACCTGCCTCAGCCTCCCAAAGTGCTGGAATTACAGGCGTGAGCCACCGCGCCCGGCCACATCTTTTCACTTTCAACTGGAGGGTAAGAAATTACATCTATGTTCAGCATTTTGCCACCACTCGCTAACAGTGGGACATGTCTTTTAAAATATATTTTAAGTAAGCTACATACCAGTTCTGCTGTGGTAAAACTTGGAAGAGTTCTACCAGCAGGAATAACTAATGATGCTGCATAGGAAACAAAATAAATATACATTCATTAGAATTTACCAATTTAATAAAATCACTAAATATAGCTTATTTTTAAAAAATATTTTCTATCACTAACAGGTTAAACCATGGTGAATTCTAAACTTCCTGATTCCAAGTGCGGTAAAAAGTAATTATATTTTTTGCAACAACTTCACATAAAGACTTTACAAATAAACTCCTTTAAGTGCTGAAAGAAAATATCTCATTGTAATCAACTATACTGTACTTTGGAAATCCATAACAAAACACCTAGATTGTCCTTATTAAGTCAAGTAATATTTATTAAATATTTATTAAAGTGGCACATTTCCGTGAGACTATAATATTGAGCATAAATATGTTAACCCAACATAAACCCATTCTAAATTGTATAGGTTCAACATAAATTCCAATTCATTATTTTATGAAAAGTTATTTACAGTACTTTGGTCAAGTAAGCAAGCACACCTGAACAGTTTTAGGAACAAATGAATAAGAACATGTCTCCTCAAGTCTCTGCAATAAAACAGGTACAATTGCTAAAAATATGTAAGAAAACAAATCCCCAGAATGACAACTCGACCTACATTAGACCTACAGTCCCATATATCTTTCCTTTATTATCTACCAGTTTTCTATGCTAACCAGCCTTTCATTTATAATACATCTCAAAGATTGACCAGCTAGTTGTAAATGTAATCTATCATTTAAAAATAAGCATAAAGAAAAAATAATAACTACAGTAGAAGGATCTTAGTTGATCAATGTAACCATATACCTTAGATACTCAAGGTTCATTTTACCTGAACATGACTAAATATAGCTGTTAGAATGTCATTTTCCCTCATCTTTAATAAAAACACAAACTTTAGCATGTTTATATGTTAATGTAATATTTATTATGGCCTGTTTTTCACAAACTGCATTAAGGAAAATTGCCCCAAAGATCTGTTCCTGACATTAGAATGGCTCCGTCACATAAAACAAACAACTCATAAAAGCAAACATTTTTTTAAACTAACCATTCCTTCCACGTTAAGACAACAGAAGAAAGGCTACAGATTGATGGTTAATGAAGCACAGAATTATTTTTATCCTCTGTTCATCTACGACCTTGCTTATTAACAGGCATTATTTTAGAAAAGCTAAATTAGAAAGAATTGAACTGGCAGGAACACAGTGGTATTAGTCTTCATTAGCTGAAGTGAGCAAAGCTTAAGCTGCTGCAGCTTAAGTAATAGCCGGAGAGGAAATAAAAATCTGTTAACACATTGTCTAAAGCAATTAAATGAATTCCTTGAGAAAAAATAGCAACAATCATCCTCTTTTAGGTACCTTGCAATAAATCCTGTAAGATAATTCTCTATATTTAAATAAATCAAACAGTACAATAAGAGAGTTTTTAAAGTTTCTTTATAGACATTGGAATAAAAGCATTGAACAGTTTTATAATGAAGTTTCATGCAGCTCCTACTTAATTTTGATACTAAACTAACAAGTTATATACTTGAACATATAAAAATAATAACTTATTTTTATATGCTCACAAGTTATACCTTTAAATGTGCATCAAACAAATTTTAATATTCAAGATGGTTTTAATAACAAAGTAAGTTTTAAATGAGTATATATTTTTACTCAAACTAAAAGTGTCATAACTTTGGTCTTCATGTGTATGTTCTAGAAATACTAAATTTTTTAACTTTTATTTTAAGTTCAGGGGTACATGTGAAGGTTTGTTCCACAGGTAAACTCGTGTCACAGATTTTACAGATTATTTTGTTTTACAGATTATTTCATTATCCAGGAATTAAGCCCAGTACCTAGTAGTTATCTTTTCTACTCCTCTGCCCCCGCCCACCCTCCACCCTTAAGTAGACCCAGTGTCTGTTGTTTCCTTGTGTTCATGAGTTCTCATCATCTAGCTCCCACTTAGAACATGCAGTATTTGGCTGTCTTTCCTGCATTAGTTTGTTGAAGATAATAGCCTCCAGCTCCATCCATGTTCCCACAAAAGACATGATCTCATTCTTTTTTATGGCTGCATAGTATCCATGGTGTATACGTACCACATTTCCTTTATCCAGTCAGTCACTGATGAGCATTTAGGTTGATTCCCTGTCTTTGCTATTGTGAAAAGTGCTGTAATGAACATTCGCATGCGTCTTTATGGTAGAATGCTTTATATTCCTCTGAGAATATCCAGTAATGAGATTGCTGGGTCAAATAGCAGTTCTGCTTTTAGCTCTTTGAGGAATTGCCATACTGTTTTACACAATGGCTGAACTAATTTGCACTCCCACCAACAGTATATCAGTATTTCCTTTTCTCTGCAACCTCACCAGTATCTGTTCATTTTTTACTTTTTAACAACAGCCATTCAGACTGGTGTGAGATGGTATCTCCTTGTGTTTTTGATTTGCATTTCTCTAATGATCAGTAATATTGAGCTTTTTTTCATATGCTTGTTGGCTGCATGTATGTCTTCTTTTGAAAAGTGTCTGTTCATGTCCTTTATCCACATTTTAACGGGACTGTTTGTTCTTCTCTTGTAAATTTGTTTAAGTTCCTTATAGATGCTGGATATTAGACCTTTGTCAGATACATAGTTTGCAAATATTTTCTTCCATTCTGTAGGCTGCTTCCTCTGTTGATAGTTTCTTTCACTGTGCAGAAACTCTTAAGTTTAATTAGATCTCACTTGTAAATTTTTGCTTTTCTTGTGATTGCTTTTGGTGTCTTTGTCATGAAATCTTTGCCTGTTCCTATGTCCAAGATGGTATTGCCTAGGTTGTTTTCTAGGGTTTTTTACAGTTTGGGGTTTTATATTTAAGTCTTTAATCCATCTTGAGTTGATTTTTGTATGTGGTGTAAGAAAGGGGTCCAGCTTCAGTCTTCTGCATATGGCTAGCCAGTTATCCCAGCACCATTTATTTTATTGGGAGTGCTTTCACCATTGCTTACTTTTGTTGACTTTGTCAAAGGTCAGATGGCTACAGGTGTGCAGCCTTATTTCCTGGCTGTCTATTCTGTTCCATTGGCCTATGGGTCTGTTTGTACCAGTACCATGCTGTTTTGGTTACTGTGGCCCTGTAGTATAGTTTTAAGTCAGGTAATGTGATGCCTCCAGCTTTGTCCTTTTTGTTTAGGATTGCCTTGGCTATTCAGGTTCTTTGTTAGCTCCATATGAGTTTTAAAATAGTGTTTTCCAGCTCTGTGAAGAATTTCATTGGTAATTTGATAGGAATAGCATTGCATCTGTACATTGCTTTGGGTAGTATGGCCATTTTAATAATATTGATTCTTCCTACCCATGAGCGTGGGATGTTTTCCCATTTGTTTGTGTCTTCTGATTTCTTTGAGCAGTGTTTTGTAATTCTCATTGTAAAGATCTTTCACCTCCCTGGTTAGCTGTATTGCTAGGTGTCTTATTCTTTTTGTTATCCTGGTTTACCTCTCTGCTTGGCTATTGTTGGTGTATAGGAATGTTAGTGATTTTTGTACATTGATTTTTGTATCCAAAACTTTGCTGAAGTTGTTTATCACCTGAAGGAGCTTTTCGGCCGAGACTATAGAGTTTTCTGCATATAGAATCATATCATCTGCAAATAGGGACAGTTTGACTTCTTCTTTTCTATTTGGATGTCCTTTATTTCTTTGTCTTGCCTGACTGCTATAGCTAGGACTTCCAAAACTATGTTGAATAGGAGTGGTGAGAGAGGGCATGCTTGTCTTGTGCTGTTTTCAAGGGGAATGCATTCAGCTTTTCCCCATTCAGTATAATGTTGGCTGTAGGTTTGTCATAGATGGCTTGTATTATTTTGAGGTATATTCCTTCAATACCTAGTTTCTTGAGAGTTTTTAACATGAAAGGCTGTTGAATTTTATCTAAAGCCTTTTCTGCATCTATTGAGATAAGCATTTGGTTTCTGTCTAGTTTTGTTTATGTGATGAATCACATTTATTGATTTGAGTATGCTGAGCCAACTTTGCATTGCAGTGATAAAGCCCACTTGATCATGGTGGATTAGCTTTTTGATGTGCTGCTAAATTCGGTTTACAAGTATTTTGTTAAGGATTTTTGCAGTGATGTTCAACAGGAATATTGGCCTGAAGGTTTCTTTGTTGTGTCTCTCCCAGGCTTTGGTATCGGGATGATGCTGGCCTCACAGAATTAGCTGGGGAGGAGTCCTTCCTCCTCAATTTTTTGAAATCGTTTCAGTAAGAATAGTAGCAGCTCTTCTTCGTACATCAGGTAGAACTCAGCTGTTTATCCATCAGGTCCTTGGCTTTTTTTGGTTGGTAGGCTATTTATTACTGATTCAATTTTGGAGTTCCTTATTGGTCTGTTCAGGGAATCAATTTCTTCCTCGTTAAGTCTTGGGAGGGTGTATGTGTTCAGGAATTTATTCATCTCATCTAGGCTTTCTAGTTTGTGTGCATAGAGGTGTTGTTCACAATAGTTTCTGATGGTTATTTTTATTTCTGTGGGGTCAGTGGTAACACTCCCTTCATTTCTAGTTGTGTTTATTTGGATCTTCTCTCTTTATTAGTCTAGCCAGCAGCTAGACTGATGGTTTCTGATGGTTATTTTTATTTCTGTGGGGTCAGTGGTAACATTCCCTTCATTTCTAATTGTGTTTATTTGGATCTTCTCTCTTTAGTAGTCTAGCCAGCAGCCTATCTATCTTATTAATTTTTTCAAAAACCAACTCCTGGATTCATTAATCTTTTGAATGGTTTTTTGTGCCCTGATTTCCTTCAGTTCAGCTCTAATTTTGTTCATTTCTTGTCTTCTGCTAGCTTTGGGGCTGAAGTGTTCTTGCTTCTCTGATTCTTTCAATTGTGATGTTACGTTCTTAATTTGAGATCTCTCTAACTTTTTGATGTGGGCATTTAGTGCTATGAATTTCCCTCTTAACACTGCCTTAGCTGTGTCCCAGAGATTCTGGTATATTGTATCTTTGTTCTCATTAGAAATAGTAAATTTAACAATAAATTTTAACATAGCAAGAATTCAACTCCACAAACATAATTTTAAGAATGTTATAATACACTAACATGGCATAACAATATCCACATTCATAAGTGTATTGTTTCTTATTCACCATCAAAAATTCTTTGATACATTGCGGCAGTTATAGTTTTATGATTCTTGGATCTTCTTTGAACCAATCCAAATTTTAATAATAAAATTACATGATTCAGGAAATATAGAAACAGGTGAATTTCTTCTTTGTGAATACGCATTAGCATAAAAGATGTCTCCTGATGACCAAACAATATTCTAACTCTCAAATCACCTAAAGAACCAACCACATTGCTGAAATTTTCAACACATCTAAGTTCAAGAACAATCGGACATACAGTTTACACCTATACTTTAGGAGTTTTAATGCTCAAATATGAAAGCAACCACAAACCTCTCAGTGTCCCTGTTCCTCCCTTCCCTTCCTTCCATCATGACTGATAGTATCATTTTAAAAAGATCATGTGACATGAAGACCAAATACAGAAGCTGACTTGAAGTCCCCTAGAAATAAGGTAATCATAGGGTGACTACACGTCCCAATTTGCCCAGGACAGTCCCAGTTTACACCTGTTATTCTGAGGTAATTATTAATAGAACCCCATTTGTCTCTCTCTCAAAACTAGATTATAAATTACATATAGTCACCCTACATGCAGAACAACAGTTCTCGGAGTGTAATATACAAACCACTGAGGCTACCTAAGACCATTTTCAGGGTGTTTATAAGGTCAAAACTATTTTCATGATACCAAGACAAAGTATGCCTTTTTCTCATTTAGTATTTTTATTTGGTTTTGTTGACATTTGAACTGATGATGCAAAAGCAATAACAAGTAAAACTGTAGACATCTTAGCATGAATTAAGTTAGTAGCACCAAACCTTGCAAGTGGTCACTTTATTCTCAATTGCTACTCACAGTTAAAAAAACACAACAGACAAAAACAGCAGGAACAACCACAAAGATATTTCACTTAAGGTAAGAAAGTCCTTTGCATAATCTAAGAATTATTATACTAAATTTCAACTAGCAAGTATACTTCCTTTTAATATTTTACGAGATGAAATAGAAGGATAAAGCATTTCTGCAGCATGCAAAAGTACAAGGAAAAGCATTTGTGTCATTGTTTAAGCTGGGAGTTAATATAGCCTTTTTTTCCTCAGGTGGCAGATTAAAGCCTGTTAGCAGGCCTCCACCATTTGGAAATAACAAAATAGTAAATAAAGATCAATGGTTTGAGCTTTAATTCAAGAAGGAAAATGAGAATCTAATGGAATCATGCAGGATACTCCAAATCCCAAAGACGAGAATCCTGCCAAACAGCCACTGTGATGGCATTTGGCTGATAAAAGTAAGTGAAGCCCCAGTACATGAGAGAGAAAGACAGCCTCCCTCAGTGACTCACCTTTCCACAGGAGATCAGAGCAACTCAGGCTGAGGGAGAACTTTTTTTTTCCTCCCAATCCCTGAAGCTAACTTGGGGAAAGGGTTGGAGACGCTGTGAGGGAAAAACACTAGGAGAAGCTGCAGACACTTTCCCAGACATAGGACCAAGCACAGGATGCCATTTTTAATCTGGTTGCATACAAAGTCAGCCATTCTAGGTAACCCAGCTGCATGGCCATACAAGCATTTTACTCTTGCGCCACAGACTGAAGCACCTGCTCTGGAGCAGGGTAGTAGCCTCCACAGCCTCCACCACTTCTGAGGTGGAAAGCACCTCAGAAGTAGGTATTGGAATTATACTCTTCCCTATTGCAAGCCTGGAGTGGGAGGAGAGCTGCTACAGTTGCAGTCTCTCCTGGGCAATGAGACTTGCAGCCAGGGCCAGCTTGGCAATCTGAAACTGAACTGCATGTGCCATCACTTGGTGCCCCTGCTGTTCCCCTGGGATCGAGGTGAAGTGGGGTCCCCTCTGCTCCACCCCCCAAGCAGAAATCCAGGCATTCAGGGCACCTGCTTGCGTGACCAGCAGCCTGAGCCACTCATCTTTCATGGACAGAGATCATGCTGCAGAAGGGTCATCTCCACTCCATGCCCAGGCAGATGTCTAGACCTTTGGAGCACCCACTCACCTTGATTAACAGCCTGATCCACTCCACCCTTCCTGTGCAGAGATCCTGGTGCAAGGGGGCCCTCTCTGCTACACACCTAGGCAGATCTCCAGGTATTCATAGCACCTGCTTGCCTGGTCCACTAGCCTGAGTCATCCCACCCCTCCTATGCAGAGATCTTGATGCAGGAAGGCCCTCTCCACTCCATGCCCAGGCAGATCTCCAGATATCTGGAGCACTCACTACCCTGGATTAGAATTTTAGGCTGCCCCTCATCACTGTGCAGAGAACTTGGGGCCAAGGAGGTTTCCCAGTTCCATGCCTAGATATACCTCTGGGCACCTGGTGGCTGCCCACTGGATTCTCCCTCAGCTTCAGTGCTTGTACCTGCCACTGGGGGACCTGTAGATGGATGTGCCCAATCTGGCCCCACTCTTCATGGCCCCTGCCCTCCCAGACTGTCAAAGGTCAATGCTAAAGAAAAAATCTTAGAGGCAGCTAGAGAAAAAGGTCAGATCCTGTACAAAAGGAAACCCTTTAGGCTAAAAGCAGACTTCTCAGCAGAAACCTTACAAGCCAGGAGAGACTAGGGGCCTATTTTCAGTATTCTTAATGAAAAGAAATTCCAACCAAGAATTTCATACCCTGCCAAGTTAAGTTTCATAAGCACAGGAGAAATAAAGGTTTTTTCAGACATGCAAGCATTAAAGGAGTTAGTTACCACTAGACCACCATTACAAGAGCTCCTTAAGGGAGTTCTAATCACGGAAACAAAAGACTGATGCCAGCTACCATGAAAACACACTTAGGCCTATAAACAGACCCTATAAAGTAACCACACAACAGAAACTACAAAGCAACCAGCTAACAATTTCATGATAGGATCAAAACCTCACATATCAGCCAGAGACACAGTGGCTCATGCCTGTAATCCCAACACTTTGGGAGGCCGAGGCAGGCAGATCACTTGAGGTAAGGAGTTTGAGATCAGCCTGGTAACATGGTGAAATCCCGTCTCTACTAAAAATACAAAAATTAGCCAGGCGTGGTTATGCTCGCCTGCCATCCCAGCTACTCAGGAAGCTGAGGCAGGAGAACCTCTTGAACCCGGAGACGAAGGTTACAGTGAGCTGAGATTGTGCCACTGCACTCCAGCCTGAGTGACAGAGCAAGACTCCTTCTCAATAAAAACAAAACCTCACATATCAATATTAACCTTGAATGTAAATGGTCTAAACACTCCACTAAAAAGGCACAAAGTGGCAAGTTAGATAAAAAACAAGATGCACATAAAACACCCATAGGCTCAAAATAAAGGGCTGAAGAGTGATCCACCAAGCAAATAGAAAACAAAAAAAGAGCAGAGGTCACTATTATTATATAAGACAAAACAGACTTTAAACCAACAATAAAAAACAAAGAAGGCCATTATATAATGATAAGCATTCAATTCCACAAGAAGTCTTAACTATCCTAAATATACACTCACCCAAAATTGGAGCACCCAGAATTACAAACAAGTACTTCTAGACCTACAAAACTCTTATACAGCCATACGATAATGGTGGGGGACTTCCCCCTATTGAAATCCTACTGAAAACATTAGATCATCGAGGCAGAAAACTAACAAAGAAATTATGAATTTAAACTTGACCAATTGGACCTCATGGACATCTACAGAATACTCCACCCATTGGCCATAGAACAATACTTTTCTCATCTGCACATGGAACATACTCCACAATTGACCGTATGCTCAGCCATAAAGCAAATCTCAATAAGTTCAAAAAAATTATCATACCAACCATACTCATAGACCACAGAGGAATAAAAACAGAAATCTCCTTTTCCACCCACTCCTCCCACCCACCAAGCACTGCTCCAGCTGCATCATGTTCACTCTAATCTCTGGAATCCTGCTAAGCCAGCACCACCGCATCTCCCTTCAGCTGCCATCAAGATTATCTACCCGGACCTTATCAGCCATGATGAGCTGTTCTCCAACATTTACAATATCTGGGAGATTGCAGACTGGCTGTGCCTGGAAGTGGGACGGGGGGGTGGGGAAGAAGATAGTCAGTAGGACAGAGGGTAACATTGACAGAAATGCCTCCGCAGAAGGCCCTGAGGGTGAGGGTACCGAAAGCACATTAATCACTTATGTTGATACTGTCATGAACCATCACTTGCAGGAAACAAACTTCAAAAAGAAGCCTACAAGAAGTACATCAAAGATTACATAAAATCAATCAAAGGCCAACATGAAGAACAGAGACCTAAACAGTAAAACCTTTTATGACAGAAGCTGTAGAACAAACCAAGCACATCTTACTAATTTCAACAACTACCAGTTTTTTACCAGTAAAAACATGAATCCAGATGGCATAGTTGCTCTACCATGAGGATGGTGTGACCCTGTATATGATTTTCTTTAAAGATGGTTTAGAAATGGAAAAATGTTAACCAATTGGCAATTACTTTGGCTCTATCACCTGTCATCACAACTGCTTGCTGCCTATCACCCACATGACACAATGACTTAAGATAAATTGGACTGATGTCAACTTGAGCTCTTCATTTATTTCGACCATTATATCTTTGGAGTGGAAGCATTGTTTTTAAGAAAAACAGGTCGGCTGGCGTGGTGGCTCACGCCTGTAATCCCAGCACTTTGGGAGGCCAAGGCTGGTGGATCACAAGGTTGGGAGTTGGAGACTAACCTGGCCAATATGGTGAAACACCATCTCTACTAAAAATAAAAAAATTAGCTGGGCATGGTGGTGCATGCCTGTAATCCCAGCTACTCAGGAGGCTGAGGCAGGAGAATCGCTTGAACCAGGGAGTCGGAGGTTGCAGTGAACCGAGATCACGCCACTGCACTCCAGCCTAGTGACAGAGTAAGACTCTGTCAAAAAAAAAAAACAAAAAACTTGTCAAGTAGGTTGTCTAAAAATAAAATGCACTTAAACTCATTTGAAAGAATCCTTTTTAGTTTAATATATGTTTATGCTAAATCCATCCTATAGTATTCCTGGAGAGGTTAGAGCCTGGTTGTAAGCCACTACTAGGATGAATAAGACTATCATTAGATAACTTCTATAGAGGGAATTACTTCTGGGACTGGAATATAAAAAAGAATCAAGTTTTAATTCTCAGTTGAGTAAAGGAAGAGACCACGCTCACAGCAGTACCAACATCTGAAGTAGAGCCTTATACATTTTTATCACCTACAACAGAAGTAGTTAACTCTGGAAGACATTGCCAAGAGAATAAAAAGACTAATAACAGTTGGAAGCAAAAAACAACAACAACAAAAACAAAAACAAATGTATACCAAGATTTTTCCAAATCACACAATTACATGGAAATTTTAAAACTTGCTCCTGAATGACTTTTGGGTAAACAACAAAGTTAAGGCAGAAATCAAAAAATTATTTGAAATAAATGAAAACACAGACACAACATACCAAAAATCTCTGAGATGAAGCAAAAGCAGTATTAAGAGGAAACTGTATAGTACTAAATGCCTACCACAAAAAGTTGGAAAGATCTCAAATTAACAATCTAACATCAAACCTAGAGGAACTAGAAAAACAAGAACTAACCCTAGAGCCAGATGAAAAGAAATAACTACAATCGGAGTGAAACACAACAAAATTGAGACCCAAAAATCCATACAAAGAATCAATGATTTTCTGACAGTGATCATTAAGGGGGAAAAAAAGAATCAATGAAACCAAACACCGGTTCTCTGAAAGGATAAACAATATCGATAGAACACTAACTAGATTAACAAAGAAAAAAAGGGAAGATTCCAATAAGCACAGTCAGAAATGACAAAGATGACATTACAACCAATCACAGAAATACAAAAGATCCTCAGATACTATTAGAATACCTCTACATACACAAACTAGAAAATCTAGAGGAAATGGATAAATTCCTAGAAACATAAAATCTCCCAAGATTGAATCAGGAAGAAATTAAAACTCTGAACAGACCAATATCGAGTTCCAAAATTGAATTAGTAATAAAAAACCTACCACCCAAAAAAAGCCCCAGACCAGATAGACTCACAGCTGAATTCTACCAGATGTTCAAAGTAGTGCTGATACTATTCCAAATATGCTGAAAACTATTCCAAAATGTTGAGGAGAAGGGACTCCTCTCTAACTCATTCTATGAAGCCAGCGTCGCCTTTATACCAAAACCTGAAAAAGACATGATAAAAAAAGAAAAGTATAGGCCAACATCCCTGATGAACACAGAGCAAAAATCCTTAACAAAATACTAGCAAACTGAACCCAGCAGCTCATCAAAAGTTAACTCACCACAACTAAATAAGCTTCATTCCTGGGATGTAAAGTTGGTTCAACATATGCAAATCAATAAATATGATTTATTGACAAATACAATAAACAGAATTAAAAGCAAAAACCTGTGATCATCTCAATATACATGGAAAAAGCTTTTGGTAAAATCCAACATGACTTCATGATAAAAGAAAAACCCTCAAGAAACTAGGCATTGAGGGAACATACCTCAAAATAATAAGAGCCATCTATGACAAACTCACAGCCAACACCATGCTAAATGGGCAAAAATTGGAAGAACTCTCCCTGAGAACCAGAAAAGACAAGGATGCCCAATCTCACCACTCCTATTCAATATAATACTGGAGGTATAGAACAATCACTCAAGAGAAAAAGTAAAAGGCATCCAAACAGGAAAACAAGTCAAACTATCTCTCTTCACTGACAATATGGTCTTATACCTAGAAAATCCTAAGGACTTCACCAAAAGACTCTTAGAACTAATACATGTCTTCAGTTAAGTTTCAGGATACAAAACCAATGTATAAAATTAGTAGCATTTCTTTACACCAACAACGTTCAAGCTGAACGCCAAATCAAGAACACAATCCCATTTGCAATAGCCACACACAAAAATAAAATACCTAGGAACGCATCTACTCAAGGAAGGGAAAGATCTCTACAAGGAGAACTACAAAACACTGCTGAAAGAAATCATAGATGACACAAACAAATGGAGAAACACTCCAAGCTCATGGAATACAAGAATCAATAACATTAAAATGGCCATACATCCTAAAGAAATCTACAGATTCAATGCTATTCCTATCAAACCACCAATGTCATTTTTCACAGAACTAGAAAAAAACTGTTCTAAAATTCATATGGAACCAACAAGGAGCCTGAACAGCCAAAACAATCATAAGCAAAAAAGAACACAACTGGAGGCATCATATTACAGAACTTCACCCATACTATAAGTCTATAGTAACCAAACAGCATAGCAACAGTACAAAAACATAAACATAGAACAATGAAACAGAATAGAGAACTCAGAAATAAAGCCACACACCTACAGCCATCTGATCTTTGACAAAGTCGACAAAAATAAGCAACGGGGAAAGGACTCCCTAGTCAATAAATGGTGATGGGGCAACTGGTAGCCATATGCAGAAGAATGAACTAGACTCCTACCTTTTACCACATACAAAAATTAACTCAAGATGTAACTGGGCAGCTTAAATTCAAAATACATTTTAAAACTTTTTTTTTCCTTTCCCTTTGGATTCAAGACCTAACCTTGAAGCAAACTTCAGAAGCCTTTTCCCTTAGCCTGAAAATAGACTTCATGTCCTTCCCTTTCTCACCGCATATACTCCCTTCACATCTATCTAACTGTATGCTAGTATCTAATTATGTGCCTAGTTAGAAGTTCTAGGGGCTAATCTTGAGACAAACAGACCAAGCCTGGGGACCCAGCTGCAAAACTGCAGTGATAAATGCAAGGCAGCTAGTCCACAACCTTGCCATTGTTGAGATGACTCCAGCCCATGCTCCAGGTGGACTGGAACCCAAGAAAGCCAACAGAACAAGACACACAGACGTTGTACTCAGTACAATTCTTACATGCCTTCCATATCAAGTTTTACCTTTTTAAACCCTTGCCTTCCCTCATCAAAATTCAAAATCATTGCTTTGGACAGGAATCAAGCCACTTCCTCCTTGCCAGCTTTGGAAATAAAGTCACTTTTTTTTTTTTTGAGACGGAGTCTCGCTCTGTTGCCCAGGCTAGAGTGCGGTGACATGATCTTGGCTCACTGCAACCTCTGCCTCCTAGGTTCAAGCAATTCTCCTGCCTCAGCCTCCTGAGCAGCTGGGATTACAGGCACGCACCACCAAGCCTGGCTAATTTTTGTATTTTTAGTAAAGACAGGTTTCACCATGTTGGTCAGGCTGGTCTCAAACTCCTGTCCTCATGATCCGCCCACCTCGGCCTCCCAAAGTGCTGGGATTACAGGCATGAGCCACCGCACCTGGCTGCAAAGTCACTTTCTTCCTACCACACCTCCCTCTTGTTAACTGGACTCTGCAAGCAGTGAGTGACTGAACTTGCATTCAGTTACAAAGATGGGTTAAAGTTCTAAATGTAAGACCTCAAACTATAAGAATCCTAGAAGAAAACCTAGGAAACACCATTCTAGAAATCGGCCTTGGAAAATAATTTATAACTAAATTCTCAAAAGCAATTGCAACAAAAACAAAATTGACAAGTGAGACCTAATTAAACTATAGAGCTTCTGCACAGCAAAAGAAGCTACCAACAGAGTGAACAGACAACCTACAGGATGGTAGAAAATATTCACGAACTACTCATCTGACAAAGTTGTAATATCCAGAATCTATAAGGAACTTAAAACAATTCACAAAAAATCAAATAACCCCATTAAAAAGTGGGCAAAAGACATGTACAGATGCTTCTCAAAAGATATAGAAGTGGCCAATATATGAAAAAATGCTCCACATCACTAATCACCAGAGAAATACAAATCAAAACACAAGAATATACCACCTCACACCAGTCACAATGGCTATTATTAAAAAGTCAAAAAGCAACCAATGCTGGCAAGGCTGCAGAGAAAAAAGAACACTTGTACACTGTTGGTGGGAATGTAAATTAGTTCAGCCACTGTGGACAACAGTTTGGAGATTTCCCTAAGAACTTAAAATAGAACTACCATTTGACCCAGCAATCCCATTATTGGCTATATATCCAAAAGAAAGAAATCTTTCTACCAAAATGACACATGCACTCCCATGTTCATCACAGTACTATTCACAACAGCAATGACATGCAACCAATCCAGGTGCCCATCCATAGTGGATTGGATAAAGAAAATGTGGTATATATACACCATGGAACACTATGCACTCATAAAAAACAAAGAAATCATGTCCTTTGCAGCAACACGAATGCTGCTGGAGGCTGGTATCCTAAGTGAATTAATGCAGGAACAGAAAAACAAATACCACATATTCTTACTTTCAAATAGAAGCTAAACATTGAGTACCCATGGACATAAAGATGCCAACAAGAGAAAATGGGTACTACTAGAGGGATGAGGGTGAGAGGAAGGCAAGGGTTGAAAAACTAACTACTGGATACTATGCTCAGTACCTGGGGGTACTATGCATTTGTACCCCAAACCTCAGAATCATGCAATATACCCATGTAACAAACCTGCCTGTGTACCCCTGAATCTAGAATAAAAGTTGAAAAGAAAAAAAAACATGGCCTCTTTTTTCAAGAAACACCATTTTTACTTGAAAGAATATCTGACAGCAACTATAGTTATTCAAACTGGGTATCTGGCAGACATTTTTTTAAACATAAACTAAGCATGCCCATCACTTTAAGAAAAACTAACAGCATGTATTTGCCAATGATAAAACTCAACTTTTCAAGCAAAAATTTAATTTTGGAAAATTCATATCAACCACAATGGATGAGAGGCCTAGTTATATCAATGAATATGATTTTTTTAAACTTGTATAATGAACAACGTTTCAACTGTATGACAGGAAACCAATTTTTCCAAATAACCAATGTATGCTGTAACATTACACGTGTTAAAAAGCCATTCAAAGTGCAAGGTATACCAATAAACCCTAATGAAATATTCCAAAAAGTTCCTTGTGGTTCCAGATTCCATCATGCAGCTAACCTCTCAGAAACTACCATTTGTTGAGTTTTAGTGTAGTTATCAATTATCTGAAAATACTATTAAAATGCTTCCCTTTTTTCCAACTATGTATCTGTGGAAGGCTAGATTTTCTTCCTATACTTTCACAAAAACAACATATCACAACAGATTGAATTTAGGAACAGATATAAAAAATAAAGAGATCGAGGTAGTAATTAAAAACCTCCCAACACAGAAAAGCCCAGAACCAGATGGCTTCATGGCTGAATTCTACCAAATATTTAAAGAGGATGAACTCAGTAAAGTTGCAGGATACAAAATCAACAAAAAAAATCAGTGGGATTTGTGTACACAAATAACTACCTATCCAAAAAATCATAAAAACAATCTCATTTACAATAGCATCTTAAAAAATAAAATTCTTAAGAATATATTTAACCAAGAAGGTGAAAGATATGCACACTCTAGGAGGCCAAGGTAGGTGGATTGCTTGAACTCAGGAGTTTGAGACCAGCCTGGGCAGTATGGAGAAACCCTGCCTCTACAAAAAATACAAAAATTAGTCAGATGTTGTGGCACATGCCTGTAGTCCCAGCTACTTTGGGAGTCCGAGGTGGGAGAATGGCTTGCGCCCAGGGGGTGGAGGCTGCAGTGAGCCAAGGTTGTGCCACTGCACTCCAGCCTGGATGACAGAGCCAGACCCTGCCTCAAAAAAAAAGATATGTACACTGAAAACTATAAAACATTGATATAAGAAACTGAAGGACACAAATAAATGGGAAAATACCCATGTTCATGGACTGGAATAACTGATATCATTAAAATGTCCATACTACCCAAAGCAAAATATGGATTCAACAAAATCTCTTATCAAAATTCCAATGACTTTCTTTATAGAAATACAAAAAAAAGTCTAAAATTCATATGGAACAACAGAACACATTAAATACCAAAGCAATTCAGAGGGGAAGAAAAAAAAAGCAGAGTTGGAGGTATCACATTTTCTTGTTTAAAACTATATTGCAAACCTGTAGTAATCAAAACAGTATGGCACTGACAAAAACAGACACAAAGACCAGCAGAACAGTATAGAGAGCCCAGAAATAAACCCAAACACATATGGTCAACTGATTTTCAACAAGGGTGCTAAGAGGACACAATGGGGAAAGGATAGTTTCTTCAATAAATGGTTGTTGGTGGAAGAAGTGAATTTCCACACACAAAAGAATGAAATGGACTCTTATTTTCATACCATACATAAAAATCAATTCAAAATAGACAAAAGACCTAACCATAAGACCTTAAACCATAAAACTCCAAGACAAAAACACAGAGGAAAACCTGTTTGACAATGGCCTTGGCAATGATTTTTTGGATATCACACCAAAAGCTCGGGCTACAAAAGCGAAAATAAATAAGCCAGGCACAGTCGCTCACATCTGTAATCCCAGCACTTTGGGAGGCCGAGGCAGGAGGATTGCTTCATTCCAAGAGTTCAAGACCAGCCTGGACGACACAGCAAAACCTGGTCTCTACAAAAAATGTGAAAATTAGCCAGGCATGATAGAGTATGCCTGTAGTCCCAGTTACTCATGAAGTCGAGGTGAGAGGATCAATTGACCCTGGAAAGTCAAGGCTACAGTGACCTATGATTGCTCCACTGTACTCCAGCATGGATGACAGAGCAAGACCCTCCCTCAAAAAAATAAAATAAAATAAAATAAATACAGACATCAAATTAAAAAGCTCCTGCACAGCAAAGAAAACAAATAACAAAATAAAACAGCAGCCAACAGATACGGAGAAAATATTTGCAAACCATATATCTGATAAAGGGCTTAATATCCAAAATATATTAAAAGATTTACACAACTCAATAACAGAAAAACAAATAACCTTTTCAAAAATTGGCAAAGGACTTGAATAGATCTTTTTCCAAAGACAACATAAAAACAGCTAACAGGTATACAAAAAGGTGCTCAACATCACTATTCATCAGAGGAATATAAGTCAAAACTGCATTAAGATATCAACTCACACCTGTTAGGATGGCTATTACCAAAAAGAAAAGAGACGACAAGTGTTGGTGAGAGTACAGAGGAAAGGAAACCCCTGTACTCTGTTGGTGGGAATGCAGAATGGTCAGCCATTGTATAAAACTGTGCAGAGATTCCTAAATAAATTAAAAATAGAATTACCACGTGATTCAGCAATCCTTCTTATGGATATATACCCAAAGGAAATTAAACTACTACCTCATAAAAATATCTACACTTCCAAGTTCATTGCAATATTACTCACGATAGCCAAGATTTGTAAACAACCGAAGTGTCTGCAAATGGACAAATGGATAAAGAAATTGTGGTATGTCTGTATACACACACACACAGAGGAATATGATTCAGCTTTTTAAAAGAGGGAGAGTCTGCCATTTGTCACAACATAGATGAAACTGAAGGACATTATACTAAGTGAAATAAGCCAGACACAAAAAGAAAAGTATTGCATGATCTCATTTATATGTTAAAAAAAAAAAACCACAAATACAGACATAGAGAATAAAATAGCAGTTACCAGAGGCAGGAAGGGAGAAAATAAGAAGATGTAGGTGAAAGGATCCAAAGTCACAGATACATAGGATCAATAAGTCTAAATATCTAATAGATAACATGAGGGCTATACTTAATAATGTTGTGCTGCACTTGGGATTTTTGCTAAAAGAGAAGACTTAAGGCATACTAAAAGTACCTAAAATGAGCACCTATGTGAGATGACAGATATGTTAATTTGCTAGACTATACCAACCTCTTCACTATCTATCTATCTATCTATCTATCTATATCAAAGCACTATGGTGAACACCTTACATACAATAAAATGTAAATAAATAGAAATAGATAAGAATCCAGCTCATTTCTGCAAACCTCATTAAGCCGACATTAATTGATGACACTCTTCTTACTAAATATTTTTGTTCTCGAAGAATTATTACTCATAAATATATGCTATTATGTTAACATGTAATTAAATTTTTAAATAAACCAATATTTTTTAAATTTTTGTTTTAATTTCCAACATAGTAAATAGATACTTACAACCCACATTTTAAAAGCTATTTGGGGTCCTTAATTTTTATGAGCTTAAAGGGGTCCTGAGACCAAACAAAGTAGAGAACTGAAGATACAGGAAATTACTACACAAATAAAAAACGAAGAACATATGATAGAGCAAACAAGTTTCTGGGTTTAGATTCAGGGGGTATGTGTACAGGTTTGCTACGTGGGTATATCACATGATGCTGAGGTTTAAGCTTCTATTGATCCTGTCACCCAAATAGTGAACATAGTACCTGACGGGTAGTTTTTCAACCCTTGCCCCCTTCTCTCCTTCTCTCCTTTTGGAGTACCCAGTGTTCGCACCTTTCTGTCTGTATGTACCCAATGTTTAACTCCCATTTATAAGTGAGAACATGCAATATATGGTTTTCTGTTCCTGTGTTAATTCACTTAGGATAATGGCCCCAGCAACACCCATGTTGCTGCAAAGGACATTTCTTTCTCTCTTTTTTAAGGTTGCATAGTATTCCATGGTATATATGTACCACATTTTCTTTATCCAATCCACCATGTATGGGTTGAGTTGATTCCATGTCTTTGCTAATGTGAGTAGTACTGCAATAAACATACAAGTGTGGGTGTCTTTTTGTTAGAACAACTTATTTTCTTTCGGGTAAATGCCTAGTAATAGAACTGATGAGTTGAATTGTAGCTCTAAGTTGAGAAATCTGCAAACTGCTTTCCAGTGGCTGAACAAATTTACATTCCCACCAACAGTGCATAAGTGGTCCCTTTTTTCTGCAGCTTCACCAACATCTGTTTTTCAGTTTTTTAATAATAGCCATTCTGACTAGTGTGAGACGGTATCTCATTGTGATTTTGACTGAGCAAACAAGTTTTAAGATGGTACAGACAAAGGCAAATGACTTATTGAATTGTAGATTTAATTTGAACTTGCTATCAAAAGAGATAAAAAAATTCTAGAAGTTTAAGTTATTTTAATCAGGCTTTTAAAAGCATACCATGAGAAGATATAATTAAGAAGTACTTCAATTTTATGAGACTATTTATTTCAAGAATCTTACTGTTTGGTACCTAAAGATGAAGAGAGACAGGAACAAGCCTATAAAGCACTTTTAAGGGATACATGTAATTCCTCTGAAACCTCTTCATTATAAATGATGTAGAAGAGAATAAGGAGAAAAACTATTTAAAATGTAATTATTTCTATTATTCTAACTGCTAAGATACAGAATAAGGAGCTGAGTAAAAACAAACTTGATACACTAGTTGCAAGACTTTTGTTATTTAAATCACTGGTAATATTACCATCTTGCGGCAAAATCTAGTATTGCAATTTTGAATGACAGAATCTTAGAAGTGTTCACCATGCTTTTTTTTTTTTTTTTTAAGATGGAGTCTCACTGTGTCGCCCAGGCTGGAATGCAGTGGCGCGATCTCAGCTCACTACAACCTCTGCCTCCCAAGTTCAAGTGATTATCCTGCCTCAGCCTCCCAAGTAGCTAGGATTACAGGCATGAGCCACCACGCCTGGCTAATTTTTGTGCTTTTGTTTTTGTTTTTAAGTAGAGACAGGGTTTCGCCATGTTGGCCAGGCTGGTCTAGAACTCCTGACCTCAGGTGATCCACCCACCTCGGCCTCTTCTGATAAAAGACAGTCAAGTATTTTCCTCTTCCATACCCACCACACCCTCATGCCAACCATAAGTTAAAAAAACATCTTTAGCATTCTGTAATAAATAAAACAGTGATTAACAAAACTCCAAAGGAATGTTATTTAAACAGAGAAGGAGATGTCCCAATGAAATAGTAGTTTAAAATTAAAGCATAGCCAAAAACCCAACTGATGAAAAATGTTTCAATGTGTCAACAATTAAAACTGCCAAGACTAATTCTTACAGAGCAAAATTATACTTTATTAACACAGTATTCGATAAAACTTGTATTTGCTAATTCAACATTCATTGTTAATTTATTCATTTTTATATGTTAGAATTGCTGCCACATGTAAATTCTCCCACTTTGTAATAGAAGAAGTACAAGCATCCTTACAATGTTCTCTTCACCTTGGCCCATGTAATTTTCATGTGAATTTTCCCAAGCATGCAAAGAACTATCTGCTTATTACTGATAATCCAATCCAAAATCTACCCTCACTTCTTGCAGACTACTCTGCTGAATTTCAGCTAAACCCAATAAAACTTGTTTGTATGCGAGTATACATTTATATATACACATATGAGTAACATAAAGATTATAAGAATCAGAAGAAAAAGAAAGGAATCAAGCATACAAGGATAGAAAACTCTTAAGTTTTATCTTTTATTAGCTAGTCCCTTCCAGTTTAAATTGATACGCATAATGTGGACAAACATTTCCCTTAAAAGCAGAAGTCTAGATTTGCTAAGTCCAAGAATAAAGATAAATGCACATGATCAATTTCTAGCCATTATTTTATATATCCAAAACAGTGAGGTAGCCTGAATAATCTCCATATTCTGAACTCTCCATTTTGCTCCCAATATATCAGATTTATAATATACACAAAAAATAAGAGAAAGAGAACACACAAACTTGCAAGCACTCACCTTTCCCTCTGCCACTTCTAATCCTTGACTAGACCCAGTCAAATTATCTGAAATTACCAATGGGTGCTCCCAACAGCTGACAAACTATGTGACTTTCCTCTAAAGAAAGGCTTTATCATCTTTGTAAAATTTAATATTTAAAATAAAAACTAGTTCGAATAACCTGAGTTTTTAATCAATAATTACATGGGGCAATGATTTATACTGTGTTCATTTAATAGAAATGATTTAGGTGTCCAAGCCTTCTCACCCTAAGAACATTACCCTGTCTAACTGAAAAACATTCCCAAATGAGAATTTGTTCTGAAGATACTAACAGTACTCATTTACTAATGGTATCCAACCTGTTGACGATTGCAATGTTTGGTGCAAGCTGTGCGGCAACTGAAGAGTAAACAGAGGTGATTGGATGCTATTTCTGAAGAAGTCTTCTGTTGCTTTAGACTGCAAAACCTTGGTTTCCCAGAGCTGCAGAGGGGAAAAAAAAAGTTTACTTTAAAAAAATATATACACATATAATGATACTTCTCTTTTTTTCAGTTTCTTAAAAACTAACGTCATCCTGATGGCACAATGAATGGGTAAGTACTAAACTATAATTTGAGAGATCAGAACTATATCAGTTTTGTATGCTGAAAAAAACAACAAAAGACAGGAAGAAAAAGTTGTATCGGCTACAAACCTGCTTCAAGTCTTTTAAAACTTGTTCCTCTATACCTTCTTCAGCAAATAGATTCCGAACTCCTTCAATTACATCTTCAATTACAGATCTGTAGAGTTTAGGCTACATAAAAGCAATTGTTAAAGTTTCATTTTATTTATTTATTTATTTATTTATTTATTTATTTATTTATTCTTGAGATGGAGTCATGCTCTGTTGCCCAGGCTGGAGTGCGGTGGCACGAACTCAGTTCACTGCAATTTCCACGTCCCAGGTTCAAGCAATTCTCCTGCCTCAGCCTCCTGAGTAGGTGCGATTACAGGTGCATGCCACCATGCCCCGCTAATTTTTGTATTTTTAGAGAGACAGGGTTTCACCATGATGGTCAGGCTGGTCTCGAACTCCTGGCCTCGTGATCCACCCGCCTCAGCCTCCCAAAGTGCTGGGATTACAGGCATGAGCCACCACACCCGGCCTGTTAAAGTTCTGACTTCTCAAGTTAGAACATATTTGGCCTTAAAAGATATGCAGTGCATACCTTCTAGTCTTGTGAAGTCACCATTAAAACTTTTACTATGTACATTCCTATTCCCAATATAGTCTTAGCTTTCCATAAACTGTGTTAGCTTCAGACCCATAGTCTCAGCCTATCTACAAGACTGAATTACAGAACTACAATAACATATGAGCTAATAATCTCAAAGATGCATGGTTATTGTCATGTTACTTGCCTTTTGTGTCAGTATTTAACCTCCTCAACTCCTTTTAAAAGGGAAATTAATGTAAGTCAACCAGAAATAGACCTTCTGTTTTCAATTTACCTCTTTATCAAAGTGGCCAAAGGAGAATTTTTTAGGGTTCACTATATTATTTCCACAAATATAAATAAACTCCAAGCCAGAAAACTGGGGTAAACACTTAAAATAGAGCAATTAAAGCTCATCTCACTTCCAAAATACACAAAGTCCAAAAAATATATATTCTGGACCATTATCAAATACACCTGTTCCAAAACGGATTTCCTACCAGAACCTAAGAAGGGCACGAACAACCTTACCCATCCACAGTGTGCATACTGAAGAGACCAAATAACATTCTAAAATACCTCCTAGTCAAACATGCCATGACAATGAAATTAAGCAGATTTCTACCCAGATTAAACACTAGTTATAGCAACAAAAAAGAGGGTATGTGAAAAAACTCAGCCCTTCATATCTATATAAACTATGCCCCCAGGCCAAAATGGCAATGCTATGTGCTGACAATACTGACTTAGTGGAAGTTCCACCGGCAAGAAACAGCAAAGCAGGAATTTAGTTGAGTTGCTCTTATTTCAAATTGCTTAATCACGCCAAAATGAAAATTGTGGCACTCTAGGATTGCCTTTTCATCCTACCCTATTCAGTACTCATTAAGAGTACTAAATAAATACTCCTAAATACTCCTGTTCATGCCAAGAGTAGCTGTGCTTTTTTTTTATTATTATTATTATTTTTTTTTTTTTGAGATGGAGTCTTGCTCTGTCACCCAGGCTGGAGTACGGTAGCACAATCTGGGCCCACTGCAACATCTGCCTCCTAAGTTCAAGTGATTCTCCTGTCTCAGCATCCAGAGTAGCTGGCACTACAGGCGTGCACGACCTCACCTGGCTAATTTTTTGTATTTTTAGTAGAGATGGGGTTTCACCATGTTGGCCAGGCTGGTCTCAAACTCCTAAGCTCAAGTGATCTGCCCACCTCGACCTTCCAAGGTGCTGGGATTACAGGTGTAAGCCACCGTGCCCAGCCCCTAAGAGTATTTAGTATTTAAAGCTATGCTTTAATCCTTCTAAAGACCCAGGGTAAACCTATACGAATAGGCCAATCAGTAACATTTAAATAATGTTATTCACAAGCACATGCATTAAGACTAAATGCCCCTAAATTAGGTGCTTCTTCTAAAACAGTTTATCCTGATAAAGGCATACTAAATTGATGCTTCAGTGGTAGTCCCAGCTAGTGTGATCACGCTTAACACCGAAGGAAAAAACTCTTAGGTCTAAAAAATCTTAACACAGCAGTAGTCAAAAAGTACCCATTAGAACACAGTTTTTCAGAAATCAAAATAGGTATTGAACATATTTTCTCTTCTATGACCACAGACTTTGTATTGCATCCCTGTTATTAAAACTATGTCTAGTCCATCTTAACTCCTCTATTTAAAATACAGACACTCCTTCATAGAATTCACAATCAGATAAATTGGCATACATAGTAACCTTATATTCAGGCAGAGTATAGGTATTTTATGTATCTTAAAACGCACTATCATAAAACACATATAATTAAAGTAGCATGTCTCTAAAAATGGAGCTGTTATACTGCATATATAATACCCGGAACCCATAAAATTACACAGATCTGGACAGGCACATTGCCTTTCACGAAATGTGAAGTCTGTTGAGATGAATTGGTAATAAAGATGAATCCTTGATTTTTGTTCTTTGATTCAGGTTTTTAAGATTGATGGTCTCCTAAGTGCCACTGAGACTAGAAATTCTCACTGTGCAAATTAAGTGTCCGTTAGAGGTAGGAGGGTAATGTAGGTTGTACACTTAAGCATTAAGTTGTTAAAGGACAACGAAATGGGCGGGTAGTGAAAGACACTAAAAACATGTGGGGAGGTAACATGAGATATCACATTGTTATTTCAAGCAGTAAATAATACAGCTTGGAATTAACAATGTCCACGGTAAAATTAACACAACCGAACTTGGAGGTTTTCTAGTATCTAGGAAACCAGCAGGGTTGAGGATCAGTTCCACCTCTAAACACCCCAACTAGATAGCCTCAGTTTGGGTAAAAAGAGAAAAAGGGCACTTGTTCTTTTGGCGGGGCTGGCCCAACTTCCTGCTGAACTACTGGCCCTCAGCAGCTTCCTCCAACACAGACGTGAAGAAGAGCCCCAGCCCCTAAGGAAGAGAGAGGGTTTATGACAATCTGTAAAGTGTCAGGGGGAAACAAAAGGTGCAGGGTTCGGCTGCCGTGAACCCGGAGTCCCAGGGCGCTCCCTCTACACAGAGCCTGAGGTCTTCCTTACCACCGGGTTGAGGCAGGCCATGACAGCACCTCCAGCACCTGGCCCTTTGCGCCTGCGCGGCACGCAGTGCCCTCGGAGGGAAACACTGGGCACGTTTTGAACGATGTACGTCAGGTGCGCAACCACGGAGAACGCCGGGGGCGTGGCTGGGCAGAAGAGAACGTTAATAGATGGAGCGGGTTTGAGTGGAGGTGGGGGTCAAGGCGGAGAGGCGGTCGGCCTGTGTGAGAAAAGAGACCCGCTAAAACGGATGGTTAGGTTGGGTCTAGCCGGCTTTGGGCCGTTCACAGGTTGTTTCCTCAATCCGTGAAAGATGAAAATCGAGGAGGGGAAATGCAGGGGTAGATCTCAGTCTAACTTCAGCTTTGAAGAAGATGGGGAAAGAAAAGAGGGGAGACTAGTGATATCTGTCCTCTGCATTTACCAATTTTCATTCCTCCCCCTACACCCCACTCACAGCTGAACTCCATTTTTTGTTGTATAAAAATATAACAAGAGCCAAATTTTTCTAAGACTTGTCAGCGTGGTACAGCAGCATCAGCAGCATCTGGGAACTTGTTAAATATGCAAATGATGGGTCCCACCCCAGCCCTCCTGAATCAGACTGGAGGATGGAGCCTAGCATTCTGTAACTTTAACATGCTCTCCAGGTGATTCCAATGGGCGCTGACATGAGACCCCCTGACCTAAGACAAAGAGTCTCAATTTTGGGTGCACATTAAAATCACGCGGGGAGCTTTAAAAAAAAGTTTAGTGCCTGGATCCCACTCGGCAAAATCTGATTCTAATATGCAGCCAAGGTGGAAAACCACTGCTAAAAGAAAGTCAGCAGCTAATACGTTCCTATCTCCTTTTCTTAGTTAGGCAGAAATCACCAGCTGTCTACCTACAATAATTCTCTCTCCTGAAGGGCAGAGCATCTTGGGGCATACGTTACCTAGCTAAGACTGAGGGAAGATGTAAGCACAGATAACCTGGAGGATTAGAAAAGGGAAGAAGTCACCATCTGTTGCCACAACTCTGCCTTTTTGGCAGGGTCTCACACTGTTGCCCAGGCTGCAGTGCAGTGGCATGATCACAGCTCGCTGCAGCGTCTACCTCCTGGGCTCAAGCAACCCACTGACTTCAGCCTCCCAAGGAGCTGAGACTACAGGTGTGTGTGCCACCACGCCCAGCTATTTTGTGTGTGTGAGTGTGTGTGTGTGTTTTGTAGAGACAGGTTTTCGCCATGTTGCCCAGGCTGGTCTCAAACTCTTGGTCTCAAGTGATCCACCAGCCGCAGCCTCCCAAAGTGCTGGAACTATAGGCATGACTCGCCGCACTTGGCCACAACTCTTCTAAACAGCCTTTCTATCCTGCAAATAGGTCTTGACCTAACCAGATGGATACGTTATTTGATGATTAAAAACTCTATTATATTTAAAATTGGCTGTTTATTTATTTATTTGTGCAAGTAAGTGCAGTAGAGCTGTTTATCCCCTACCACTGTGTATGTGATTTGCCTGGGTCAGGTACCTTATGGTTTGTGAGTTTCAAGTAGCTGATTTATATGATACCCTTTAGAAAACTTTCCTACATTGAAAACTATTAGAAATTTCTTTTACAAAAAGCCAAGAACTATATATGGTCATTTTAATGGTCATATCTCTCCACCTGGCAATTTACTACCAGGAGTGTTCAAAGTGACTTATCTTTCACCCAAAGTAGGAAAGCTAAAAGCAGTCATTGATTCCTACTGATATTATAAAATCCAATTAAATTATTCAAGCTGGGAAATAAGAAAGCTAAAAGTGTCTCTTGTTTTCCATCTTTTTCATAGGAAGGTTTTAAAGCTTTATTTCTAAATGCTTAGGATTGGTAATCACCTAACTTTCTGTGACAGCATACTGTTTTACTTTATTACACATTCTGCCCTTCTCAGAACTATACGTAGATCATGTATATTTTTTAAATTATTCTTGGATCTTGGTACCCATAAAAAGTGTAACTAAAAGTTGAATTGTTATTTCTTAGTACAGTCAGTATACTCAAGTTATGGAGAGGCTATGTAATGTTAGCAGAGAAATGTCAGCAAATTTCATTTGCCCCTTGCAGTTTGTCTGAATGGTCACTAGTCATTTCTTCCCAATAACAGGCAATGACTACTAGAGGAGGTATGCTTTAACACAAGTTCTAGGTAAATCCAAGTTGCAAATCTGCCACGTGGACCTGTGGTAGCCAGTTTTCAAGATGGCCCCCAGTGATCCCTGCCTCCTGGTATTGACCACTTGGTGTTGTCCCCTCCTACCTTGTACCATGGTAGGTTTATTTTACCACTAAAATAAAGAAGAAGTAGGTCTCCCTCTCCCTCTCCCGTCTCCCTCTCCCTCTCCCGTCTCCCTCTCCCTCTCCCGTCTCCCTCTCCCTCTCCCGTCTCCCTCTCCCTCTCCTTTCCACGGTCTCCCTCTCATGCCGGGCCAAAGCTGGACTGTACTGCTGCCATCTCGGCTCGCTGCAGCCTCCCTGCCTGATTCTCCTGCCTCAGCCTGCCGAGTGCCTGCGATTGCAGGCGCGCGCCGCCACGCCTGACTGGTTTTCGTGTTTTTTTGGTGGGGACGGGGTTTCGCTGTGTTGGCCGGACTGGTCTCCACCTCCTAGCCGCCAGTGATCCGCCAGCCTCGGCCTCCCGAGGTGCCGGGATTGCAGACGGAGTCTCATTCATTCAGTGCTCAATGGTGCCCAGGCTGGAGTGCAGTGGCGTGATCTCGGCTCGCTACGGCCTCCACCTCCCAGCCGCCTGCCTTGGCCTCCCAAAGTGCGGAGATTGCAGCCTCTGCCCGGCCGCCACCCCGTCTGGGAAGTGAGGAGCGTCTCTGCCGGGCTGCCCATCCTCTGGGAAGTGAGGAGCGTCTCTGCCTGGCTGCCCAGTCTGGAAAGTGAGGAGCGTCTCTGCCCGGCCGCCATCCCACCTGGGAAGTGAGGAGCACCTCGTCCGGGCCCCCATCCCATCTAGGAAGTGAGGAGCGTCTCTGCCCAGCAGCCCATCGTCTGAGATGTGGGGAGCGCCTCTGCCCCGCCGCCCCGTCTGGGATGTGAGGAGGGCCTCGGCCCGGCCGCGACCCCGTCTGGGAGGTGAGGAGCGTCTCTGCCAGGCCGCCCCGTCTGAGAAGTGAGGAGACCCTCCGCCTGGCAACCGCCCCGTCTGAGAAGTGAGGAGCCCCTCCGCCTGGCAACCGCCCCGTCTGGGAAGTGAGGAGCGTCTCCGCCCAGCAGCCGCCCCGTCCGGGAGGGAGGTGGGGGGCTCAGCCCCCCGCCCGGCCAGCCGCCCCGTCCGGGAGGTGAGGGGCGCCTCTGCCCGGCCGCCCCTACTGGGAAGTGAGGAGCCCCTCTGCCCAGCCAGGAGCCCCTCTGCCCAGCCAGCCGCCCCGTCCGGGAGGGAGGTGGGGGGGTCAGCCCCCCGCCTGGCCAGCCACCCAGTCCGGGAGCTGAGGGGCGCCTCTGCCCGGCCACCCCTACTGGGAAGTGAGGAGCCCCTCTGCCCGGCCACCACCCCGTCTGGGAGGTGTACCCAACAGCTCATTGAGAATGGGCCATGATGACGATGGCAGTTTTCTGGAATAGAAAAGGGGGCAAGGTGGGGAAAAGATTGAGAAATCGAATGGTTGCCGTGTCTGTGTAGAAAGAAGTAGACATGGGAGACTTTTCATTTTGTTCTGTACTAAGAAAAATTCTTCTGCCTTGGGATCCTGTTGATCTATGACCTTACCCCCAACCCTGTGCTCTCTGAAACATGTGCTGTGTCCACTCAGGGTTAAATGGATTAAGGGCGGTGCAAGATGTGCTTTGTTAAACAGATGCTTGAAGGCAGCATGCTCATTAAGAGTCATCACCACTCCCTAATCTCAAGTACCCAGGGACACAAACACTCTGCCTAGGAAAACAGAGACCTTTGTTCACTTGTTTGTCTGCTGACCTTCCCTCCACTAGTGTCCTATGACCCTGCCAAATCCCCCTCTGTGAGAAACACCCAAGAATGATCAATAAAAAAAAAAATTAAATTAAAATAAAAAAAAAAAAGAAGAAGTAGTAGCATATCACCTTTGAGATAAGGTTATTCATAGCTGTGGATTCTTTCTTGGGCTCACTCTCTCATTTTGGAGGAAGCCAGCTGTCATGTCATGAGGATACTCAGGTAGCTTATGGAGGGGTCTATTTGGCAAGGAACTGAGACTCCAGCCCACAGTCAGCAAGTATGAGAAACCCTCAAACAGTCACATAAGTAAGTTCGGAAATAGATCCTTCCCCAGTTGAACTATCAGATGATTGCAGCCCTGACAAGCTTTACTACATATCTTTGAGTTATCTTGAACCAAATCTACGCTCTAAGCATCTCCTAGATTCCTGATCCTCAGAAGCTATATGAGATCATGAATATCTGTAATTTTATTTGCAGTTACATTTTGGATAATTTGTTACACAGTGTGAAATAACTAAACCAGCACCCATTCTCTGATTGGACTGTCCCTCATTGTAATCTCAAGTGTCTTGAGTGACCTCACCAGTCACAAGAGCATTTGAAAAGTATGTAAAAGAATCTTTTAACACTTACGTTTGATAGCTTATCAAATTATCATGAAATATGCAGAATAGTATAGTCATGATGGTTACATTTCTTTTGTCAATTTTTTAAACTCAGAGAGGAAGTATGTTGCATAAACAATCCACTTTTTTTAGAGAGAGAGACAGGGTCTAGGTCTATCACCCAGGCTGGAGTGCAGTGGTATGATCATAGCTCACTGCAGCCTCGAACTGCTGGCCTCAAGCAATCCTCATACCTCAGCCTCCCAATGTGCTGGCATTATGAGCATGAGTCACTACATCCAGCCTACAAGGTACTTTTGATGGTAAAATTGAAATTTCAAGATCCTACAGCCTCAGTGAGGCAATTTTACAGTGGCTATTTTTTGTTAGTAAATAATGAATAAAAAAGAAATGCCAAAACTTAGTCCTTCTTTAAGTACCTATTCCTTTGAATTACACCTCTGCCAAAGCATAAAGCTCCCCCTTAACTGGCCAACACAATTTGGAGCATCAGATTTTCATTTTTCTCCTACTTTGTTTAGAGACCATAATATATAATATATATGTTTATTACTGATAATCAATACCAGTTTTTGCAACATTTAAGCAAATCTTAATAATCAGATTAATTTTCTTCCCCATGTGTCCTCACTACTTTTGCCTGGAGGTGTTAGTGATACTCTTCTGAAAGTAAAGAAATAATTTCACTTTGCTTATTGTGAGCAAAGGCCATATTTGTGAAGTCCTTTTGTTGGATAAAAATGTAAAGAAAGGCCGGGAGCAGTGGCTCACCCCTGTAATCCCAGCACTTTGGGAGGCCGAGGCGGGCAGATCACCTGAGGTCAGGAATTCAAGACCAGCCTACCAACATAGTGAAACCGTCTCTACTAAAAATAAAAAAATTAGCCAGGTGTGGTGGTGCATGCCTGTAATCCCAGCTACTCAGGAGGCTGAGGCAGGAGAATTGCTTGAACCTGGGAGGCAGAGGTGCAATGAGCCAAGATCATGCCACTGCACTCCAGCCTGGGCGACAAAGTGAGACTCTGTCCCAAAAAAGAAAAAAAGGAAAGAAAAATATTTTAGAGGCAGCCCATTATTTTTTACGTATTAAACTTTCCAGTCAAATACAAAGTATTTCAATAATTGTATAGACTCTAATTATTTATTGGTGATTAAAATACAAGTTGGTATTTGAGCATATGACTAAAGGCAGCAAATATTCATAATTAACTTCTGAACATTTTGCAACCAATGCACTAAACCCAGGGTGTTTCTCTGACCCTGTTTCATCCTTTACATCTTACAGGAAATGAAAATCCAGATAATCTCTGCCTCACCCTGTAACTTTGAAATGGTTACAGTGTTGGCAGTTCTGATTTATTTTATACTCTGCACTTTTGTAACATTTTCAATTTTCTAATACAGCTCCAAAATCAACTTGCTTTATTTGAACATCTGATTCTATTCCACCATGATGAATTCCTCCTCCCACTCCAACAAGATTTCAGTTAAAGTGACCATGTGACACAATGCAATGGAACACTGTTAATGAGTATATGACTGCCTACTTCAAAATATTTTAATATTCAAGAGATGTATATATCGTGCACGTATTACTAATTATAATTAACTCATAAAAAGTATGTGGGATGACTTCAAACACAATTTTCCTCATCACTACTTTTTCAACATTCTCATCAAGGTCTTGATAAGGATTCAGTAATTTCCTACCTAACAAATGGTTATACTTTCATTTCTTTAATCGTAATGCATATAATCATACATGTACATAAAATATTAGCAACAATAATGTTTATTGTCTCCAGTTAATTCTCCAACCTAGACAAGGTGGAGATAAAGACAAATAATTTGAACTTAAGGCTATGACCTGCAGAAAACCAACCAGCTTTGTTCCCTCGATAACTGTGCTTTTCTTTTTTCCTAATTTGTCTCATTTTATAAGAGGTAAGTGGCAGCATCTTGACTGTTCTATTCTGTTGTCTTAGATGCTTCAAATATTCGGAGAGGCAGGGACAACATAAAATAAACACACTTCTTCCTATTCATTCTGCTATGAACAGCTAAAATGTTATATATCTAAACAAACATAAGAAGACTCTGAAAAGTGAGGAGAATATGGCAGGCCAATTATGGACCTCGCAATCCCAACAGCCACATAGCAGTGAGTTCTCTGATTTTCTTTTTGCCTCCCATATCCTAGATTGGGTGCTGGAGAAGCTGGCAACCCAGAAATACCAATGGTCAGAGAGGAAACATAAAAAAGCTTGCTTTTTCTAGCCAAAGGACCAAGAAAGGGTCATCAAGACAGAAAACTTTTAGACAATAACCACTGTATTCTATCCAAACACCACAGAAAACCACTGTGGCCCCTTTCCTACCACTATCATCCCTACTTGTGATTGCATTTTCTTTTGGCTTTGAAAGTGGCAACGTCAGTGTTTGCTTATATGTGTTTACATGGGATGAGCTAGTGAATGATTCTTTATGTGAATGTTTTTCATTTGAAGTTACATCTTATTGTTACATGGACAGGTCAAGGAAATTAAGCACGGGATATTGTTTCAAGTACAAGAAAAAAAGCCATCTACAGCCACACAAGCGTTCCAAGATACCTTTAACAAGAGAGATGTTTTCATTTCATGATGAGAAACAACACCCCTTGGCCGTGCACGGTGGCTCACGCCTGTTATCCCAGCACTTTGGGAGGCCGAGGTGGGTGAATTGCTTGAGTCCAGGAGTTCGAACCTGACCAACATAGTGAAACTCTTTCTCTACTAAAAATTCAAAAAATTAGCCAGACATGGTGGTGCATACCTGTAATCCCAGCTACTTGGGAGGCTGAGACATGAGAATCACTTGAACCTGGGAGGGGAAGGTTGCAGTGAGCCGAGATCAGGCCACTGCACTCCAGCCTGGGAGAGAGAGGAAGACTCAAAAAAAAATTTTTTAAGTCTCAAAAAAAAATTTAAAAAGAGAGAGAGAAAAGTAACACTTCCTTCATAAGTTGCTGGCTATTAAATGAGAAAACACAGTCCCAGACAAACAACAGGTGCTAAAAAGCTAAGGGTGCTTCCTCTCCACTTTTACCAGCTTTCAAAAACAAGATTAAATCAAATTTTAAAACAAATATTTTAATATTTTTCAACCCCTTGGATATGTGTATGTGTTTATTTTTTAAAGGACATTTGCAACCATAAGTGTAATAGATTTTTAAATTTCTTGAGGGCTTAGGCTGTGTATTATTCATTCTTATATGCCCCTTGAGTTCCTAGCATAGTACCTCAAATATGAAAAACACTCATTAAAAGTTATTGATATGAATTTATTCTTAAGCTCTTATAAAATGGAATTTCTAGCCTATATGTGGGAGAAAATTACGGATTAAAATGCAACTATCATAGGGAGAAAAGTAGTGCATTGATCTAAATTTATCCGATCATTCATTCATGTAGTGTTTCTTATTGAACACATAGGTCGTAATCTCTGGCCAGGGGATTAGCCCCATATCACTGGCATTGCTCCTACCATCACCTACCACCACCCCTGCAGATGGTTCTCTTCCCAGAAAAAGAGAAATAACTGGGCAGAGCCACCCCAGTCAAAATCCCAAAGAGGGTGGGCAAAAAGAAAAAGATGCAAGTAATTACAATATAACAGGATTAGTACCAAAAAAAATACCTGTGAGGTTCACCTAACCTGAATGGGGAGGGCCAGGGAAGGCTTCTTAGAATTGGTCCCCTAAACTGAGGTCTGTGGAATGAGTAGGAGACAGAGGAAGGGGGCAAGGAAGAATATTCCAGGGAGAGGGTACTGTATCAGCCAAAACTTGGGGCTTGAGAACATGCAGGGTTTGAGAACATGATGGGTTTGAGGAAAACAGAGCAGTTTGTTTGGTTTGGCTAGAGGGTAGAGAATAAGGCAAGCTGTGGTGAAAGCTAAGGCTCACTGGTAAGCAAATGCAAGATAATGTGTCCCTTCCTGACTGCAGCACAAAGGGTGGACTGGAGGATGGAGGACAGCCACACTGAAGGTAGAGAAGCAGTTAAAGGTCTGTGGGGTTTGGAGGAATAAGTAGCTCCACTGGAAAAGCCTGCAGCAGAAGAACACCAAGATCTAAGTTACTGACATCTACCCTTCCGTGGCACTCAATCATATAAGACAAAAAGAAGGAGGCAGGGAGACCCTAAAAGCCTTGAGGAGGTGTGGGGGAAGGGACTGGAGCATCACTGATGGAGGAAGAGGCAAGAAAAAGAGGGCTACAAACATCGTCTAGGTCACAGTCTTACCCAAGGCCATCTCTGATCCCAGTGAGAGTTTAATATAGAATGTGTCCTTTTCCACAATGAGTACTTGGCAAAGCCTTTGAAAAGTGTTTCAGAATATCTCAAAATTATCCACTGGAGAGGCAGGCTCTTGGCATTTAACAATGCCACTGTTCAAAGATGCTCTTTCCTTGTCCTTTTCATGGCACTTGAGGACCTTTGGATGGAATTCTCTCTGAGCAGTGTGAAAATATCAAAATAAAACTCTACAGAAAAGGACAAGCACTGCTCCCGGGCGGCCTCTCCCACCCCCACCCGGCCACTCACAGCTCTGTAGCGTCTCTCTCAGAGATGAAAAGCAGAAAAAGAAACTGAACTCTAGAGTGCTCACAAATGTATTTCCCAAATCAGAGCTGCCTTAACCATTTATTCCCTGTTAGAGGGAATTGATCATCTCAGTTCTAAAATCACAATAATGTCCTCTTTTGAGTCAGTATAGCTGATATTGAAGCATTAATACCAGTGACATCCACGGCAACCTCTACCATGAAAAAAAAAATACGGTTAAAGAACACATATTAAAGGAAGTGATCAAACTTTTCAAGAAAATAAAATTGGGCTGAGTACAGTGGCTCACGCCTGTAATCCCAGCACTTTGGGAGGCCGAGGTGGGCAGATCACTTGATGTCAAGAGTTTGAGACCAGCCTGGCCAATATAGTGAAACCCTGTCTCTACTGAAAATATAAAAATAGGCCAGAAATGGTGGCGGACACCTGTAGTCCCAGCTAATCGGGAGGCTGAGGCAGGAGAATCACTTGAACCGAGGAGGCAGAGGCTGCAGTGAGCTGAAATCACACCACTGCCCTCCAGCCTGGGTGGCAGAGTGAGATTCTCTCTCAAAAAAAAAACAAAAACAGAAACAAACAAACAAAAAAACCCAGGGGGAAAAAAAGAAAATTAAAATCGGTAATAAAGAGTCCTTAAAGAAACAGGATCCTCCATCTCTGGGATGGTGAAAAGTCTCTGAATCCCCTGTTCCACTTCTGGGAAAGAAACTAAGAAAGAACACCTTAGATGACAGGCCTGCATTCATCCGTACCCATAGACTCTGTCTTGCCTCATTGCCGTGGATGAACTGTTTGTGCTTTTATCTGTCAGCCCCTCTGCTGGCGCCTTGGGTCCTTTCCCCTCTCATCTGCTCAGAGATATGGCCTTAGCAATTGTCTCTCTCTCTCTCCTTTGCATCGTTAATTTTCTTTTCTTTTCCTCCCCCCTCCCCACCCACGCTGTCACTCAGGCTGGAATGCAGTGACACGATCCTGACTCACTGCAACCTCCGCCTCCCGGGTTCAAGCGATTCTCCTGCCTCAGCCACCAGAGTATCTGGGACTACAGGCATGCACTGCCACACCTGGCTAATTTTTGTACTTTTAGAATAGATCGGGTTTGACATGTTGGCCAGGCTGGTCTTGAACTCCTGACCTCAGATGATCCACCTGCCTCAGCCTCCCAAAGTGCTGGGACTATAGGCATGAGCCACTGCACCCTGCTGCATCATTAATTTTCCTTTCACCAGTGGATCATTGCCAATTCCTTTCAACAGTGGATCACTGCCAATCCAGTGGTGTACCAAGTATGGGGAAGTGGGCAGTCCTGGGCACAGGCAATAATGAGAAGCATTGTTTACTGATAATTTAAACACAATGATGAAACAACAGAAAGTCAGTCAGCTTTTGATTATCACCATGTTCTGGCAATTCTGGCAAAAGAATGTCCACAATTAAATACTCTATCTCCCCTCCCCACCAATTTTTTATTTAATATTGGCACGCATTCTAAACAATAAGTATAATAATTGTTGAGTTTTAATAATGCAAATGAAAGATTCAAATCAGCATTTTTTTTTAGTTTCTTAGCGTATAATAAACATTGTATCCTACATAGAAGTTAATTTGGAGAACTCCCAGTTATACACTTGGACCTCTGACACATGTGGACTGATACCCATATTCGTCTCGGGATTCATAATGGTCCAGGTGCAATTTGTGTCTCTATTCCTTTGGTACCATGTATTCTTGGATTTAAACAATAGATTTAAAATAAACTGTGATTGTAAAGATGAAGAAATAGAATTTAGGTTACTTCTTGTTTTTGTTTTTTTTTGGATGGAGTCTTGCTCTGTCGCCCAGGCTGGAATGCAGTGGTGCGATCTTGGCTCACTGCAACCTCCACCTCCCCGGTTCAAGCAGTTCTCCTACCTCAGCCTCCTGAGTAGCTGGGATTACAGGACCCTGCCACCACGTCTGGCTAGTTTTTTTTGTTGTTGTTCTTGGTTCTTTTTAGTAGAGACAGGGCTTCACCATGTTGGCCAGGCTGGTCTCAAACTCCTGGCCTCAACTGATCCGCCCGCCTTGGCCTCCCAAAGTGCTGGGATTACAGGCGTGAGCCACCGTGCCTGGCCAATTTTTTTGTTTGTTTGTTTGTTTGTTTGAGACAGAGTCTCACTCTATTTCCCAGGCTGGAGTGCAGTGGCACAATCTCTGCTCACTGCAACCTCCGCCTCCTGGGTTCAAGTGATTCTCATGCCTCACCCTCCCAAGTATCTGGGATTATGGATGCCCACCACCATGGACAGTTAATTTTTGTATTTTTAGTAGAGACAGGGTTTCACCATGTTGGCCAAGCTGGTATTGAACTCCCAACCTCAGGTGATCCATCTGCCTCAGCCTCCCAAAGTGTTGGGATTACAGGCGTGAGCCACTGTGCCCAGCCAAACTTAGGTTACTTCAATTCTGTCATTCTATGTGACCATTTGGAGTTTTTATTTGTATCTTTAAATTTAAAAGACTAAAATGGAGTGTGAATTGCAAGATGTAATATTTTTGTTTAGTAAGTTTTGTTTCATTACTTTATACATTAAATATTTACTATTTTTGAGTAATAATATTTTTAAATTGAAGTTTATTCTTCTATTTTAATTGTGAACTGTTTTTGTTGCACAGCTTTGAAATTATTCCTAACACATGTATAGTTTGCTATGAGTGACATATGTTTTACTATGATAAGAACTTGCGATGTACTCCCACTTCCTCCGAGAATGTTACATCACACCTTATCAAACCCCATATGTGAACTACTGACTTCAACTACTGGACTCCAAAATACAGTGGTGTGCTTCATAACAATGTTTCTGTCAATGAGGGACGGCTTATAAAATGGTAGTCCCATGAGATTATAATACCATAGTTTTACTGTATCTTTTCTTTGTTTAGATATGTTTCGATACACAAAACCATTGTATTACTACTGCCTACAGTATTCAGTATAGTAGCATGCTGTTACCAAAAACATGTTTGTAGCCTAGGAGCAATAGACCATACTATATAGCTTAGGTGTGTAGTGGGCTATACTATCTAGGTTTGTGTCAGTAAATTCTATGATGCTTGCACAACAACGAAGTCTCCTAACAACACATTTCTCATTTTGTACATTTTCCCATTGGTAAGTAATGCATGACTTACCTACAAATCTAATAGTTTGGCAGACACTTTGAGAGATTAGGCCATGGCATGACTGCACTCTGTTGAGTTGCTTCTCCAAAGATCGTGAGCTCCAGGTATGGCAGGACTACATCCTGTTAGCCTTTGGGGTCATCTCCGAAGACTCAGCAGCAACACCCACACTCTTGCATGGAGGGACCTCCTGTGTCTGCATGGATCTCTGTTGTGCTGATCAAGCTATCTCTCCCAAAATCCTCTCTTACACTCATACCTGACACTTCAACTAGCTTTCACTTTCCATAGAGCCTGCATTCATCCTAATTGAGCAACTAGGCTTTAGTAATTTTGGAACTCATTCATTACATGGTTAATGTACTTCATCTATCAAGTGTATTCCCTATGAGATTTGTTCTTGTGATTCTTTCCCTCTTTAAACATCATGGAAAAAATTCCCTGTGTGTGACAATAAGCCATGTGAGTCGTGAAATAATATTTTGATCACCTCCTTATTTGAACCATACAAAACAGCTTTAAAATAAATAATGAATCAAAACAATAAAATATCCCACTAATAGTATGATTTCACAGTTGCCTAAATTGTACCTTTCACAGATACTTTAATTTTATTAAAATTCACTTATTAATTACTGGACAATTATTTACATAGAATATTAGTGTATCATCTATAATAAAGAATCGAAGTTCAAACTATTAGGTAGATATAAAAACTATGAATAAATAGGTGTGCTTTTTTTATCCTGCAGGAACTTTGTTGGCATTCTTAAGATTATGAAACCAGCAACTGGTTTATAATTATTCTGAATTTGATAAGAAAATTTGAAGTGGGATTACCATCCTAATATGAAATGACATTGACCCAGTGAAATTCAACCAAGAAAAATTTTAAAACAAAGCAGGATGTGATTGAAGCAATGGCTAAATTTATTTTAAAATATGTAATGCCTACAATACCACACATATAGTTAATGAAAATTCTGAAGAAATACAAGCTGGCATAGTCAAAGCACCTAGGCTAGAAACAGCAAATGATTCGGATGACATGGGCTAAAAGATAACAAGGAATCATTTTCTATAAGCATTAACAATAAGGAAGACAAAAAATTTTAGCAAGAGTCAACATCAAGAAGATAAAAATAATAGTAATGACAAAGAAAGAGCCAGAGAGCAGACAAAGTATCAAGACTTGAGTCTTAAGGGATGTCAGGGAAGTATTGAGATCTCATCCTCCCCAGCCACTGTTCCAGTGTTCATATTGACAGCAAAACTCCTCAAAAGAGCTGAAGGGGAACAGGTGTACTGGCTCATGCCTGTAATCCCAGCACTTTGGGAGGCAGAGGTGGGTGGATCGCCTGAGGTCAAGAGTTTTGAGACCAGCCTGGCCAATATGGTGAACCCCTGTCTCTACTAAAAATACAAAAATTAGCCGGGAGTGGTGGCACACACCTGTAATCCCAGCTACTTGAGAAGCTGAGGCACAAGAATCACTTGAACCTGGGAGGTGGAGGTTGCAGTGAACTGAGATGGCACCACTGCACTCCAGCCTGGGCAACAAGAGCAAGACTCTATTCCCAAAAAAAAAGGGGGCTGAAGGGATTCGTGCCATCCCAAAATATGCTGTTTTGGCATATTGATTATTTTAATCTGAAGGCACTTGAGAAACAGCTCATGCAGAAGGGCTCTGATATGGTATGGATGTGTTTCCCCTCCAAATTTTATGTTGCATTGTGACCTCCAGTGTTAGAGATGAGCCTAGTGGGAGGTGTTTGGGTCATGGGGGCAGATCCCTCATGAATGTCTTCATGCTGTCCCTGCGATAATGAGTGAGTTCTCACTCTGTTCATTCATGCAGAGCTGAGCCTGGAAGCTCCTCCTCTCGCTCCTGCTTCTTTCTCACCATGTGACATGCCTGCTCCCGCTTCACCTTCTGCCATGAGTAAAAACTTCCTGAGGCCTCGCCAGAAGCCAAGCAAATGCTGGTTCCATGCTTGAGCAGCTTGCCAAACTGTGAGCCAATTAAACCTCTTTTCTTTATAAATTACTGAGTCTCAGGTATTCCTTTACAGCGATGCAAAACAAACTAACATAGGCTCTCTGACCTCCTCATTTCTACCTAAAAACAGATCATAAAATTTTCCATGAAAAAGGTGCCTTCCCTGTACTAGGAAGAGAACATTCTTATCACCAGAGACTAGGAGTTGATGCCGAAATGGACTTCCACAACAAACTACCAAAACGACCCTGTCTTTCGTTAATTTCCCCCATGTATTTCCTAGGCACTGTCCTACAATTTAATGCCCCAAGCCCAAGCCCCTTTGTCTTGTCACATCCCCATAATTTATTGTTCTTTGCGTGAAAATGTATATAAGCTTCACGGCCTACTGTCTTCCTAGGGTCTTCATTTCCCTTTTGAAGACTGCCACGTCCGTGTAAAAATATTAATAAAATTGGTATGCTTTTCTCCTGTTAATCTGTCTTATGTCAGTTTAATTCTTGGACCAACAACAGAACTGAAGAGGGTAGAAGGAAATTTTGCTTCCCCTACAAAGCCATTTACTCCCTGAGTCCAAACCTGCTTGAGTTTGCTTCCATTGCTCTCACTTCAGTGACACTGTTTCTGTCAAGGTCACCATTTCCATGTTGCTAGATTCAGTAGTCAACTCTCAGTCCTCATCTTACTCTAGCAGCAGCATTTGAGGAAACTCATTACATCCTTTTTCACTTGACCCCTGGAATGAATGCCATTCTCTTTTTTCTTCTACTCCAGCTACTCTTCCTCAGTGTCCTTTATGACATTGCCCTCATTTTCCTGACCTCTAAACTCCAGGGAGCCCAAGGGCTCAATTCTCAGCCCACTCCTAGTGTATATTTACTCCCAGGTGATCCCAGTTAGTCCCATGGCTGAAAGCGCTGATATCTCTAAGAGGCGCATCTTTATCCCAGCCCTCTTTCCTGCCTTGTACATTCAATTGCTACTTGCTGTCTCCATTAGACGTCTAATAGGCATCTCAAAGTTAACACATCCAAACATGAATTCCTGATCTTTCTCCCCAAAACCTGCTCCTACAACACCCTTCCCCTCGTCCATAAAATCAACTCCACTCTTTCGTTGCTCAGGCCAAAAATCTGGCAGTTGTTTTGGTTCCCTTCTTTCCCTCACGCGCCACATCTAATCCATCGGCATATACTATTGGCTCCATATTTCAAATATGTTCTGAATTCAACCATTTTTCATCTCCTGTCACCACTCTCAATCACCGTCACCTCTCACCTGATGCTATCATCTGAATGTTTGTGTCCCACGCAAAATTCATATATTGAAACCTAACCCCCAAGATGATGGTAGTGAAAGGTGGGGCCTTTGGGAGGTAATTAGGTATGAAGGCTCTGTCCTTATGAACAGGATTAGTGCCCTTATAAAAGAGGGTTCAGGGAGCCCTTTTGCCCCTCCTGCCATGTGAGGACACGGCAAGAACGTGCCTACTATAAGAAACAGACAGGCACTCACCAGACACTGAATCTATTGGCACCTTGATCTTGGACCTCCCAGCCTCCAAGATTGTGAGAAATTTGTGTTGTGAGAAATTTCTGCTATCCCTCAGTCTCAGGTATAGCAGCAAGAAAGGACTAAGACACCTGAGATACTGCAATAGACTCTTAACTACTTTCTTTGCTTCTGCCTCTACCTCCTTTTTATGTCCACACGATCATCTTAACATGTAACAAAGTTCTACCCCTCCTCTACACAAAGCCTTCCAGGGGCTCCCATCTCACTCAGAGTAAAATCCATGGCCCACAAAACCCTAGGTGGTCTGCCTCCCCCACCTCCCCACAATCTCTCTGATCTCTTTCCACCTCCATCCCACCCCCTTGCTCACTCCGATATGGCCATCCAGCAGCCATCTGTCCTCTGTGATGTTCCTCTGACGGGTTAGCACCCCGAGTCCCGCACCTATGCACTAGCAGAGCCCTCTGCTGGACACACTCTTCCCTGGGGATCTGAGTGGCACTCTACCTCATTTCTTTCAGGTCTCGCTGCTAGAATGTCATCTCATCAAAGAGAACGTCCCTTACCAACCTATCTAAAATGGCACGCTTCTACCACTCTTTATTGTTTTACCCTGCTTTATTTTTCTGCATAGCAATAATCACAACTTGATATTTATTGCCTGACTTCCCCCACTATTATATGCTCTCTATAACAGCAGGAATTAACTGTTTTTGTAATTACTTGTCCCTAGTACCTAGAAAAATGCAGACATATAGTAAGCACTTAAGAAAATTAGAATGATCAGCAAGATGATTATTTGGAACGAAGGTCACATAGCATTTTGAGGTGACTCAGAGTGCCAAACTGGCAGCCAATGTCTTTAGGAAGCCTTCTGTACTTCAGAAGGCTTTGGGAATGCTGCGTGCGTACAGCTACACTCATAGACTACTCATGATATAAGACTTTTGGAAAGAGAGTGTCCTAACTGGCTTTACAAAAAACAACAACATCCACCCAGGGAGATTTCTGAGAGAAATACAGAGCCCATCTTGAAAAGAACAATATTCATTACTCCTTTCTGAGGACTGAAACAGAACCAAGGCTTGTCCCTGAGTCAAGGCAGCATGAAATATTCTCCTGAAAGCATATATCTTTGCTTGTTCTTACCTAAGAAGCTGAAAGTACAATCCTGGACTGGAGATTTTTAGAGACCACATTGACCTTGACACATGCCAAAGCAGGATGAATTAATTATAATATCTTATAAATCTTTTAAAGAAAGAAGATTTTATTAACTCTCATTAGAAAAATTTTGTTTGAAACCTGTGGAGAAGGAAGACACTGTTTTTCTTTCTCTGTAACAGTTAGAAATGTTCAGAGACAAGCATAGTATTTAAATCTTTCGGATGTGTAAAACTGTATTTGACAGCATTTTTAGACTAGGCATTAAGAATACTTTAATGTGTTTGTCTATTGCATTAATTTTAATTATACTCCACTGGACTCACAATGCTTTGAAATGCTTTATTAAATGCCCCCAAGATCTTGCACTAATCATAATACAAGCACCACCAAATTTAAATGCTTATATTTCTAGAGCTGGGTAGCATCAGCTTGCCCGAGAGCACCCTCTTCTGTTTAAAGAATGTACTGCAAATTACATTTCATGGAGTTCACAATTCTGGATTCTACAAAAGGGACTTCTCAGGAAAATGTCAACACGCACAGTCATATTATTTAAAGAAGCCACTCTTCCCTCTGAAGTTTGGAAGGCTGTGCGAGTGCAGATACATGAAGGGTAAGCAGCAAAACCCAGAGTCTAATGATGCTGTGCCTTTCTTCCCCAGGAAGTCTCACGGAAATGAACTGAAATATTTTAAAACTTGGGGCAATTAATCTAATCAGTTTTCCTTTTCCTTACAGAGGAAAATGATTACATTCCTTACAGATGATTTTAAAGGCACAATATTATCTGTAGCTTGTATCTATGGATTTTTGTAATTCAACTATTTGCTTCTTGACTAGCAACTCTGTCTTGCTTTAAAAATTAGTCAAATTCATATTTCATTGCCATTTCTAAGCAGGATAACAAAAAGTGCTTGTATCATATGACCTAGGGAAATATGTGGATAATTAGATTGAGCCCGTGAAATTCCCATCAAGAAAGGTAAATATTGGCGATTACATATGATTCAACAGAATACACATAACCCTGTGTTTTAGGGCCCTGGCTAAGGGTATAAGTTCCTTGGAATACAGTAGTTGCAGAGGATGGGGAGGGTCTAGGAGAGACAACATCAAAATCTACCCTGTGTCTACACAAAAGCGGTGGGACAGTCTAGCCAGAGTTGAGACAAAACAGGGAAGAATTGATTGATGGGATTTTGAGGACTGTTGTTACAAATATGGTCAGTTTTTGCCAGTCAATCCTTTTGCTGTTCCTGAAGAACTAGGGCCAAGCCTTGTGAGTGCTAGCAGTGGCTAAAATGGTGCTTCATGCTCTGTCTTCTATGAAGTACTGATGCCTTTTTGAAATATTAACTTTAGTAGCTCAATAAAAATTTAATTTCAACACAAGGCAGATTTCTTATAAAAAGGAGGGTGGAGAGGTTGTTAGGTTCGTCCTTTATAAGCACTGATTCCCTTCATATCTCCTACAGCCTCCCTCCACTCCCGCACAACTCTCCTCCACTCTCCCCCAACTCCCTACCACCCACACGTATATCTTACCTGATATATATTCTGTGCAATTTTGTAAAACTGGTTTTCTAAACTTTAAAAATGTGGCTTTTAGGTGCACATTAATTCTACAGGACTACTCTACAAGTTGCCAAAGGTTGAAAATTCCATGGAATTCTGTGGACAAAGTTTTTCCTGTTTTCAAGGAAAAATTGTGAAAGGCTTTGAATAGTGGTAATCTTATGCATGTATTCATTTCATATATTTCTTTTTTTTTTTTTTTTTTTTTTTTTGAGATGGAGTCTCACTCTGTTGCCCAGACTGGAGTGCAGTGGCGCAATCTCTGCTCACTGCAAGCTCCGCCTCCCGGGTTCACACCATTCTCCTGCCTCAGCCTCCCCAGTAGCTGGGACTATAGGCGCCCGCCACCACGCCCAACTAATTTTTTTTTTTTTTTTTTTTTTTTTTTTGTATTTTTAGTAGAGACGGGGTTTCACCGTGTTAGCCAGTATGGTCTTGATCTTCTGACCTCATGATCCACCCGCTTCAGCCTCCCAAAGAGCTGGGATTACAGGCGTGAGCCACCACACCCAGCCTCATATCTTTGTGAGTCATGATTATACCCTATTTTTAAAATCATCCTTTATAACATTATCAACTATACTTTGATGATGTCATTTTTCCAGGATATGCAAAGAGGTCATGGTCACTGACTCCTTAAGAGTGGAGCCTGACATATGCCTGACAGAGGGTCAATTGTTTAAGGTTATTGAAATTGATTTCATACCTTAAGAAAAAAAAATAGCCCCAGGTCTTGCAGAAGAAGATATAAATTCACAGCACAGTAAGAATAGTTTGAAATACATTTTTAATTTTTGAAAAATCAATATGTAATCTACAAAATATTTTGTTACATGATTAAGGCTCAACCTGTCTTATATTTGCATTGACAGAATACAAAACTGTATTTTAAGTAAGACATTATAATAGTCATTGTTAAGGAAGTCCTTCTAACTGACTTTATAAGAAAAGGGGCTGTATCACAAGCATAGCTCTGGAATGAAGGGAACTAACATCCTAGAACTGTCTAATATATACATCAGGTTGTAAAATTCCAGCCTTTATTTATGTGCTGGAAAGTATCTTTTTTACATATCTTTTTTTAGTGGATAAACTCTTGTGATTCCCACAGAAAAAGGAAATGTTCTTAAATTCAGATCTGCACAAATCATCTACCCATGAATTCATTTACACAGTTAATATGATCCTGTAACTGGAAAGGTGACCAGACTAGTCACAAACTGGTCAACTCCTTGGAAGTCTGCTCATTTGACTCCAAAATGGTCAAACTCACAATGGAGTGATCTAAGCAAAATGAATGCTAGAAAGGAATATTTCCTCCCTCATTCCTTTCCTTCCCCGCTTCCCTCCCCTAAAAGCAAGGGTTTTTTGAAGATCACTATTCCGGCAAGGGCAGTTCTACTTAATTTGAACCCTACCTGATTTTTCACCTAGAGTTCTGTAGTCACATCTGACCTTCTGCCAGTTCTGAGGTCAGAAGAATTGAATAAGCCTCCCCTCCCTACACAGAATGTTAATTTAACATTAAGTAATGAATATTTAAGGATCCTAATAGATGTGCGAATTAACAATTATGCTGTAACACCCTGCTGTTAATGCTATCAGCTTCTGCATTGCCACAGACAATCCATTTGGGCTTTAGTCCAGCTTTTGCTATTATATTGTCAAGACTGAATCTTGAGATGTCCTGAAGGCCCGGTGGCTTGTGAGTGAATAACCTGGGCAGGGAGGTACCCACAGATACTAGTCAACCTGTGAAGCATGAGGGGCAACTAAGTGAACCCTTTGCTGAATATATTTTGAGGTGTAAATAGTCATTAAGTTCATCCTAATCAGACTGTGAGTTCTTTGTGGGCAGGATGCCATAAAACACACTTAGAAAGGAATGGCAGTAATTAACCCACCTAACTTCACTGGGACTGTGGGCAGCATCAGTTTCGGCCGGCCTCCACATTCGTTCTGAGCAGACTGAAGTCACTGTAGAGTGCGCCCACACCAGATGATAAAGAAAGATGGTAGAATTTTTTTAATGACATACACACACAGATTTGCCCTACTCTACATCAACAGTGAGCCTCAAGCATATGATATTATAAGCAAGGCATCAAATGAAGTTAAAAAGAGCAATAGCGGCCGGGCATGGTGGCTCACGCATTTAATCCCAGAACTTTGGGAGGCCGAGGCTGGTGGATCACCTGAGGTCAGGAGTTCGAGACTAGCCCGGCCAACATGGGGAAACTCCGTCTGTAGTAAAAATACAAAAGAATTTTAGCCAGGCATGGTGGCTTGTGCCTGTAATCCCAGCTAGTTGGAGGCTGAGGCAGGAGAATCCCTTGAACCCAGGAGGCGGAGGTTGCAGTGAGCCAAGATGACACACTGCACTCCAGGCTGGGCAACAGAGTGAGACTCTGTCTCAAAAAAAGTAAAAAATAAAAACAGCAATAACAATTCCTTTCAACCAACCATCACCTATTGCATTCTTTGCCTTTACAGTAAAATAATGAAAAGCAATAAAATCTGCTGATTGATACAGACCATCATAAATGTTTGTCTTAATCTGTTTTTGAACAGATTTCAATGAATGTAATATAATATTAAATATTAAAAAAAACACATGAAATAAACTCTGTAGGCCAACACATAAATGTTGTTTGGAAGAACACTAAATCAGTTTTGACTCAAAACAAATCTAGCAAATAGAGAAAAATATCTCCTAATTATGTTTAAGACTCAACATAAATTGAAGGTATATTAATACCACATGGGGGAGTTTGTTTTTCAGACTAAAAACAATACCTGGAATATAGATTTCATAAATTTTAAAATTCTCACTTTTCACTGTAAATGCTGAAAGGAAATTATAAACAGAATTATAACTGCTAATGCTATTGACTTTTCATTAGAAACCAAACTATTATAGTCATTTACCTGACTCTGAAGAATAAAAATGTTGCCACTTAGAAATCTGGGTAAAATACCAAGTATCTTTCACTTTGCTCACCTTTTAATGAAAAATACTCTAAAATAAGCAGAATTAGCATAAAACAGCATGATAGCAGAACTAGTATAAAATAATCATAATGTGATTTAGACTTCTACTCAAGAGAGGCTTGTGTTCATTACAAATAATACTTTATCAAAATATGTCCTTAGAGTCTGTACTTTTGGAAAATAGTATTTATAAATTTTAAAAATTCATATTTAATATACACAAATATGTTAACTAGTGTCTAATACTCAGATTCCATTTTGAAAGGAATCCTGCCAAGTGAAAGGAAATATGTCTTAGTGATTTATACTAAAATATGTAGGACAACAGAAATAGCTTCTTTGCAGCACGCGCCAGAAAACAAACACATTTTGAAAATGACAATACAGTAGGAGAGAGACAGGTACCAAATATAGCCAATTATTATTTACCAACGGTAAGAGGACAGGTAAATAAGTAATTCAAAAGCACAGATACTTCCAGATCTACATTTTAGCCTGTGGTTTCAACATCATTCTACACCTAGCCACATTTCAGAGGCAAGAAAGAGGGAAAATTAACTATTTTGGTTTATGTCTCCTTTGATTCCCTTACCCTCTAGTACAGACACTAAGCAGCAAGAAGAGATGGGAAGAAATGAAGACGGCACCTCAGTAATCCAGAGAGCAAAACAGTCAGCCACTGAGTAATCAAAAATCATACTGGCTGCGGGGTCACACAACGAGTAACAGTGCCTTTGAGTTTCAATAGGAAGCAAAACATCACACGAATTATAGAAACATTTTAGATCGAACCCCTAGGACAAAAACACATGAAAAGCAAAAAATACAGATTGTTCGGTTTTAGGTCTAAACTTCTCTAAACACAGCCATCAGACCTGTCCTAAAACCGCTATTCAGAAGTCATTTCCACTCTACAGTAGCAGGACTTGGTGTGGTTTCGGTGAATTACATATTTGACAAGTGGGCTGTCATCATAAACTCTTGCTACTCCTACTGAGTTATGCAGTCACCAATTTTATCTGGGTCTTCTCCATCGATTTTAATCCACTTCTTTTCTATTTCAACCTGTTATGCAAAAGCAAAACACAGGCAGCATTAACAAATGCAACACAGCACTCACACCTCTTCAGTCCTATTTTATACATGTGGCACAGACTGCACAAACCTCACCCTTTGGACACAGACACAGCCCTCTACCCTCCTACAGTAGCTTCCAAGTGAGGCGCTCTGCTCTCCTTTTGAACAACAGAGCCCCTCAAATCCTCCCCGCCAGGGTCAAGTCTTCAAGAGCACCAAAACTGTCTTCTAAGTCAAACGTAGTTTTTATAAAATGTATACAGAATATGTATACTGAAAAAAAATTTACAGATCTGACTAGACATATGATCAATTATCCCTCTACCTGAATATATGGCTGTATCATGTATCTAGCCATTGGCCCCCTTAAGATTTATAATGCACCCAAAATTATCTAATTGAAACAAGCCATCTTACAAACTATTAGGTTGCTGCAAAACTAATGGCAAAAACCGTGATTACTTTTGCAGCAACCTAATAGTAAACCATCTGCTCTTCATCATTTTTGTCTCAGCTCAAATGTCACATCCTCCTGGAGGTCCTCCAGGACTACCCCTGATAAAGCCCTCCAGTCACTCTCTATCCCGTTACCCTATTTTATTACCTTCTTGGAATTTGTTATTAGTTGAAATCATATTTATTTATTTATTTATCTACTAACTATTTTTCGTTTACCCCCACTAGAAACTATGCTCCATGAGGACAGGGACTTTGTCTCTCTGTTCACACTGCTGTGTCCCTGCATGTGGAGCAGTATCTGGCAACAGATAATTACTAAATGGAAGAAAACATTTTGAAACTGCCACCAGGTGCACATCAACTAGTAAATGCTACTAAAGCAAGAGATACTTTGTAAAGTAATTTTTAATTGTCCACTAAAATTGCATGAACCTGGCATGCCCTGTGAATAGGAAAATAAGTATAAACACAGTCTCCATGCCACTTGACCCACATTTCAGTCACACATAATATATATATACCTAGTGTTATAGGTCAGGTTCCCCAAGAAATAAACTCTGAGATGGAGATCTGTGTGCAGAAAGTTTACTGGAGAGTGCCGTTGAGTTCAACATTCATGGGGGAGTGAGGCAGGAAATGAAGCTAAATGGGCAGAGAGAGAAGCTGGGATGCAATGTAGTCAGAATGAAGGCTTCTGTCCATGCCCTGGAGAGCTGAAGCTGGGCTGACCTACAGCGTTAGCCCAAGTTGATGCAAAGGGGCCTATACACCCCTGCATAGATTCCAGGAAGGAGGCATGACCTCAGGAAAGGCAGCTATCTTCAGCGGCGGCAATTCCCACCTGCTGGGGAAATACATCCTTCAGGTCTGAAGGGGCTGCACAGGACAGCACTACCTATCATTACTTTTATCAGTAGAAAAAGATAACTGGACCCAAACATAGACTTCTAAACAGATAGTCCAAAATAAAGAAAAATCCTGACTCACATTACTATAGTATAGGAAACCCAGTTGATATTAGCGATGTCATGTATAATATCACTATTTTTAATAGAAATAAATTAGTAGAAAATCAGAATGGCATTAATCTTTGCTGCAAGTCAAGCAACACATAGATTTTAAAATGCTATTTGAGAGGCACATGTTCTCAGGACCTCCTGAGGGCTGTGTAACAGGCAAAATTTAAATTTTTAAAAATAAAATAAATGCTATTAGAAATTATAAAATGTTGCTCATGTGAAAGACAGAAGGGAAACATACATTCTAAACTGAACCACCTGTCTGTAATGCACTATTTAATTTTTGTGATTTTTGAAATATTTTCTAGTTAAAAATACTTTTAGGCCAGGTGTGGTGGCTCACACCTCTAATCCCAGCACTTTGGGAGGCCGAGGCAGACAGATCACAAGGTCAGGAGTTCGAGACCAGCCTGGCCAACATGGTGAAACCCCATCTCTACTATAAACACAAAAAATTAGCCAGGCGTGGTGGCAGGCACCTGTAATCCCAGCTACTCGGGAGGCTGAGGCAGGAGAATTACTTGAACCTAGGAAGCGGAGGTTGCAGTGAGCCGAGACCATGCCACTGCACTCCAACCTGGGCAACAGAGCAAGACTCTGTCTCAAAATAAAGAAAACCTTTTAAACAAAATCAGCAAGATGCATCACCATTTCAAGATACTGTGGGAAATATGTGGCAGGAGACATCCATATATCTACTAAACTTGAGGATAAGAAGGGAAAACAAGTTTAGAAACAGATGTAAGTGTATGTCCTCCTTTAGTTCATCTGCCTAAGAATGCAGAAGAGCTGATGGCAAACATTTAAAACTACCATAATACCAGGCTGGATACGGTGGCTCACGCTTGTAATCCCAGCACTTTGGGAGGCCGAGGCAGGAGGATCACTTGAGACCAGGAATTTGAGACCAGCCTGACCAACATAGTGAGATCCCATCTCTATTTAAAAATTTAAAATAAAACTTTAAGCTACCAATAGGCTAGGCATGGTGGCTTACGCCTGTAATCCCAGCACTTGGGGAGGCCGAGAGGGTCAGATTACCTAAGGTCGGGAGTTTGAGACCAGCCTGGCCAACATGGCAAAACCCCATCTCTACTAAAAATAGAATAATAATAATAATAATAATAATAATAATAATAATAGCTGGGTGTGGTGGTGGGTGGCTGTAATCCCAGTTACTTGAGAGGCTGAGGCAGGAGAATCGCTTGGACCCAGGAGGCGGAGGTTGCAGTGAGCCAAGATAATGCCACTGCACTCCAGCCTGGGTGACAGAGTGAGATGCCGTCTTAAAAAAAAAAAAACTGAAAACTACCATAATAGAGTAACTCAGCATTTCCTAAAGCATGCTCCACAGAACACTATTCCACAAGATAGGGATAAGTGTTTTACATACACATACCCACAAAGACAAGACACAATAGCCAATGAGTTGGGAAAAACTGGGTTAACTAAGTTTAACAAGTTTCCTTATTGCAGGACTTCTTGGGAGCCTTTATTTAACATTAATTTAGTATACGGCATTCCCCAACTTATTCTTTTGTTGGATAATTATATGGGACACATGTTCTGCAGCACATATTTTGAGAAATGGTGTCCTAACATCATAATTTTTATTATAAATATGCTTCTAAAATGTAGATTCATTTTTAATGTCCTGTTTTTCATTGAGAGCTAAATTATTAAGTGTTCCCAACATTCTCCAGAATGGATAGGAAGAACTAAGCTCAATGGTGGCCATCAAGTTTCCATAGCTGAGATCCTCTCTAGGGCAAATCTCACCACACATATACACACACACACAACACATACACGATCACAAAAGACAGCAAAACAAATATTTAAAGCCAAATCAGGTCACAGTTCTAGAAGTTTTGGGATGTACCTGGATGTTGTAGCAAGCTCGCTGCTGAACATGTTTCTGTGGCTGGACATCACTCTCCACTCCCAGAGACCTGACCTCTGTCCTTGAGGCACAGGTGTCAGGCACGGAAAACTGAACAGTAGCAAATGGATACCAATCAGAGGGAATTTCTTGGTCTGATCCAAGCTCTAATTTGTATGACAGACAATGGGGATGATCTAGACCTCGAGGGAAAAAAAATCAAATAGTCAAAGTATTTTAATGGCCATTGAACATTTCTCTTGAACATAAAAGGCACTCATCTCTCTCCTTAATAAGGAATTTCATTAGCACTGCAGCAGTGCAAATTCCATTTAAACAACATACCATGAAAATCTACAATTTTGCACCAACTAGGGGGAAAGCTGTCTGCCATTTTTAAGTACTAGCTTTAAAAACAAGTACAACTTCATTACTATTTTGAATAAGAATGGCAAAAATATAAAAATAAAAAATATATTACTATATGCAGGCACAGATGAACTCCTAAAAATGTTTTCAATTAGAAATATTACTAATATTAATTAGAAATATTACTATATTTAGCAAATTATATTAGTATATAACAATATAATTACTATATTATACTAATATAATTTGCTAAATATTTATTTTAAGCAATATTTTTAATATTAATGTTTAATTTATATTAAACAATATAGTAATATGCTTAAACTTAATTGTTTTCCTTAATTAAAAGATATGAGTAATATTTATATTAAACATAATTATTTGGCTACAATGTGCTCAAGACCTGTACAAGCCTCTTTCTCTTAGACTGAGTAACATCTTATAATTATTAATTTATTCATTTCCTTACCATCTATTTACAGATAACTCAAAAATAAACTTCAGCCCAAATTAAGTCGCATTATTTTAAAATTCTGATTTTTAAAAGTTAAACTTAACTTTCAGAAAATGTTCCAGGCCAAGAATTCTTTTTTCAGTGGAACAAATTATTTTTCCCTACTGTAATTCTCACTCATCCTTCCAAAATACTTTGACTGGAACAGCTATACAGAGTAGAAATGGGCATATTGGCCTTTAATATTTTAATCTAATATTGGTTTTCACTCAATTTGTCACTTATTGAGCATCTGTGCTATGCCAGGCCAGGTTCAGTGCCAGACCCAGAGATACTGGATATATTTCAAAGATTTTAGATGGGGGTCATATAGTGTGTGTGTGTGTGTGTGTGTGTTATAAGGAAATGATCAATATTTTCATTGTAATCACTGCAGCAGCTTTACAAACATTCCATGATTCTGTTGCATTGTTCATAGCATCTCCATATCTAATGTGGCTATCTTTACTTAAATAAATGTATGAGATAAAGAGTAATTTCAAGAACCAGATTAAATTACTGTACCACTGACATAGCTAGAGAAAGAGCATTTCCATCAGAATATAGCTTTAGGCACAAAAACAAGAGTTTAAAGGATTTCACTTAATTCTTAAAAGATAAATTACCTTTCGTTCCATACAACCTGTTTCTTGTAGAGTGACTAATAGAATTCTAAGGCTGTAAAAAGCCTTGAGAAATCATCAATCAGTTAACCAACAGATGCTCATTAGCCATCTCTACCACTTACAGGAAGGGTAGGACAACAGTGGCCTCTGAGGTGCTCTTAACAACCTGATCACTGGAGGCAAGTGATAACTTCATTCTCATACACACACACCCAGAAAGATTGCAAACCCCATTACTCTTTTTAGTCCTCTGTCTGCAGTGAGGATACAGTAAGTTCATTTACACTTACTGCAGGCATTCTTCTGTCTTGTTATGGCAAAGTGGTTAAGGCTAGGGTTACAAATTGCTTATCTCTCTGAGCCTCAGTTTCTTCATCTAAAAATGTGGATAATGAGGATAACCTGAACCTTATAAGGGCTGTTGTGAGGATTAACCAGTTCATATGCATACAGCACTGGGGCAGTAGTATTCTATAGCAATATAGATGAGCCAGACATATTATTTTGCAAAGTGCTATTCAATTATAAAGCCAGTATTATTTAATTACTATAATTTTGCTAATAAAGGGACTGTGAATGTTACACATTCGGAGTTAAAAATTATACTACACATGATCTGATTTGATACTCACACTTTATAAGAAAAAATTATTTGGGGAAATTTTACGATGAAAATTGAAGAACTAAACCCAAATTGAAGACTTAGTGGTACAAAAAATGTCAGAAACAAAACCTTTCTACCTGCTTTTCTTTAAAAATGGTAAAAGCCTTTTTCCTTTCAAGTTTTCTGGCTTATTTTTTAAGGCTTTTGAAAATGCTAAATGCTCTACAATGTTTAGTAACACACTCCCTCTTCAGACTTTCTGCCCCACAGGGACAGGTGTCATGTCTGTCCTTAGCACAATGTCTGTCATGTTTGGGGCTTAACAGATTATTTTCAAATTCACCAATTAATGAATAAAAGATAGAGGAAAATCGTGTTGTCGCAGTGCTGACCACCAGGGGGAACTGTCCAGCTTTGGTCATTGTTCACTCAACATAATTCCTTTTCTTAGGACGGGGAATGTAAATCACAAAATCTTAGGTCTAGTTGATATCCAGTCCCTCCTGAACCAAAATATTTTACACCTGAAACTGAACTGTTAGAGGGCCGAAGGGAAAGAATAGCAAGAGGATGACAGAGTGGAGGAGGAGAGAGCAACCAACGTGCTGATGACAGGGCAGAAGAAAAAAAGAGAAAAGTCGAAAAATTGGGAAGTTAGAGGTAGATATATTTAATTGCTCCTCCACCACTCTCATTCCCCTTAATAATTCTGTGCCACCATATACACCTCCTCTGGCTAACCAGCATCCTCATTTGTCTTCAGCTGTCTTTCTCTTTCTTCCTTTCTCTTTCTCTCTCTATCACCCCAACAAAGCCTAAGCTCCTCTGCTGTCATTCACACCTTAGTATGAATGAAGTCTGTGAGCTAGTGCCTCAGGCAAACCTTTGTTGCAAAATGAAAGACCTGCCCACTGTCAAAGGAATACTAAGCATTGACAAGCTGGTTAGAAGGGACATTAAGGGACCAGCAGCCCTCCCCACCTTTCCAGAAATCACAGGTGATTTCCCCAGTAAAAAAGGTCAATCCTGATCCCTCAAATTCCCAGGAAGGAAAAAAAATTTAAAAAAAAGTTTTATAATTAGAACATAGTAGACTAGTTTATATGTTCTTGCCAGGTGCGGTAGGTAGCTTATACCTATAATCCCAGCACTCGGAAGGCCAAGGCGGGTGGGTTGCCTGAGCTGAGAAGTTCGAGACCAGCCTGAGCAACACGGCAAAACCTCATCTCTACCAAAAATACAAAAAATTAACCAGGTGTGATGGCACGTGCTGTGGTCCCAGCTACTTGGGAGGCTGAGGTGGGAGGATGGCTTGAGCCTGGGAGGTAGAGGTTGCAGTGAGCTGAGACCTCGCCACTGCACTCCAGTGCTATTCATTCAGTTTCCATTTTCGAAGTATCTTTTCAAATAATGCAAAGTTTTCCGAGACAATCTTGAAAAGGATAAAATTTTAAAGAGCTTTTTAAAAACTTTATGTTCTCTAAATACACAACTGATCTAAAAGTCATATAGAAAAATAGAGATGCATTCTGGGATCCTGCTATTCTAAGCGTATTCCTTGGGCCAGATGCATTGGCGTCACATCAGCACTTGTTAGAAACACAGTATTCCAGATCCCACTTGCTCAGTCAAAATCCACATTTTAACAAGGTGATTCCTGGGCCCACAAAAGTTTGAGAAGCACTGCCTTAGGACAAAGATTTCCTCTCTGCTCCAACCTTATTATTACCCTACTTCTCAAGAGGCAAATTAGCTTATAGCCTGCCCTGGCACCCTCTCACTCTCTGCATTGCCCTCCCTACCCCCTCAACGGAGAAGCTTGGGGCAGGGCCCTGTAATCCCAGAAATGTCCTGCCCCAAGCCAGGCCCACAGCTGCACCATGCCCTCTGGACGCCACCTGACACAGCCCCACTGTGTTTTCCCTGGGCCTCCTCTTTGTGCACAGACCTGATCTCAATAAAGCAGCTGTGATCCCAAAGGATTTGTTCAGTGAATTATCACTGTGTAATTGACTGAAATGCCTGTAAAATGTTGTCCTCTGTGGGCCTGGTGATATGACGGTTTTACAAAAGAATTCCTGAAGGCCAAGATCAGGTCCAGCCAGTTTCCCTGGAAATGTCCATTCTTGTCATTGTTCTTGGTGAGCTCCACTGCTAATAAATACTCATGGGAGGCCGGACGCAGTGGCTCATGCCTATAATCCCAGCACTTTGGGAGGCCAAACTGGGCAGGTCACGAGGTCAGGAGTTTGAGACCAGCCTGGCCAATATGGCGAAACCCCATCTCTACTAAAAACACGAAAATTAGCCAGGCGTGGTGGTGCGCACCTGTAGTCCCAGCTACTTGGGAGGCTGAGGCAGAAAAATCTCTTGAACACAGGAGGTGGAGGTTGCAGTGAGCCAAGATGGTGCCATTGCACTCCAGCCTGGGTGGCAGAGCGAGACTCCGTCTCATAAATAAATAAATAAATAAATAAATACTCATGGGAGAGCAATAACAGAGGTCTGGAAGACAAAGGCATATGCAGAGCAGGGAGGAATGATCTCTGCCTAGGGGATCACGTCAGTAGTTCTCAACCCCGGCTGCATGAGCCTTTATAAACATCAACACCTGAGCCTCATCTTCATAGAGCCCGATTAGTAGGGGATGGGGCCCAAATATGGGTATGTGTTTGAAGCTTTAATGATGCTAACATGTGGCCAGGACTGGGAAACAGACTTTAAAAGGATGAGTGATGAGAAGATCCCAGGCTATCTCGGCTAATGGCACCATTGCCCACCTATCCACCACAGCCAGAGCACCTGACCTTGTCCCATTCCCTCCCTTTCCCTCATGCCCATAGAGAATCTGTCATCACTTAGGGGCACCTCCCCTGAATTCGCTCACCCATCTCTTGCCTCTCTCTCTCTGCCACTGCCTTTGCTCAGCAACCCTTACCTCCTCCCAACTTCCCTGTGTCTATAATCTACTCCTAAATCTTTCCTCTGCACTGCATGCCAGCCTTTCTGAAACAAGATATGATTCTGTAGCAGTCATGCCGAAAACAACCCCGAGGCCCTGTTGACAGATAAACTTCACACCCCACAGCATGGCCCACAAGGTCTTAATACACTGGTCTCTTCCCCGACCACTCCCTCAGCCCCAAAACTTAGGTAAGATCCCCCACCCACACACCTGTGGTTCTGCTGTTTCTTTCTTTGATGGAAACTCTATTGACTCTCCCAGCCATCAGCTCTTCAGCGAAGCCCTCCCTAGTCCCCAGGCAGTTTATTACCCTTTCCTCTGGGATCCCTAAGTGCATATGTTTGTCCAAGCCTGGAACTATGCACTTTTCCACAGTGCATTTGGGTAGCTGCTTCAGAGTCTGTCTCACCTTCTAGACTGTTAAGTTTCTGGTAGAGTAGGAATCATGTTTGTGTCTGTATCTCTTAAACACTCAGCACAGAACCTATACCTAGAAGAACTTTAGTAGATGTTTGTGGAGTAAATGAGTGAGACTCCTTCTCAATAAATTCTTGTTGATTGAATCAGTTAACTACACCAATGACTCTGAAAAAAATGCAGTATTATAAACAGGATCATTTTCACAAAAAGCTTCATACGTGTCTGCACTCCCAAAATTAGAAAAGATGATTGGTATGGGTTCTCAGTTTGAAAAATAAGTGTGGTTACCCTGGCCAGGCTTTAGCCAAGTGCTTATTTCCTTCAGGGCCTCCCGGAGCACCTGCTCTAAGTAGAGCAATAGGAATGGACTACAAAGGGAGCCTGTGCTCTTGTCCCTCTCACACCACGTGGGCAAGCCCACAGCCTGAGCCTATTGTGCTTCTCTCTCAAAAGCATAATTACCACTTCAAGTCTATGCAAAAACTGCTTTGGACCTTTTGTTCTAGTCCTCGAGACCATCTCTAGGATCAACGGAAAACAACAGGAGTTAGTTTATCACCCAGATTTCAGGGGAAACCTGCAGATCCAGGAGTTTCCAATAGGCATTCCAGCCTGCCTGACTTTCTGCCTGCCTCTCTTTCCCTTTTTGTTGAGCAAAACAAAAGCTAATACTCTGATTTTGTTTAAACCCTCTAACCTAAAACTAGCACAAGTAACTTTTAGAATAGACCATTTGGAACCTTGTATGAAGACCTTAAAACTGGTTTCTCTGGCATGATGATGCAAATGGTTCAATTTGCCTCTCTAGCCAAGTTATAAAAGAAAGCAGGGGCCAGGCACGGTGGCTCAAACCTCTAATCCCAGCACTTTGGGAGGCCGAGGCGGGTGGATCACCTGAGGTTGGGAGTTCGAGACCAGCCTGGCCAACATGGTGAAACCCCATCTCTACACAAAATATAAGAAGTTAGCCGGGTGTGGTGGTGCGGGCCTGTAATCCTAGCTACTTGGGAGGTTGAGCCACTAGAATTGCTTGAACCCAGGAGGCAGCGGTTGCAGTGAGCCAAGATTGCACCACTGCACTCCAGCCTGGGTGACAGAGCAACACTCCATCCCAAAAAAAGAAAAAAAAAGAAAGCAGGAAACATCATCTCAGTGGATTATATCATAGAAGATACTGACCTTCCCTCCCATCACAGCAGAGTTGATCAGAATGTGCTGTTTGAGACCATTTACTGTGACCAGGCTGCACCATCACCACCTCACTCTGCCCTAAGCCTGAGCTATCCTTGCTAGTATGGGGGAACTGAACATAATTAATCTGAGTCTTGAGAACGCTGTGGGGTGAAATTTGGCATTAATGAAGAAGGGTATGGGGTGTCAGGAAGAAAGACAATGTAGGAACTTCCCTTCTGCACAGGGTCCTGGAGCTCCTCAGCTCACTAGGCCTGTGTCTCTCACCTGAAGGATCCTGCCCATAGCTCAAGCTCTCATCAGTCAACAGGTGTTAAACCAACAAACAGAGAGTCATGGACAAGGTGGTCCCATGGCCTCCAGGGTACGGGCAGTGCTGCCCCTCAAGTCAATTGTAGTCTGGGGCTTGTTCTTCTGGTTCTACAACTTTACAACACCTGGAGAGCAGTGTTCTTCCCTCTGGCTACACCTTGTATCTGGAGAGATCTTAAAATACTTGGAATCTGGCTCCCTCCCCACCGCCCACCCCCGCCAGAGATTCCGATTTAATTAGCATGAAGTGAAACCTAAACATTGAGATGATTTAAAAGCTTTCAAGTTATTCTAATATAGTCAGGTTTGGCCAGGCATGGTGGCTCACACCTGTAATCCCAACACTTTGGGAGGCCAAGGCGGGTGGATCACTTGAGGTCAGGAGTTCAAGACCAGTCTGGCCAACATGGGAAAACCCCGTCTCTACTAAAAATAAAAAAACTAGCCAGGCGTGGTGGCTCACGCCTGTCGTCCCAGCTACTCGGGAGGCTGAGGCAGGAAAATCACTTGAACCTGGGAGGCAGAGGTTGCAGTGAGCTATCGCACTGCACTCCAGCCTGAGCAACAGAGTAAGACTCCATCTCAAAATAATAATAATAATAATATAGCCAGGTTTGAGAAACACTGCCATAAGGCCACCCCAAAGAAAAATGCTTCCTCTGAAGTCCACAGCCTGGAGGGGCCTAGATGAGCTTAAATTTCTCTGAAGGACTACAGCAGCTGTGAGCCATCTGGAAACAGGGATCAGATTTTTATTTATCTTTATCCCCAGCACTTGATGTGGCACTTGGTATACAGTAAGTACTCAGTAAAGATTTGGATGGATGGGCCGGGCACAGTGGCTCAAGCCTGTAATCCCAGCACTATGGGAGGCCGAGGTGGGAGGATCACAAAGTCAGGAGTTTGAGACCACCCTGGCCAATATGGTGAAACCCTGTCTCTACTGAAATACAAAAATTAGCCAGGCATGGTGGTGGGCGCCTGTAGTTCCAGCTACTCCGGAGGCTGAGGCAGGAGAATCACTTGAACCCGAGAGGCGGAGGTTGCAGTAAGCCGAGATTGTGCCACCGCACTCCACCTGGGTGAGAAAGCGAGACTCCATCTCAAAAAAAAAAAAAAAAGAAAAAAAAGATTTGGATCAATGGATGGATGGATCGATGGATGCATGAATGCATCAACTCAGGTCCCCCAACCCCACCTCCAATTTAACTCCAGAGACCAGTGACCAGTGCTCTGCTAGGGGGGAAAAAAAAAAAAAACCAACAACCCTCAACTAAAATAGGAAAGAGCTCTAATTTTAAAATTTGGTTTTTGACTTTATTATATTATGTCCACTACTATTTACTTACTACTCCAAAATAAATGTGGTACTATAACTGTCTTTTCAAGTTCTGACTTTTAGATAATTTTTATTTGCAAAATTTTTAAAAATTAACTGAATTTTTAACACTCACGTGTGTCCACCTAATTCTAAAACAACCAGTTTAGGCCAGATGAGGTGGCTCACACCTGTAATGCTAGCATTTTGGGAGGCCAATGTGGGAGGATCCCTTGAGCCCAGGAATTCAAGAGCAGCCTGGGCAACATAGGGAGACCCCGTCTCTACTAAAAAACAAAAAATTAGCCAGGCACGATGGTATGCATCTGTAATCCCAGGTACTGAGGAGGCTGAAGCAGGAAGATCACTTGAGCCTGGGAAGTGGAGGCTGCAGTGAGCCGTGATCGTGCCACTGCACTCCAGCCTGGATGACAGAGTGAGATGCCATGTCAAAAACAAAAACAATACAAGTTGAGATGACCAAATGGGTGAATTCAGTCAACAAAAATCAATTTGGGTAAAAATGAAAGCAGTCTTATTTCAAAGAGCAGGGAGCAAACCTAAGGAAGAAGTGGTATCAGCTGAGAATGCAAAGAAGTTCAGGTATATTCATGGATGACAGATCTTTAGAGATTAATTAGGGAATCTCAGCTATATTAGAAATATTTTTAACATTTGAAGTTGATGCGTTAATCTCAACCATGGATATCAACGAATTTTCTCTTAGTGCCGCCATCCACAACAAATTCCTAGCCTAGCATGGTATTTCGTATGATATTTAAAAAATGTTCAACAGTTAAACTTATCTGGTAGAAATAGGTGCAAAAGGAAACAAATAAACCAGCTGTTTAGCTAAATGTTCCATCTCCTACCCCAAAGCACAGCCTCAGCTGACAAATTGCCATCTGTCTCTACCTGGTTTCAACCCAAGGAGGAAGGTAAGAATATTTAAGCTATTTCCCATGAAAATAAACTTGGGGTGTTGAATATTTACTTGAATTTTTGTCTGGAAGCCGATCTATCTTCCATACCACTGCCTGGTAGGCACTCTCATATTTTGCTGACCCCACAGTGACTTGAATGACAGGTTCAGATTCAAGTTCCTGTAAACTCCCCAGACATGCTCGGCGGTTCATTTTAGCTTTCAGAGACTTCTGCCTCTGGAGGTTCATGGTCCAAAGGGCCTTGATCCACTGCGATGGGACAGGAAAGTGTATCCTTATATTGTCACAGGACCTTAAGGAACCAGCATAGGATGACCTCTGCGCCAATGAGGCCATGTTGACAAAAGCCTGAAGTTCCACGTATGCTCCCTGGACAACCACTACAGACTTCAAGGAAAAGGGAAGATTATCCCCATTATACAAAGTCTTGAAACGCATCAGCTCAAACCGGCAGGCATCCAGAGGTACAAACTTAATGATTCTTGATTGCTCAAATTCTTGTACATTCACACACTTATGAAAATGGTAGTCAAGAATATCAATCCCCTTTTTTTCTGAGTCCTTCTCATAATAGGATTCATCTCGCTTCGGCAACTCAAGGTCATTCAAGGTTAAAAAGCATTCCAGGTTCCCATTCACAAAGCAGAGGCAATAAATTTGAGTTATCACAGCACTTTCAACAAATTTTCCTTCTTTTGTGACTTTACCCCAAAAGTTGTCCACAATTTCCAAGGAAATTTCTTGCTCCTCGTAGTTCTTTTTTGGTTTTGAAACAGCTGGCAACTTCATCAGCTCCTCCTCCACAGTAGTCAGAAAGTCAAGGAAGTCATGGTACGATGTGGACCCCAACTTCAGCATCTGCTCTATGTCAGGTTCATGAACTACTTCTGTCTTAGAATGGTATTTCCTTTTTTCTGTGTAAGACACATGTTCAATCTTCACAGTGTGGATTTTTCCTGCTACACTGAAGTTCTCAACCTTGGGTTCAGAAAGCCTACAATATGGATCAAGCTGTATCTCTTTAAATGGTTTTTCTAATCCCTGTTCATAATACATCTGCAAAATTCCTCCAGGCAAAACTTTCAGAAAAATTGGTCCCCATTGCCGGGAAGACATCATATTCTTCTTCTCAGGAATTCTCAGCATGAAAGACCATCCGGATTTTGGCTGACTCCTGAAGAGTGTGTGGGGGACAAAGGAAGAGGCATTTTCTTCAGCACATAGACAGTGCATAGACAAACTTCTAAGTGAGTCTTGGTTCTCAGCTGACTGGAGATGTTCAAGCTTCTCACAGATATAGTTGAGTGAACACTTATTTAGGCTTTTTTGGTCAATAGGCATCTCCTTGTTTCTTGATGAGAACATCTTTTTGCTTCCTGGTGGGTCAAGGGTGAAATGGGAATCACTGCCTTCATCTTTCCAAAATGGACTTGAAAAAGCACAGTCCTCTCGAAAATACTGAAACTGGGGGAGATCATCACTTTGGAATCCTAGGCTTTCAGCCTGTTGAGGATTAACTTCATCTGGAAGACCTACTTTGGGAGTTGGATGTGTACATGAGTGGTCACTGGGTAACAAGGCATGGGATAAACATGTTGGTCTGGTAGGCAGTAAGGAAGATTCTCCTCCTGATATTGCGAGTGGGCTGTCTGAAGATGATTCTGGAATAGGATAAAGCACATGAGTCCCTGCTTTGGGGATGCCAGGAAAACCTGGGAAGTCTTTGGTAGGTGTAGAAAGAGGAGAGTTACTTGGAGGTCCTGGACTGAAATAAAAATCTACAATGGGGGAGGAGAGAGGAGTGCTGCTGGTGGAGGAAGATCCACTGGGAAATTCCCTGAGGCCAGGAAGGTTCAGCTTCAGTCCATTTGGTCTACAGACACCTTGATTCTCCAGAGGAAAATTCTTTGACTTTTGAGAAGATTGAACAGCAGGATCATCATCAAAGGTGACCCATTTGCCTGGATTTGTGGAGCACATCTTTGGGATCAGATTGTGGTCTTGTCAAGAAATCAAATAGGTTGACTCTGTTAAAAAAATAAAATAAAGAGAAAATAGGTATATAAAATGAAGGGGGGAATCATTACTAAATGTCTTTACTTCTGATAAATGCTTAAAAATTATAATTCTGTTGGTGGCTAAGTGGATTAAAAAAAAAACATGATCCAACTGTATGCTGTCTATAAGGTACTCACTTTAGATTTAAAGACAGACATATGCTGAAAGTGAAAGGATGAAAAAACATATTCCATGCAAATGTTATCCAAGAGAGAGCAGGAGTAGCCATGCTTAAGCAAAATAAACTTTAAGTCAAAAACTATCATAGGAGACAAAGAAGGACATAATATAATGATAAAAGAGTCAATTCACTAGGAAGACGCAACAATTATAAATATATATTAACCCAGCTGGGAATGGTGGGTCACAACTGTAATCCCAGCACTTTGGGAGGCCGAGGCAAGCAGGTCACCTGAGGTCAGCAGTTCGAGAGCAGTCTGGCCAACATAGCAAAACCCTGTCTCTACAAAAAAATACAAAAATTAGCCAAGCATGGTGGTGGGCACCTGTAATCCCAGCTACTCAGGTAGCTGAGTCAGGAGAATCTCTTGAACCTGGGAGGCAGAGGTTGCAGTGAGCTGAGATAGTGCCATTGCACTCCAGCCTGGGTGACAGAGTGAAACTCCATCTGAAAATATATATATATTTATATATCCAACATCAGAGCACCCAAATATATGAAGCAAACATTAACAGAACTGAAGAGAGAAATAGATAGCCACCCACTAATAATTGGAGATTTCAACACCATACTTTCAACAATACACAGAACATCCAGACAGAAGACCACTAAAGAAACAATAGACTTGAACACTATAAACTCAACTAAACTGCCATACATATACAGAACATTCCACCTAACAGCAGCAGAACACATATTCTTCTCAAGCACACACAGAACATTTGCCAAAGCAGATCACGTTAGGTTACAAAACAAATCTTAACAAATGTGAGAAGATTGAAATCACACAAACATTTTTTCTAACCACAATGGAATAAAACTAGAAATTAATAATAGAAGGAAAACTAAAAAATTCACAAATATTTGAAAATTAACATACTCTTGAACAACCAATGGATCAAAGGAGAAATAAAAAAGGAAATTAGAAAATATCTTGAGACAAATGAAAATGAAAACACAGCACACCAAAACAGTACTCACAGGGAACTTTATAGCCACAAATGCGCCACTGCACTCCAGCCTGGGCAACACAGTGAGACTCCGTCTCAAAAAAAAAAAGGAAGAAAGAGGGCTGGGTGCAGTGGCTCACATCTATAATCCCAGCACTTTGGGAGGCTGAGGAGAGCAGATCACCTGAGGTCAGGAGTTCGAGACCAGCCTGGCCAACATGGAGAAACCCCATCTCTACTAAAAATACAAAAAATTAGCTGGGCATGGTGGCACACACTTGTAATCCCAGCTACTCAGGAGGCTGAGGCAGGAAAATCGCTTGAGCCCGGGAGGCAGAGGTTGCAGTGAACAGAGACTGTGTCATTACTCTCCAGCCTGGGCAAGGAGAACGAAACTTTGTCTCAAACAAAAAAAAAAAAGTGGTGTTGAAAAAACTTGATATCCACATGCAAAAGAGTGAAACTAAACTGTAATCTTATACCAGAGATGTCTAATCTTTTGGCTTCCCTCAGCCACACTGGAGGAAGAATTAAGGCCAGGCACAGTGGCTCACGCCTATAATCCCAGCACTTTGGGAGGCCAAGGTGGGTAGATCACTTGAGGTCAGGAGTTAGAGACCAGCCTGGCCAACATGGCAAAACCCAGTCTCTACTAAAAATACAAAAGTTAACCAAGCATGGTGGTGGGTACCTGCCCAAAAATTAGCCAGGCATGGTGGTGGGCAGGAGAATTGCTTGAACCTGAGAGGAGGAGGTTGCAGTGAGCTGAGATTGCACCATTGCACTCCAGCCTGGACGACAGAGAGAAACTCTATATCAAAAAAAAAAAAAAAAAAAAAAAAAGGAAGGAGGAGGAGGAGGAGGAGAAGGAGGAGAAGGAGGAGAAGGAGGAGAAAGAGGAAGCGGAGAAGGAGGAGGAGAAAAAGGAGAATTAGAATTGTGTTGGGCCACACACAAAATACACTAACACTACAGATAGCTGATGAGTTAAAAAAAGAAAAAAAAGGATCTCATGTTTTAAGAAAGTTTACAAATTTGTGTTAGGCAGCATTCAAAGCCGTCCTGGACTACATGTAGCCTGTGGGCTGCACGTTGGACAAGCTTGTCTTATATCATACACAACCATCAACTCAACATGGATGGAAGAGGCTGGGTGCAGTGGCTCACACCTGTAATCCCAACAACTTTGGGAGGCCAAGGTGGGTGGATCACCTGAGGTCAGAAGTCCAAGGCCAGCATGGCCAACATGGTGAAACCCCATCTCTACTATAAATACAAAAAAATTAGCCAGGCCTGGTGGCACACACCTGTATTCCAAGCTACTCTGGAGGCTAAGGCAGGGGAATTGCCTGGGAGGCAGAGGTTGCAGTAAGCCAAGGTTGTGTCACTGCACTTCAGCCTGGGCGACAGAGCAAAACTCCGTCTCAAAAAAAAAATAGATAAAAGATTTAAACATAAGACTTGAAACTATAAAACTCTGGGGGGTTTTTTGTTTTTTTGGTTTTTTTTGGCCGGGCTCGGTGGCTCATGCCTGTAATCCCAGCACTTTGGGAGGCCGAGGTGGACGGATCACCTGAGGTCAGGAGTTGGAGATCAGCCTGGGCAACATGGTGAAATCGCGTCTCTACTAAAAATATAAAAAATAGCCGGGAGTGGTGGTGGACGCCTGTAATCCCAGCTACTCAGGAGGCTGAGGCAGGAGAATCGCTTGAACCCAGGAGGTGGAGGTAGCAGTGAGTCAAGATTGTGCCACTGCACTCCAGCCTGGGCAACAAGAGTGAATCTCCTCCCCTACAAAAAACAAACAAACAAAAAAACCTGTTTTTTTTTCTTTTTTTTTTTATGAGACGGAGTCTCGCTCTGTCGCTCAGGCTGGAATGCAGTGGCCCGATCTCAACTCACTGCAACATCCGCCTCCCTGGTTCAATCAATTCTCCTGCCTCAGCCTCCTGAGTAGCTGGGATTGCAGGCACGCACCACCACGCCAGGCTAATTTTGGTATTTTTAGTAGAGATGGGGTTTCCCTACGTTGGTCAGGCTGGTCTCAAACTCCCGACCTCGTGATCTGCCCACCTCGGCCTCCCAAAGTGCTGGGATTATAGGGATGAGCCACCGCGCCCGGTGAAAACTATAAAACTCTGAGAAAAAAATGCAGAGGAAAATCTTCATAACATTGGTCTTGGCAATGATTTCTTGGATATGACAGCAAAGCACAGGCAACAAAAGCAAAAACAGAAAAGTGAGACACCATTAAACTTAAAAGTTTCTGCACAGCAAAGGAAACAATCAACAGAGTAAAAAGGTAACATAAAGAATAGGAGAAAATATTTGCAAACGGTATTTCTGTCTTTCTTTTTTTCTTTTTTTTTTTGAGATGGAATCTCGCTCAGTCGCCCAGGCTGGAGTGCAGTGGCGCGATCTTGGCTCACGGCAAGCTCCATCTCCCAGGTTCACGCCATTCTCCTACCTCAGCCTCCCAAGTAGCTGGGACTACAGGCGCCCGCCACCGCGCCCGGCTAATTTTTTGTATTTTTAGTAGAGACAGGGTTTCACCGTGTTAGCCAGGATGGTCTCAATCTCCTGAACTTGTGCTCCACCCGTCTCTGCCTCCAAAATGCTGGGATTACAGGCGTGAGCCACCGCGCCCGGCCTGCAAACGGTATTTCTTATAAGGAATTAATATCCAAAACATATAAGGAACTCAATAAACTCAACGGCAAGAAAATAAATCATGCAATTTAGTAATTGGCAAAGTACTTGAATAAACATGTCTCCAAAAAAGACATACAAATAGCCAGAAAATATATGAAAAGATGCTCAACATCACTAATCATCAGGACAATGCAAATCAAAACTACAACGAGGTATCTATCACCTCATACCTTTTAGAATGGCCATTATTTTCTTTTAAAAAAAAAAAAAAAAAGGATAATATGGCCAGGCACAGTGGCTCACACCTATAATCCCAGCACTTTGGAAAGCCGAGGCGGGAGGATCACTTGAGGTCAGGAGTTCAAGACCAGTCTGGCCAACATGGTGAAAACTCATCTCTACTAAAAATACAAAAATTAGCTGGGTGTGGTGGTGGGTGCCTGAAATCCCAGCCACTCAGGAGGCTGAGGCATGAGAATCACTTGAACCCAAGAGGCAGAGGTTGCAGTGAGCAGAGATCCCACTGCACTCCAGCCTGGGCAACACAGTGAGACTCTGTCTCAAAAAAAAAAAAAAAAAAAAAAAAAGAAAGGAAAACAACAAATCTTGGCAAGGATGTAAGAAATCGGAACCCTTGTGCATTGTTGCTGGCAATGTAAAGTGGTGCAGCCATTATGGGGAACAATATGGAAGGCCCTCAAAAAATTAAAAATAGGGCCAGGTGCGGTGGCTCACACCTCTAATCCAGGCACTTTGGGAGGCCAAGACAGGTGGATCACCTAAGACCAGGAGTTCAAGACCAGCCTAGCCAACATGGTGAAACCCTGTCTCTACTAAAAATGCAAAATTAGCCAGGCGTGGTGGCGCACACCTGTAATCTCAGCTGCTTGGGAGGCTGAGGCAGGAGAATTGCTTGAACCCAGGAGGCAGATGTTGCAGTGAATGGGTATCACGCCATTGCACTCCAGCCTGGGCAACAAGAGCAAAACTGCATCTCAAAAAAAAAAAAAAAACAAACAAAAACTAAAAATAGAACTACCATATGATCCAGCAATCCACTTACGGGTATTTATCCAAAAGAATTCATTTATTTATTTATTTATTTATTTATTTATTTTTGAGACGGAGTTTTGCTCTTGTTGCCCAGGCTGGAGTGCAGTGACGCAATCTCGGCTCACCGCAACCTCTGCCTCCCGGGTTCAAGTGATTCTCCTGCCTCAGCCCTCTGAGTAGCTGGGATTACAGGCATGCACCACCATGCCCGGCTAATTTTGTATTTTTAGTAGAGATGGGGTTTCTCCATGTTGGTCAGGCTGGTTTCGAACTCCCGACCTCAGGTGATCCACCCTCCTCGGCCTCCCAAAGTGCTGGGATTACAGGTGTGAGCCACAGAACCCAGCCTATCCAAAAGAATTTAAAACAGGGTCTTGAAAAAATATTTGCACTCTCATATTCACTGCATCATTATTTACAATAGTCAACAGATGGAAACAACCTAAATGTTAATTGATGGATGGATGCATAAAGAAAATGCAGTATATTCATACAATAGAATATTATTCAGTATTAAAAGGAAGAAAATTCTGACGCAAGTTGCAACATAGATTAACCTTCAGCACATTATGCTAAGTGCAGTAAGCCCATCACAGAAGGACAAATCCTACATGACTCCTCTTATACGAAGTATGTAAAGTAGTCTAACTCATACCGCAGAAAGTAAAATGGCATTTGCCAGGAACTGGGAGTAGGTAAAAATGGGAAGTTGCTGTTCAGTGGATATAGTTTCAGTTATGTAAGATGAAAAGGTTCTAGAGATTTGCTGTACAACAATGTGCATATCGTTCATAACACCGTTTTTAACAGTTGAAAACTTTTAAAAGAGTAGATTTCCTGTTGTGTAGTTTCATTTACCACAATTGAATAAAACTGAAATACATTTGAATCAACTCAATAAATCTTTATTTGAGTGATCACTATGTACCCAGACCTTGTTAGTATTGTGAAAAACACAGGAGGAGAAGATTAAAAATCCAATTTATAATGAACTTATAACCCATTGACAGTCCAAAAATATGTGAGGTTTACACTTTAGAAGCATTTTCAAATTCACAATCTCGTTTATCAAAAAGACCCTGTGAAGTGTATTATTATTCCAGTTTCATAGCTGAGATGACTTGGCTTTAGGTTCATTGCCTAAAGTCGCCCAGCCAGTAAGAGGTAGAGCCAGAATTTTTTAAATAACAGCTTTACTGAGATATAATTCTTATACCATGAATTCACCCTTTTAAAAAAGTGTCAGTTCAGTGGCTTTTAGTATGTTTAGTATGTTAACACAATTGTGAAACCATCACAACTATCAAATTCCACAACATTCTTTCTTTTCTTTTTTTTTTTTTCGAGATGGAGTTGCACTCTGTCGCTCAGGTTGGAGTGCAGTGGCACGATCTCGACTCACTGCAACCTTTGCCTCCAGGGTTCAATCGATTCTCCTGCCTCAGCCTCCCAAGTAGCTGGGATTACAGGTGCACGCCACCACACCCGGCTAATTTTTGTACTTTTAGTAGAAACAGGGTTTCACCATGTTGGCCAAGCTGGTCTCAAACTCCTGATCTCAAGTGATCCACCTGCCTCGGCCTCCCATAGTGCTGGGATTACAGGTGTGAGCCACTGCACCTGGCCAAATTCCACAACATTCTTTTCATCCCAATAATAAACCCTGTATGCTTATTAGTAGTCACTCCACATACTCCCCTCCCCACAGGCCCTGGAAACCACTAAACTACTTTCTGTGCCTGTGAATATGCCTATTCAGGACATTTTATGTAAACTGAATCATACAACATATGGCTTTTGTGTCTGGCTTCTTTCACCTAGCATAATGTTTCCAAGGTCATCCATGTGGTAGCACATATCACTGCTTCCTTCCTTTTCAAGGCTGAAGAGTAGTCCACTGCATGGAAATATCACACTTTGTTTATCCATTTATCAGTTGATAGACATTTGGTTTGTTTCCACTTTTTAGTTACTTTGAAAAATGCTGCTCTGAATATTTGTGTATAAGTTTCGTGTGATCCTTTTTCTTGAGTATATACCTAGGTGTGGAAAAACCAGGATTTGAATACAGGTCACTTCAGCCCAACCTGATACAACAAATTACTGAAATTATTCTAATGACACCAGAGGCAGTGAAGTGTAGGGACCACAACACTGATGTGGGGCTTGGGTAACCCAAATTCTGGGCACCACTCTGTCACTCACTAGCTGTGTGCACAGCCTCTCCAGACATTCAGGGATTACACTAGAATGAGCTCTGTGGTCCTTTCCAACTCCAAAGTGATGCTATGGCGGCTGACATCCAGTGGAAAATGCTGTCAAAAGCAGAAATTGTATTACCACTAAATACATGGGCTTTAGTGCTGGGATATTTATTTATTTATCTTTCAGAAGTGGGATCCTGCTGTTTCCAAGGCTGGTCTCAAATTCCTGGGCTGAAGTGATCCTCCTGCCTCAGCCTCCCAAGTAGCTGGGATAGGGCAAACGGCCCAAACTGACAGAAAATGAAAGTCCCTGAGATCTACTGATGTAAAAATGCAAACCCTGCTGGAATCATGCCCGTGGGAAAGGCCTATTTTTCTCCCTCCAGCCCACTGTCTTGCCTCCCCTTGTGGATAATGAAGCTTCAACCAATGCAATCATTCAACCTTGGAAACCAGCCAAGACAAAAAGTGACAGGGCCTGGGGCTCCGCTAGGGACAGAGCACTCACTGTTGTCATTTGCTGCATCCACACATTCCTGAGGGCACAAAAACACACAGCGGAGGGCAGCCCAGGCTGCTGGCTCCCTGGAGGCCATTTCACTGTCACTGCCCTTAGGCTGAAGTTGCTGTGAAGCACCTTCCCTCAGAGCAGGGAGAGCAGGGTTTCGATGGGACCCACGAGGAGGCTCACAGGTAGGAAATCAGCAGCACTATATCTCCATCTCACCCTCTTCAGAAGGCCAAAATAACCCTCCTATAGGGGTGAGAGCTCAGGAAAATATTTACTTTAGTTGGGTTTATTAAAAAGAAAAGAAAAAGAGGAAATAATTCCGTTTCAGACTGAATACGATTCTGATGTATGCCAAAAATTTCACCTCATCAGTTTTCCTTGTAGCTTCAAAATTTGCAACAGTGGTGTTGGTTTCTTCAGTTTTTGCTTATTATGAGACAAATAAACTGATTTCCATAAGCAGGAGAAAAGAAATCAAGCCCATTACTTTGTAAGCAGCCCTGAATTTTTTAAAAGCAAACCTTACACAAACATCTCCTACCTTGAAACCCAGATCTATGCAAAGTGCACTCCTACCCCCTCACTGTCCACCTTTCACCCCCGTCCAGGACTCTTCCATAGGAGGCACTCAGCAAATGTGATGTGAGTTTATTCAACCAAATAGAACTTCATATGGTGCCCAATAGGAACCCAAACCTTTGTCCTGGAAGTTTAATACTGTTCTGGAGTCAGCAGCTCTGATTCCCCATTGTCGAGGGGAGGCCTGCTTCCCACTGCCCTCCTCTTCCTCCCCTCTTCAATCTCTTGCTATCTTCCTTTATTAATCCTTTTTGTTTTTTCCAGAGATGGAGTCTTCCTCTGTCACCCAGGCTGGAGTGTAGTGGCATGATCTTGGCTCACTGCAACCTCTGCCTCCCAGGTTCAAGCAATTCTCCTGCCTCAGCCTCCCGAGTAGCTGGGATTACAGGCGCCCACCACCATGCCAGGCTAATTTTTGTATTTTTAGTAGAGACAGGGTTTCACCATGTTGGCCAGGCTGGTCTCGAACTCCTGACCTTGTGGTTCACCTGCCTTGGCCTCCCAAAGTGCTGGGATTACAGGCGTGAGCCACCGTGCCCAGCCTATCAATCCTTTTTACACTTGCTTCCGTTTCTCTTACCTCTTTCAGCTGATCCTTCTATATGACTTCATCTTTCTATTCTGGTCTCAAAACCCCCACCAGCCAGTTGGCACAAAGTCAACAACTAAGATCAATTTCATGCAGCACCTTCTTTCCCTTTCCTTCCCTCCTAATCCTCTCATAGGAAAGGGGGCCACACCCTGTCCAGAGCCTTGGTCTGTTAGAAGCCTATTGGGTCTCCGAGAGATAAGAAGGCTAAGAGAAGTTTAGATGCATTTTCCTCAGTCATCTGCTACTTTACCCTATGCACTTTGAGACCCTGGAATCCAAGAGTATTCAAGGGGCAGCATCTATGTAATTTCAGTTTTGTTTTGTTCCTGCATTACAAGTAGGGTTGGTCTAGATATGTACCTGTTCCTCCCAGAAAGCCCTTCACAGGCAACGTCTCATTTAAACTGCATGACAATCCAGAGCAGACCACAGCTTCTGGGCACTTTCCCCAAAGTCTCAAATCCAGTTAGTGCAGAGCTGGGAACCAAACACTCCTGGCACCAAGTCCCCAGCTGCCTTCCTCTGAAGCAAAGATTCCTCTATTTTGATTCCCTGGCTTTTCCCTCAGCTGTGGATTCCATCCCAGCCTGCATGCCCCATACTTTTCAAAGGTCTACTTTCAATCTGGAATACCCTGCAAACTCCTAGAGGACAATTCCACACAAAATTCAGAGACAAGGCCAGTCACAGTGGCCCATGCCTGTAATCCCAGCACTTTGGAAGGCCAAGGCGGGCAGATCACTGGAGGCCAGGAGTTCAAGAGCAGCCTGGCCAACATGGTGAAACCCTGTCTCTACCAAAAATACAAAAATTAGCTGGGTGTGGTGGTGCTCCTCACAGCTACTCGGGAGGCTGAGGCAGGAGAATCGCTTGAGCCCAGGAGGTGGAGGTTGCAGTGAGCCAAGATCACTCCACTGCACTCCAGCCTGGGGGATAGTGCAAGACTCTGTCTGGGGAAAGACAAAAAAAAAAAAAAAAAAAAAAAAAAAACTCAGAGACAGTTGAGACATCAAGATTCTGAATGAGGCCCAGAAAGAAAAGGAGTATGTATTATGGCTAGAATTTCTAGAAATCCATTTCTGAGTTTCGAAGGTTTCTAGGAAAGTGTTTGCTTCCTCTTTAGACTATTAGACATTTTCTTCAGCTGTCTGTTTTCAAAGCACTGAACTCAAGAAGAAATTAAAAGTAGGCACACATGCCTATTCACACCAGGAATAACAAGGATCTAGTATACAATGGTTTGCAACCTTAGACCTCAATATGTGTGACAAATGGCATTCAAAAGCCTAGCACGTGCTCTTGGATGTACCCAGAATTTAGCACTCCCCATATTTAGGGAAGCCCTGAACTAACTAATTGTCCCTACCATTTTAAGTGGTGATCAGCAATAGGAGGGTTCACACAAAACACGAACAAAGGTTGCACTTGCACACAGTTTGTACAATCCACCCCTTTCTCCCACTTAAGAAATCATATTGGAATTCTTTTTTTTTTTAATTTGAGACTGAGTCTCACTCTGTCACCCAGGCTGGAGTGCAGTGGTGCAATCTCAGCTCACTACACTTCTACCTCCCGGGTTCAAGTGATTCTCCTGCCTCAGGCTCCCGAGTAGCTGAGATTACAGATGTGCATCACCATGCCCTGCTAATTTTTGTATTTTTAGTAGAGATGGGGTTTCGCCATGTTGGCCAGGCTGGCCTCAAACTCCTGACCTCAAGTGATCTGTCTGCCTTGGCCTCCCAATGCGCTGGGATTACAGGCATGAGCCACCATGCCCAGCCTGGAATTCTTGTAAGAGTATTACGGAGATTATCATGAATTGACTCTAAATCGTTTAAAAATACATCTTTCACAAACAGCAATACCTTAAATATTATTACAAATTGATTATCTCTAATTCAAAAACACAAAATCTGAATTGCTCCAAAATTCAAAATGTTTTGAATGCCAACATGACACTCAAAGGAAAAGCTCACTTGAGCATTTTAGATTTGGGGATGCAAATACTCCAAAATCCAAAAAAATCTAAAACACTTCTGGTCTGAGCATTTGGTGTAAAGGATACTCAACCTGTAACAATATTGCAAATTACTTGCAACAAGCCCTATAAATAAGAAGCACTGGTATGGAAAAACAATCTCACAAAAAGGAATTTGAAGATAAAATCTTTCAAGCCATCATAGGAAAAAATTCATATACTCTTTGTGAGTCAGACTGAAGCTTTTTCAAGGAAAGAGCATGTCTCATTTATTAAGACATTTTCCACACTGTCTACAAATGCCTGTGACACAAATACAAAAAGCTTAATACATTTCTGATTGAATAATTTTAAATGGTCTTTTCACTTTTCCACAAATTAAGTCTCTCTACTTCCCTCCCAGTTCAAAGAATCATTGGATAAGACATTTTCCACACTGTCTACAAATGCCTGACACAAATACACAAAGCTTAATACATTTCTGATTGAATAATTTTAAATGGTCTTTTCATTTTTCCACAAATTAAATCTCTCTACTGCCCTCCCCAGTTCAAAGAATCACTGGATTTTAGGGTTAGGAAGACATTTAAGGCTTTCTGTTCAATTAACCACACTAACAAACATTTATCAAATAACTATGTGTTCATGGTGTGCTAAGGGCTGTAGGCTGTATATGCATGATCTCATTTAATACTCACAAACTCATGAAGTAATATTATCATTATTTGGTAGAAAAGGAAAATAAGTTCGGAGGAGTTAAGCTACTTGCCTAAAGTTGCTCGACCAGTAAGATGTAGAACCTAGACTGTGACCAGGTCTGTCCAGTCCCAAAGTCCACCACCCGGAGGTCCAGAGAGATCCAATGCCTTGCTGGTGTCAGGGGTCCTGCCTTTTCTGCACTTTCCACCACCCCACCCTTCACTAATGAAATAGCACCAGGGTAGAGCCACCACCACTTCCTGGAGCCAGGAGCTCTAGATTGGAAGGATGCTGTTCTCACGTGAGAAGAGCCTATTTCTCCAGCAAGCCCACCACACGTATCTGCCCCTTGGACATCAGGCTGTGGGAAAAGCAGACTGATAATTTTCCCCAAGGTTGCTCAAGAACAACAGCTCAGTACAAATTTGGGTCATTTCTGAGAATGGCTTTCATAACTCAGCTCGCCCTATTTCCTGCCCCTTCTTGACTGCATCAACTGACTGTCCTGCCCTTAGTGATGAATAATTTCTCAGAATTGTTGTCTAATAAATAGATTTAGGTGCCCTGCCTCTCTTTTAGTGGCGATTCCAGTATTCTCTGTAATTTTCCAAATTTTGTGTAACTCCCTGCAAAGTTCATCCCTCCCACACCATCATCCCCTACTCCCCTCCAACCTCAAGAGTCTACTTCTGCCGTTCTTTGCAGTTTTCCTCTACTTTTCTTCATAAACCACTCAAATAAAATGTAAATATGAAGTTCTACCTTCTCCTGTAGATTGTTGAAGTCAGATTAGATGCATGTGATAGGTGAAACAGCAATCCAGGTCATATGGCAGCTGAAGACTTTGTCCCCACTTCAGTATGCATCTGTGGGGAAAAGCACGCCCCAATGTGGTCCCTAATGTCTGGCTCCTCTGTTTCTGCTAGATGTTGGGGGAGGACTGATGCCAAGGAGGTATTCAGCAGAGCTCAGGAAGGCATCATCGACACCTCTCAGTAGCCTCCTGGTATCAGCCCAACCAAACTGTCCCTGTTGGGTCAATTCCTACTCAAGCCTCAGGAACACCCTCTCCTTCAGCAGAGGGCTGAATTGAGTCCTTTATTCCTGTGGCTTTTCTTTGCTCTCTAACAATGCTGCATAATCTACAGAAAGAATGTCTTAATTTCAGTGTGTCTGTGCGGTTCCATTGGCTGTTTTTCAAATAAGGAATTCTCAGACTCCCTATAGCGCCAGACTCCTCAAGAGCAACACTGTAACTAGACTTTAGCAGCATTTCCAAACCCTCAGTCTGTTTTTGTATGATTGGAGGGCTGCAATCTAGCTACTGTACATTCCAGAAACAACTGTATATCCTGGAAACAAAGCCAAAGTCAGGGACAGGCCAGTGTGTTAACATGCAGCTGTGAAGAATTTTCTTAAGGGCTTGCTATGACAGTATTTAAAATACCATTCCTGGCCAGGTGCAGTGGCTCACGCCTGTAATCGCAGCACTTTGGGAGGCCGAGGCGGGCAGATCACCTGAGGTCAGGAGTCCGAAACCAACATGGCAAAACCCCGTCTCTACTAAAAATACAAAAATTAGCCGGGCACGGTGGTGGGCGCCTGTAATCCCAGCTACTCAGGAGGCTGAGGCAGGAGAATCGCTTGAACACAGGAGGCGGAGACTGCAGTGAGCTAAGATCGCGCCATTGCACTCCAGCCTGGATGACAGGGCAAGACTGCATCTCAAAAAAAATAAATATATAAAAATAAAATATCATTCCTGTAAAAGGCTTCGTTCTAAAGGGGAAAGCGAAAGTTTGGAACAAAAAGGAATCATCAGAAAACACAATACCTTAAGGAAAATCAAAAAGCCTCACCTTCATCTTAGGTCATGGGAGAAGTGCCCACAGGCTGCATGAACCATATTATTAGCACATATGTTCTGCAGCTCATAATGCTTAATCGCAAACATGTGGGGTATTTAGTTCAGCTATGTGACAGGGAATAACATTTGTAAAATATTAAACCACAGCAAAACCTAACCATGCTTTCAAATATTGTCAGTGCTGGTTCCAGCTCAATTCCCTAACACTGCCCCTCCCCTACGGCATTTAACCTTCATTTTTCCAGCATAAACTTGGGTGCCAACTTTTTTTTTTTACCTTGTTCTAATAATCTGTTCATTTCCTAAATTTAGAGAATAGTGACATAGATTCTCTCTTTGACCAAATTCTAGCCAGGCTCAGAGTCTGCTTCTTGAATAGGCCTTTCAACTTCAGCCTGTAACGACTTGAACAAACACTAATATTGCTTCCAATGGCTCGAGGCCACACCACCACAACACCAGCCCCTCTTAAAGTGCCCGCCTGAGAAAACGCAAGGCTGCCTGAAGAATTCAATGTTTGTTTCAATCAATGCCTGAAGATAGGGTCCCTCTAGCGTCAGTGGGAGAGTAGGAGCCTAACTTTGATAAATGCCAGTTTGCAAACCCAGATGGATTTCACATGGACCAACCCCTCCTTCCCACTTTTTGTAATTTTTCACTTCCCTGACTCCCTTGAGCTCATTCTCCCTTTAAAATGCCCAGTCACAGGTCGGGTGCGGTGGCTCACGCCTGTAATCTCAGCACTTTGGGAGACTGAGGTGGGCGGATCACCCGACGTCAGAAGATTGAGACCAGCCTGACCAACATGGTGAAACCCCGTCTCTACTAAAAATACAAAAATTAGCCGGGCATGGTGGAGACTGAGGTGGGCAGATCACCTGACGTCAGAAGATCGAGACCAGCCTGACCAACATGGTGAAACCCCGTCTCTACTAAAAATACAAAAATTAGCCGGGCGTGGTGGTGGGCACCTGTAATCCCAGCTACTTGGGAAGCTGAGGCAGGAGAATCACTTGAACCTGGGAGGTGGAGGTTGCAGTGAGCCAAGATGGTGCCACTGCACTCCAGCCTGGGTGACAGAGTGAAACTCCATCTCAAAAAAATAAAAACTAATATGCCCAGTCACCTCTGTACAAATGGAAATTGAGTTTGGTTCAAGCTAGACTCTTTTCCCTGTTGCAATAGTTATTACCAATTAAAAATCTATTCTCACCACTTTAACTAATGTCCAGCTGTGTTTATCTTTGACAGTAATATGAACAGAATCCAACCCAAACTGGCTAGTCCCAGAAAATGGTCATTACATGAACAAAGAGAAGATTTGGAGTTGGGTGGGTATTCGGATTTTAGAATTTTATCCTTATTATCATGACATTTCTATGATGTATCCATACCATGTTCATGTCACTGCCATAGATGCTATAGAAATTTGCTAAGCAGGTCACTGAGCCACAGTTTCCTCATCTGTAAAATGGTAATATTAATTTTACCTCATATGTAAATTGCCTCATAAATGTACTCGATATATGTTAGTTTTCCTTTCTCCTCCTCTGTCCCTACTCTAGCCTTTAGAACACCTGCTTTCTCCAGTCAGGAGGAAGCTAAAGAGGCCCAACTCTGGACCTTGGTTTACCATCAAGACAACTTGCTATGAATCTTTTTCTAGAACTGTGTCTCCATTCTGCCTAACTTATGACCATGCCTGTATTCTGCCCTGGGGATCTGATAATATAATTCCCTGTCTTAGATCCCTGTGCCCAATTCCCTGCTCAGGGATCCTCCTTTGTTATGGGCTTAATGTTTGTGTCCCCACAAAATTCCTATGTTGAAACCTGAATCCCAATGTGATGATATTTAGAGATGGGGCCATTAGAAGGTAATGAGGTCATGAGTGTAGAGCCCTCATGAATAGGATTAGTACCTGTATAAGAAGTCGGAGGCTGGGCGCGGTGGCTCACGCCTGTAATCCTGGCACTTTGGGAGGCCGAGGCGGGTGGATCACGAGGTCAGGAGATCGAGACCATCCTGGCTAACATGGTGAAACCCTGTCTCTACCAAAAATACAAAAAATTAGCCGGGCGTGGTGGCGGGCGCCTGTAGTCCCAGCCACTCGGGAGGCTGAGGCAGGAGAATGGCATGAACCTGGGAGGCGGAGCTTGCAGTGAGCAGAGATCACACCACTGCACTCCAGCCTGGGCGACAGAGCGAGACTCCTTCTTATAAAAAAAAAAAAAAAAAAAAAAAGAAGAAGCCGGAGGGCCAGGGACAGTGGCTCACGTCTGTAATCCCAGCACTTTGGAAGGCTGAGGCAGGTGGATCACCTGATATCAGGAGTTCAAGACCATCCTGCCCAACATGGTGAAACCCCGTCTCTACTAAAAATACAAAAATTAGCCGGGCGTGGTGGTGCACGCCTGTAATTCCAGCTACTCAGGAGGCTGAGGCAGGAGAATCACTTGGACCCAGGAGGCAGAGGTTGCAGTGAGCCAAGATCGTGCCACTGCACTCCAGCCTAGGTGACAGAGTGAGACTCCATCTTAAAAAAAAAAAAAAAAAGAAAGAAAGAAAGAAAGAAGAAATAAGGAAGAAGAAGAAGAAGAAAGAAGGAAGAAGAAGAAGAAGAAATAAGAAAGAAGAAGAAGAAGGAGAAGGAGAAAGAGAAGGAGAAGGAGAAGGAGAAGGAGAAGGAGGAGGAGGAGGAGGAGGAGGAGAAGGAGAAGGAGAAGAAGAAGAAGAAGAAGAAGAAGAAGAAGAAGAAGAAGAAGAAGAAGAAGAAGAAGAAGAAGAAGAAGAAGAAGAAGAAGAAGAAAGAAGAAGAAGAAGAAGAAGAAGAAGAAGAAGAAGAAGAAGAAGAAGAAGAAGAAGAAGAAGAAGAAGAAGAAGACACCGCCACTGCCACTGGAGGACCTAGCTCACTCTCTTTCTGCCATGTGAGGATGTAATGAGAAATCAGCCATCTGCAACCCTCACCAGAACCCAACCATGCTAGTACCCTGATCTTAGACCTCAGCCTCTGGAACTGTGAGAAATAAATCTCTGTTGCTTATAAGCCACCTGGTCTATGGTATTTTGTGATAGTAGCTCAAACTTGAAGACATTCTTGAAGATACCATCTCTCTAAATGGAGAAAACTTAATAGGTTTGTGGAGAAAATACCCATGGTCAAATGCCTTTGAGAAATCCTTATCAGAAAGGGCTTACAGGTCTCTTCATGGCAATCCTTCCCAGAGCCAGTCACGGGCCTCTAACAGGAGGGAGAAACAGGTAGTTTTCCTTAAGAACCCACGTGGAGGGCAGGCGTGGTGGCTCACACCTGTAATCCCAGCACTTTGGAGGGCTGAGGTGGGTGGATCGCTTGAGTCAGGAGTTCAAGACCAGCCTGGGCAACATAGTGAGACCTCATCTCCATTAAAAGTTAAAAAAAAAAAATTCGCCAGGCATGGTGGCATGTGGCTGTAGTCCCAGCTACTTAGGAGGCCGAGGTGAGAGAACTGCTTGAACCTGGAAGGTTGACGCTGCATTGAGCCGAAATCACACCACTGCACTCCAGCCTGAATCACAGTGAGACCACGTCTCAAAAACAACAACAACAACAAAAACAAACAAACAAACAAAAAAAGCCACGTGGAGGGTGTGCCTCAGAACCCTCAGGAGCATGCTGAAGACACAAGAGTCTGAGACTAGGGAACACACAGTCCACCTTTACCTCTGGACACCTCGGCCTTTTGTATTCTATTGCCCACTGTCTGCTATGACCATGGGTACTGGCTCTGTGCCTATAGCAGCTTCTTTGACTTAGCAGGGTCTTAGCATCACTCAGGACAAGTAAGAGCCACAGATTCTTTTCCTGGGAGACCAGCAGTCCGCGTAGGAGGACATCCCTGCCTTTGCTTTCCAAGACAGCAGACCAAAGAGCTTCCACACAGACCATGACTGGAATGAGCTCTTGCTTTTGACCTTGGCAAACATGTGAGGGCTTTCTTCCCCAGAGCATCCTCTGGGCATTGAGAATGGCACCTGGCAGCTCTCATCACAGCCCCTCTGACTGTCAACACTCAAGCCTCCCACCCATAGGCCCCAGGACTCTCCTGGCTAAGGTGGAGAAATCAGGGGATTTCCCATGGGAATGGGTCTCTGCAATGCTGCAGGATGCCCAGTGTGCACTCTGCCTAGGGCCATGGGGCCACAGTCTGTCTCCACTCAACCTTACCATGTCACCATTCCTGGTTACCTGCCCTTCACAGGCCTCTGGGAACCCTCCTCAGTTTCCCACTTCAGAGGGCAAGGTCAGTCAGTCTCTCATCTACAATTTGAGTAAGTATCACTGAACTCTTGGGCTGTTCTCTCTGGGGAAAGTGAGCATCCAGTGTGTTGTTCAACCAAGTGTTGTCCAAGTTATCAAGGAGGAAGCTCCCTTAATGGGGGCTTTCCCTGTGCTGGACACAGTGCTGGGGCTCATGGTCTCAACCAGCCATCTGTCTGGCCTATAGGTCTGCTCTCCACCCACAGAACCTGTAGGTGGCAAGATGGGCAACTTCTGAGCCACAATTAAAAGGAGCTCCTCCTTCATAAGCTTCTGTGCTCTAGCCACAGCAAAGGCTCAACCCAAAAAGGCAGAAGAGCACAGAGATTTAGCATCACCAGCTTTCATGCCAAAGTCACCTGGCCTCTCATGGCATTTCTTCTACTTAGCATCTCTGAGGCAGTGTTGCTTCGTATCTTTTGGCCTCACTTTGCTTTTCTGTAAAGTGAAAATAAGTAACACCTACTTCACAAGGACCAAATAAATTAACGTTAGCAAAATTCTGCATAGTAGGCACTTTAAACAAATGCTTGTCACAAGTATGGGCAGGGTGTTCAAATCAGCATTCGCCATTGCTACAAGCCTAGGATCCCTGAGCAGCAAGGCGGTGTCAAACCTGCAGGCATCCCCACTGGGAGTTCTGAGGTTTCTGAACAACTCTGAACTGGTCTCTCATTCTCAAACAACAGAATATCAAGGTTCAATCCCAGTGTGTTCTGATTTGAAAAATGTGTAACATGAAAGGAACTAATTAATCAAGCAAGTCAGAACAGCACCTGCAGATGTCAAAACTAACTGGGAAAAAGACTAATCAAAAGTAACATGAGGCCAGGTGCGGTGGCTCACACCTGTAATCCCAGCACTTTGGGAGGCCAAGGTGGGTGGATTACTTAAGGTCAGGAGTTAGAGACAAGCCTGGCCAACGTGGTAGAACCCCGTTTCTACTAAAAATACAAAAATTAGCTGGGCGTGGTGGCGCACGCCTGTAATCCCAGCTACTCGGGAGGCTGAGGCACGAGAATCACTTGAACCGGGGAGGCAGAGGTTGCAATGAGCTGAGATTGCACCACTGCACTCCAGCCTGGGTGACAGAGTGAGACTCTGTTTCAAAAAAATAAAAAATAAAAGTAATGTGGGAACTTCATACATGTGGCTGACGACTGAAAGGTGAAAACCTGAAAACCTGGGTTAATATTCATTACCACCACCCAGGACTTAGCATTACTCTGTACCAATGGGTCTCAAACAGGAGCAAGTTAACTCCCCAGGAAACATTTGGCAGTGTCCGGAGACATTTTTCATTGTCACAACTGACAATCAGGAATGCTACTAGCGTCTAGTAAGTAGGGGCCAGAGATGCTGCTAAACATTCTACAATGCACAGGGCAGCCCCACAACAAGAATTTTCCAGTCCAAAATGTCAAAAGCAAGGAGGTCAGTGAGCTGGGATCCACCCTTCTGTATGTGTCTGCTTCGTAGATAATGAATCAGAGGCTTCTATTTGATGATTTTCCTGAGGTTCGCACAATCAGAAAATGATGCTATCAGAGTTGAACCCTGTCCATAGCCCCAAATTCTGCACTTTGCCCTATAGTATACTGACTTCCGAGATGGAAATCGGAAGGGAGAAAGGGCAGATAAAAGAATATTTGTAAAGCCTTGATGGGATTTGTACACCAAATATAATCTAGAAAACAAAGGAGAGTGGGGCATCTGGCCCTTGGACTAGTGGAGCCACAGGAGAGACAGGACAGGGAGCTGGTTTTATGCACATTGGTCAGGTCTGAGGTATGTCCACATGGAAGCCTCATTCATGAAGCTAGACACAAGAGGCAGTATCCAGAGAGAAAACCAAGGGCTAGAGGTAGAGAGTGGAGGTCTTTCAGCGCTGTGAGAGCTGAATGCAAGACAATGGGTAAAGCCCCAGGGCTGGGTCACTTTACAAGAGGAGGAAATGAAAAGGAGAAAGTAAGACACACACAAAAAGCTAAGGTGAAACCAGGAGGTGGAGGAGCCCCCAAGGCAGAAAAGTTCCCTCATGGGCCCTAGAAGAACAGCAGAGAGCAGAGACAAGGGGAGACTTTGGGGCTTGCTGATTAGGTGGGTGGGGATAAAGTGAGGGCCAATTTCAAGGAGGCTAGGCTGCCAGTCTGGAAGCAAGGGAGCACGTGGCCTGCTTGCCCAGCATGGATGCTGGGGCCTGGGGTAGAGGCCTGGATCTTAACCCCCACCCTCTCGCCCAGCTCCTGGGTTTCTGCAGCTGTGCTCACTGCAGCTGTGGAGCTGTGTTGTTTCCTGGGTGGACTGGTTTCTGGCAGCCCTAGCAACGGCTGCCTCTTCATACCCTATCTACCTTCTGTTCTCAGGAGCAGCACGAAGAGGACCCCTGGGCTTCCTACTCTCCAAAAAATGTAGCCCACCCCTGGCCTTCAGAAGGAGGCAGACAAGCAGGCTTCGTTCAGGCAAAGACCTGCAAACAAGGCCTGCTTTCAGGGCTGCCTGCTGGCATCTGTGTTCTGTGGGCTCTTCAGTGGAAAGAGCAGGGCACTCAAAGACAAATGAGAAAGGGCATTATCCCTAAGGGGTCCCCAGGTTTGGGCTGGGGTGCAGGACCCTGTGGTCACTAGATGGTGATGCCTGAATTTTGATTCTGAATTCTCAAAGGAAGCTGGGAAAATGATGCGAGATCAAGTTAGCTGAAGAGCGTTTGGCTCAGATCACACATTTTAAATATGCAAATTTCCTCCTTCTCCTCTCCCCTGAAGGTCCACTGTCCTTCCTGAAGATAAGCAGAAAGTCCTGGAAGTTTAAAGAACTATAAAAAGGATCTCGCCAGGTCTTAACAGTTCAGTGGGGGGATAAGTGAAACCAATCAGTTTGCTATGAAAATTGGTCAAGTAATTTATCTTAATTACCATGTAATTGCTTTTAGTGTTTTGAGAGGAGACAAGTAACTAAATGGCCCAGAAAGGATATTTAATACCCTAAAACGTAATTCCTTCCCACACACAAAACAAGCTGCATTCAGATTGGAATGGCCTATATGAGAAGTGAAGGACCACCATCTACAGAGAGTCACCCAGGATCTCTACCATTGGATGCTGGGCCTTGGGGAAATGTTGGCCAAAGGTTCTGGTACAAATTCTTGTATCACACATCCCCTGCTTATTCATTCAGCAAAGACCACATCCCCTAAGTGCTGGGTTCTGAGTTAAGCACCATGGAAACTGCAGAGGTCTGATTCCCTGGTGGTATGGTAGGAAAAGGGCTTAGAAGTTAGAGAGATTTGTGTTTCAATCCCAGCCCTGCCACTGCCTAGCAGTGACATGGAGCAAGTTACTTCAATTCCCTGAGCCTCTGTCTTCTCAGGTGTGAAACAAGGATAACATTAGTTACGTTTATGCTCTGGATGTTTATGTCTCCCAAAATTCATATGCTGAAACTTAATCCCCAATGTGACAGTAACAAGAGGTGGGCCCTTTGGGAGGTGATTAGGTCATAAGGGCTCTGACCTTATGAACAGAATTAGTGTCTTTATCAAAGAGGCCCCAGAGAGCTTGTTTGTCCCTTCCGCCATCTGAGAACACATAGAAGGTGCCATCTGTGAGGAACAGGACCTCAGCAGACATCAAGTCCACTGGAGCCTTGATATTGGACTTCCCAGCCTCCAGAACTGTGAGCAAGACATTTCTCTTCTTATAAGCTACTCAATCTAAGCTATTTTTTGTTATAGCAAGCTCAAGGGAGTAAGACAGTTATGTTAAATGATTCTTGCACATACTAAATAAAGTAACATCTGTAAAATGCCAGGTACATGGGGGAGATGTTAAATAGAAGCTCTTGTTACTACAGGTTGAATATCCCTTATCTAAAACGCTTGGGACCAGAAGTGTTTCAGATTTCAGATGTTTTCAGATTTTGAAATATTTGTATTATACTTACCAGCTCAGCATCCCTAATCTGAAAATCCAAAATCTGAAATGCTCCAATGAGTATTTCCTTTCAGCCTCAGGTCAGCATTCGAAAAGGTCCTAACTTTCGAGATTTCAGATTTTGGATTAGGGACACTCAACCTGTATAGATGCCTGCTCCTAAGGCTTTTATAACCTTGTAGGAAAGGCCAGAGAAAACAACAAATGAAAGATAAAATGTGCTCATCCTTCTCTGCTAAAGTGCACTGGGAGGTTAGGAATGAGCAGTATCAAATGCAGCCCTGGCTCAGGAGCAAGGAAGGCTTCATGGGGAAGGGACATCTGCTTGAGTAAAGACATAGGGCAGCAAACAAGCCCTTTGCCACTATACCCTCTGCTCATGTTTCTGTTGATTTGAGTTATGTGCCAGTTAACGCCAGTGTAAAAGAATTTCTCCCACCTGGCTTTATTCACCCCAGTAAGCAGATACAAAATCCAATTACACACACTGTGATCATAGCTATGGCAGATCTCTTCTCTGGCTGCCTAAACTGGGCCACAAGCCACTGAGCAGAGATTAGCAGTATTGTGTGTGTGCCACAAAATCAAATGCATATTGGTTTGTCCATGGCCAGTCCTAGGCTGTTGCTGACCATCATGCTCACCTGGAAATGTCCACATCACTGTGGACACAGGCAAGTACTGCTGAATTACAGATAACATAACAACAGCATGTTTGCTTCTATTCCTCTCTACTTCCACGGAATTCCATTGATATATATGTGTATAAATACGTAACAACTTGAACAATACTCAAAATAGAGAAAGATTTTTTTCTTTCTCTATTTTGAGACAGACAGAGTTTCGCTCTTCGCCCAGGCTAGAAGTGCAATGGTGCGATCTTGGCTCACTGCCGCCTCTGCCTCCCGGGTTCAAGCGATTCTTCTGCCTCAGCCTGCCGAGTAGCTGGGATTACAGGCATGTGCCACCAAGCCCAGCTAATTTTTGTATTTTTGGTAGAGATGGGGTTTCTCCATATTGGTCATGCTGGTCTCGAACTCCCGACCTCAGGTGATCCACCCACCTCAGCCTCCCAAAGTGCTGGGATTACAGGCATGAGCCACCGCACCTGACAGATTTTTAAAATTCTTTATTAAGGTCCTATATACAAAGCAGTTATAAAAGATTGGCATTAACTTTAGTAATGTCTTAGTCTCAAAAGCAAACTTCAGCACACAAAAAATAATATTTAAGTCTCCAAGTCTATGGGGAGTGCTTGCAAAATACTTGTGAACTTTATTGAATTTCAAAGACTACCAAAGGCTTTAACAAAAAATTTTGCACTTAGCCCCTAACCGCGAGTGATCCGCCAACCTCGGCCTCCCGAGGTGCCGGGATTGCAGACGGAGTCTCGTTCACTCAGTGCTCAATGGTGCCCAGGCTGGAGTGCAGTGGCGTGATCTCGGCTCACTACAACCTACACCTCCCAGCCGCCTGCCTTGGCCTCCCAAAGTGCCGAGATTGCAGCCTCTGCCCGGCCGCCACCCCGTCTGGGAAGTGAGGAGTGTCTCTGCCTGGCCGCCCATCGTCTGGGATGTGAGGAGCCCCTCTGCCTGGCTGCCCAGTCTGGAAAGTGAGGAGCGTCTCTGCCCGGCCGCCATCACATCTAGGAAGTGAGGAGCCTCTCTGCTCGGCCGCCCATCGTCTGAGATGTGGGGAGCGCCTCTGCCCCGCCGCCCCATCTGGGATGTGAGGAGCGCCTCTGCCCGGCCGAGACCCCGTCTGGGAGGTGAGGAGCGTCTCTGCCCGGCCGCCCCGTCTGAGAAGTGAGGAGACCCTCTGCCTGGCAACCACCCCGTCTGAGAAGTGAGGAGCCCCTCCGCCCGGCAGCTGCCCCGTCTGAGAAGTGAGGAGCGTCTCCGCCCGGCAGCCACCCCATCTGGGAAGTGAGGAGCGTCTCCGCCCGGCAGCCACCCCGTCCGGGAGGGAGGTGGGGGGGGGTCAGCCCCCCGCCCGGCCAGCCGCCCCATCCGGGAGGGAGGTGGGGGGTCAGCCCCCCCGCCCGGGCAGCCGTGCCGTCCAGGAGGGAGGTGGGGGGGTCAGCCCCCCGCCCGGCCAGCCGCCCCGTCCGGGAGGTGAGGGGCGCCTCTGCCCGGCCGCCCCTACTGGGAAGTGAGGAGCCCCTCAGCCCGGCCAGCCACCCCGTCCGGGAGGGAGATGGGGGGGTCAGCCCCCCCACCCGGCCAGCCGCCCCGTCCGGGAGGGAGGTGGGGGGTCAGCCCCCCCGCCCGGGCAGCCGTGCCGTCCAGGAGGGAGGTGGGGGGGTCAGCCCCCCGCCCGGCCAGCCGCCCCGTCCGGGAGGTGAGGGGCGCCTCTGCCCGGCCGCCCCTACTGGGAAGTGAGGAGCCCCTCAGCCCGGCCAGCCACCCCGTCCGGGAGGGAGATGGGGGGGTCAGCCCCCCCACCCGGCCAGCCGCCCCGTCTGGGAGGGAGGTGGGGGGGTCAGCCCCCCGCCTGGCCAGCCGCCCCGTCCGGGAGGGAGGTGGGGGGGTCAGCGCCCCGCCCGGCCAGCCGCCCCGTCTGGGAGGTGAGGGGCGCCTCTGCCCGGCCGCCCCTACTGGGAAGTGAGGAGCCCCTCTGCCCGGCCAGCCGCCCCATCCGGGAGGGAGGTGGGGGGGTCAGCCCCCCGCCCGGCCAGCCGCCCTGTCCGGGAGGGAGGTGGGGGGGTCAGCCCTCCGCCCGGCCAGCCGCCCCGTCTGGGAGTTGAGGGGCGCCTCTGCCCGGCCGCCCCTACTGGGAAGTGAGGAGCCCCTCTGCCCGGCCAGCCGCCCCGTCCGGGAGGGAGGTGGGGGGGTCAGCCCCCCGCCTGGCCAGCCGCCCCGTCCAGGAGGGAGGTGGGGGGGTCAGCGCCCCGCCCGGCCAGCCACCCCGTCCGGGAGGGAGATGGGGGGGTCAGCCCCCCCACCCGGCCAGCCGCCCCGTCCGGGAGGGAGGTGGGGGGGTCAGCCCCCCGCCTGGCCAGCCGCCCCGTCCGGGAGGGAGGTGGGGGGGTCAGCGCCCCGCCCGGCCAGCCACCCCGTCCGGGAGGGAGATGGGGGGGTCAGCCCCCCCACCCGGCCAGCCGCCCCGTCCGGGAGGGAGGTGGGGGGGTCAGCCCCCCGCCTGGCCAGCCGCCCCGTCCGGGAGGGAGGTGGGGGGGTCAGCGCCCCGCCCGGCCAGCCACCCCGTCCGGGAGGGAGATGGGGGGGTCAGCCCCCCCACCCGGCCAGCCGCCCCGTCCGGGAGGGAGGTGGGGGGGTCAGCCCTCCGCCCGGCCAGCCGCCCCGTCTGGGAGTTGAGGGGCGCCTCTGCCCGGCCGCCCCTACTGGGAAGTGAGGAGCCCCTCTGCCCGGCCAGCCGCCCCGTCCGGGAGGGAGGTGGGGGGGTCGGCCCCCCGCCCGGCCAGCCGCCCCATCCGGGAGGGAGGTGGGGGGGTCAGCCCCCCGCCCGGCCAGCCGCCCTGTCCAGGAGGGAGGTGGGGGTGTCAGCCCCACGCCCGGCCAGCCGCCTCGTCCGTGAGGGAGGTGGGGGGGTCAGCCCCCCACCCGGCCAGCCGCCCCGTCCGGGAGGGAGGTGGGGGGGGTCAGCCCCCCTGCCCGGCCAGTGGCCCCGTCCGGTAGGTGAGGGGCGCCTCTGCCCGGCCGCCCCTACTGGGAAGTGAGGAGCCCCTCTGCCCGGCCAGCCGCCCCATCCGGGAGGGAGGTGGGGGGGGTCAGCCCCCCCCGCCCGGCCAGCCGCCCCGTCCGGGAGGTGAGGGGCGCCTCTGCCCAGCCACCTCCCCGTCTGGGAGGTGTGCCCAACAGCTCATTGAGAACGGGCCAGGATGACAATGGCGGCTTTGTGGAATAGAAAGGCGGGAAAGGCGGGGAAAAGATTGAGAAATCGGATGGTTGCAGTGTCTGTGTAGAAAGAAGTAGACATGGGAGACTTTTCATTTTGTTCTGCACTAAGAAAAATTCCTCTGTCTTGGGATCCTGTTGATCTGTGACCTTACCCCCAACCCTGTGCTCTCTGAAACATGTGCTGTGTCCACTCAGGGTTAAATGGATTAAGGGCGGTGCAAGATGTGCTTTGTTAAACAGATGCTTGAAGGCAGCATGCTCGTTAAGAGTCATCACCAATCCCTAATCTCAAGTAATCAGGGACACAAACACTGCGGAAGGCCGCAGGGTCCTCTGCCTAGGAAAACCAGAGACCTTTGTTCACTTGTTTATCTGCTGACCTTCCCTCCACTATTGTCCCATGACCCTGCCAAATCCCCCTCTGTGAGAAACACCCAAGAATTATCAATAAAAAAATAAATAAATAAATAAAAAAAAAAAAAAAAAATTTTGCACTTAAAGTTTGAGTAGAAACGCATACGTGGGAGCCAATGACTGGATGTGCCAACTGACATTTTCGACCTTAGCCTATATGTAAATTTACAGATCTCTAAGTCTCAACCTTGGGTGCTTGAGCCCCTGGCAGGCTAACCTCTTTCCTCCCAACTCTGAGTCCAATTTAAAGAAGCAAAAGGCCGGGCGCAATGGCTCACGCCTGTAATCCTAGCACTTTGGGAGGCCGAGGCAGGCAGATCACCTGAGGTCAGGAGTTCGAAACTAGCCTGGCCAACGTGGTAAAACCCCGTCTCTATTAAAAATACAAAAAATTAGCTGGGCATGGTGGTGCACGCCTGTAATCCCAGCTAGTTGGGAGGCTGAGGCAGGAGAACTGCTTGAACCAGGGAGGTGGAGGTTGCAGTGAGCCGAGATTGTGTCATTGCCCTCCAGCTCGGGCGACAAAGAGAGACTCTGTCTCAAAAACAAATAAACAAATAAATAAAATAAAATAAAGGAGTAACACCCAGCCTCCTCAGGAAGCCCAAGTCATCTCAGGTGCCTCTGCACAGCCCAGCTCAGCAAGGCACACTAGCTCCCAACAGATGCAGCCCAGCACAACCAGGAGCTCACACCACCTCTAAGGTGATGGATGGTCTCCACTGGACACCACCCAGGGTTCTGCTCTCTCCCCACACCCATCTCTCCAACAGACTTTGTATTCCTGCTCACAGCACACAGAAGTCCTTTGGGTGAAGTCCCCACAGCTATTTGCCTGGCCTGGGAACCATGAAGCCAGTATTTAGGTTTTCTTCTAACTCTGCTTCTCTCTGCCTTTGTAAGTTTGAACAAGTCACTGCTATCAAGCAGTTTCCAAGGTCCCTTCAAACTCAAACAATCTACGAGGATCAATTCTCCTAAGAAGGGGTCTAAGGCCAGTCATGGTATCTCACGCCTGTAATCCCAGCACTTTGGAAGGCCGAGGCAGGTGCATCACTTGAGATCAGGAGTTCAAGACCAGCCTGGCCAACATGATAAAACTGTGTCTCTACTAAAAATAAAAAAATTAGCCAGGCATGGTGGCATGTGCCTGTAATCCCAGCTACTTGGGAGGCTGAGGCAGGAGAATCGCTTGAACCCGGGAGGCAGAGGTTGCAGTGAGCCGAGACCATGCCATTGCACTCTGGCCTGGGAAACAAGAGCAAAACTCCACCTCAAAAAAAGGAAAGAGGAAAGGACAGGACAGGACAGGAAAAAAACAAAACAAAACAAACGAGAGAGAGAGAGAAAGGGAGGAGGAAGAGCGGAGGGGAGGGGATGGGACGGGATGGGAAGGGAAGGGAAGGGAAGGGAAGAGAAGGGAAGGGAAGGGTCTACAGAGAGGTATTTGCCCCCTGAAGCTGCCTTTCTGTCTAAACTCTTGAGCCTTCAGGCCGGAGGTTTTCCAAGGCACAGCAACAATATCTTTCATACCCTGCTCTTCTGAAATGTCATCTTGCCCCTCTTCCATCAAGAGGAAGACTCTGTTTCCCCTCCTCTTGGATCTGGTGGGCGCTGTCACTGCTCTGACCATACAATGTAGCAAACATGATGTTGTGACAATTCTAGTCATACCCCTGAAATGACCCAGAAGCTTCCGTTTCTGACTTGTCAGAGTCTGAGATGCCATGTAAGAAGCCCAGCTACTTTGCTGGATAGAGAAGCCACATGGAGCAGCCACTCCAAGGCACCACCTTGGATGTCCATTTGCCATCAGGCTGCAACTACATGAGAAACCTCAAGCAAGAACCACTCAGCTGAGCCCAGTCAACCCATAGAACCAGAAGAGAAAATATTAAATTGTGATTTTCAACCTCTACATGTTTTCTGTGATAAAACATACATAAAATCTACCCTTTTAACCATTTGTAAGTGTACACTTTTATTTAGTTATTATTATTATTTGTTTTTTGAGATGGAGTCTCACTCTGTTGCCCAGGCTGGAGTGCAGTGGTGCCATCTTAGCTCACTGCAACCTCTGCCTCCTGGGTTCAAGCGATTCACCTGCCTTGGCATCCTGAGTAGCTGGGATTACAGGCGCCTGCCACCATACCCTGCTAAATTTTTTTTTTTGTATTTTTAGTAGAGACGGGCTCTCACCATGTTGGCAAGGCTGGTCCCGAACTCCTGACCCCAGGAGACCTGCCCACCTCGGCCTCCCAAAGTGCTGGGATTACAGGCATGAGCCACCACACCCGGCCTGTAAGTGTACACTTTAGTGGCATTAAATACATTCACATTGTTGTGTAACCATCACCACTATCCACCTCTAAAACTTTTTCATCTTTCCAAACTAAAACTCTGCACCCATAAAACACTTAGTCCTCATTCATCTTCTCTCCAGCCCCTGCAACCACCACTCTACCTTCTGTCTTCATGAATTTGTCTACTCTAAGTACCTCATATAAATGGAATCATACAGTATGTGTCCTCTTGTGTCTGGCTTATTTCACATAGCATTATGTCTTCAAGGCCCATCCATACAGAAGCTTACATCAATATTTCATTCCTTTTTAAGGCTGAATAATATTCCATTGCATGGACATGCCCCATTTTGTTTATCCATTCATCTGCTGATGAAAACCTCAACATTTTGGAGTAGCTGCTCTGCAGCAACAGATCACTGGAGCAGCAGGCAATGCAGCCATGGAAAGCAGAGCTGGGTTCCCACGGCAGATGTCAGGACCTGGAGAGTCCACCCAAAACACAGGACACCAGGAACTAACCCTCAGAGTAGGTGAAGTTGGTGACTGACCAGGAATCCGGGTTGGAGCTCCCAACATCACTTGTCACAGTGGGCTGGGTGTCTCCTCAGGTCTCTAGGCTGGGAGCAACTCCAGCACAGGGGATGATAGGATCTTATTCATGCCTGGGTTCTCTGCCCTGGCATAGGCTGAGGGCCTGGAGTCCAATCAATGTTTGGTAAATGTACCTGACACTTCAGCCAGGTTCTGACTCATCCCAGAGTTTTTTACATGCTCCTTGCAAGGCAAGAGCCATGCCAAGGAAAATGCGGGAGACTAACTGCTTCTGGCTGGGAAAGAAAGGGAGAGGAAGCAGCAAAAGGACATTCTGTCAGAGAAAAATTCACTTCCAGACAGCTCAGGATCTCCATCAAAGCGCCCCGTCCCCAGAATCAGGCAGGTAGCCACAGCTGGCAGAGACTTTACCATCTGAAGGTTAGGAAGGTATCTAGGGCATCAAGCTGAGCCAACAAGACAAGGCCAGGGGCAGGGGCAGGGTCAGAGGGGCTTGGCCCTTGGTCATGGCACAGGCCATGGAAAGTAGGGAAGGGAACTTGAACTATGAGCTCAATTGCATACCCCAGCCCTGGAAGCATTGGGGCATGACCTTCCTTCACTGCAGGAGGACTCAGATTTGTTGCACTATGTCCCCAAGCCTCTCACCCATAACAAATTTACCCAGGAAACACCCATCTATAGTCCAACCCATTCTCCCTGTTGCGATGTTCCACTTGGCCACATAACTAGGGTGCCTGACACAAGTCAGGACACACCAGAGCATAGATGTTAATTCCAGGTTTAAGAAGAAGTTGTTCTTGATTGGCTTAGAGTGAATGCCACCCAGGTAACAAACCTGCAAATGTACCCCCCTAGATCTAAAATGATCTAAAAGTTGAAAAAATAATAATAATAATAATAAATACAGAAACCAGTAAAAGAAAGAAAAAATAGTTACAAAAAATTTTTTTTAAGTAAAAAGAAAAGAAAAAGAGTGAATGCCAACCATACAATTGCTCACTTAGAGGTTGAACAAAAAGGACTCAAGTTGAATTTCAGTTATGTGTTTAGGTTTTCCAGTCCCTAAAGATAAAGTAATGCCTTGAGCAATAACTCTGAAGGTGTTTTCCTCTATTTTCTTCCAGGCATACACCTTGAAATTTAGGAACTGCTTAACATGTGGAAAGCAGCTATAAACATCAGTGAAAGAATTCAGAAGACAGGAACTTTGGACTTTGAGCTAACCAGTTATCATCCTTGAGCCTCAGTTTCCTAATTCATAAAATAGAGAATAATATTACATATTCCCATGGTTTGGTTATGTGCATTAAAAAGAGTAAATATATAAGATACATATATATATATAATATATATATACACACACATATATATCCTCATAAGAAACACTATAAATATGTGGGGTTTTTGTCTTTTTTTTTTTTTGAGATAGAGTTTCACTCTTGTTGCCCAGGCTGGAGTGCAATGGTGCAATCTCAGCTGACTACAACCTCTGCCTCCTAGGTTCAAGCAATTCTCCTGCCTCAGGCTCCCAAGTAGCTGGGATTACAGGCACGCACCACCATGCCCAGCTAATTTTTTGTATTTAGCAGAGAGAGGGTTTCACCATGTTGATCAGGCTGGTCTCAAACTCCTGACCTCAGGTGATCCACTCCCCTCAGCCTCTCAAAGTGCTGGGAATACAAGCATGAGCCACCGCGCCCAGTATATAAATATGCTTAAGATATATTTATATTCACTGAGTACTTGTTGATAGCTGCTGAATAAATGACTGAATAACCTAAGATTCTGACAAGACTCCCATGTGGTGAGAGCAAGTCTTGCTCCACACTTCAGAATCCTCAACTAGAGCATCTACTAGATCCCAGAAGTCACCTCACTGCCCAGGGGGCCACTGCCCTGCTGTCCCATGTCTTAACAACTGGTTTCCCAAGCCAGTACTCTTCCCTCCTGTCTGGACTTATATTCTCCCAAACTGCTCAGCTGGAGCTGGCCTGATGTTGAGGACAAGAGTCGGTCCCACCACCCCACCCACCCCCAGCCAGGTTCCTACCTCCAAACCTGGACCTAGGCTGCTTTTTCTTTTCTCTTTTTTTTTTTTTTTTTTTTTTTGAGATGGAGTCACTCTGTCGTCCGGGCTGGAGTGCAGTGACACAATCTTGGCTTGCTGCAACCTCTGTCCCCCTGAGTTCAAGCCATTCTCCTGCCTCAGCTTCCCAAGTAGCTGGGATTACAGGAGCCCATCACCACACCCGGGTAATTTTTGTATTTTTAGTAGAGAAGGGGTTTCACCATGTTGGTCAGGCTGGTATTGAACTCCTGACCTCAGGTGATCCACCCTTCTTGGCCTCCCAAAGTGCTGGGATTACAGGCGTGAGCCACCGCGCCCGGCCTAGGATGCTTCTTGAACCACTGACAAACCAGAACCCTAGGTCTGTCCTCAGGGCACCCACATCTTTGATACCAGATGGAAACAACTCATTCATTCCCTTTCCCTGGTTTTCTGAAGCATAGTTCCATGGAAGGTTTGTGGACCAGCAACCTCCTCTACCCACCCCAGGCCTGGACTCCATCCTTGACCTTTACTTACAAAAGGAGGCTCCTGCGGGTTCTTCTACCTTAAGGTGCTTCAGGGAGCATCATATAAGGCAATGGACTTGAAAGTTTCTTTGAAAAATAGGAAGCACTTGATAAATTCTTCTGCTCTTGTTACTCTTTTTAGTTTACTTTAGTGTGGTCTTACTGAGTCTATGGAGGCCTGGGATTGTTTCCCGGATAAATTCTTTTGGTACAATGACCACACAGAGGGAAAACAGCTTGCTGTTCTTTGTGACTCCAGTGCTATTAGCAAATGCACTGTGATCTCCAAGACAGAGGCGGTGAGGGAAATCAAGAAATGTGGGTTCCGGGCTCATTGACTCTGCCAGTAAATTAAGCAAGTCACTAACTTCTCTGGGCATTTTTCTTCATGTGCACAAAGGAGCTTAGAAGCCGCCCACATTCCTATTCACTCGGATACCAAGAGGGCCAAGAGTTTGAAAAGAAAAACACTGTGCAGTAAAAATGTTGTAGTATTCAGTGGGCATGGAGGGTTTAGAAGGAAGAGATAAAAAAGAAAAATGAGGCCGGGCATGGTGGCTCACGCCTGTAATCCCAGCACTTTGGGAGGGTGAGGCAGGCAGATCACCTGAGGTCAGTAGTTCAAGACCAGCCTGGGCAACATGGTGAAACCCCCACATCTACTAAAAATGCAAAAATTAGGCAGGCATGCTGGTGCACGCCTGTAATCCCAGTTACTCTGGAGACTGGGGCTTGAGAATCACTTGAACTCGGGAGGTGGAGGCTTCAGTGAGCCGAGATCACGCCACTGCACTCCAGCCTGGGCAACAGAGGGAGACCTGTCTCAAGAAAAAAAAGAAAAAAAAAAAGAAAAATGAAAGAAGAAAGGAAACAAAAGACAGAGAAAGCAAGCATTTGGCATAAAGTATGAGGCTCTTGAGAAAGCAAGAATGGAATGCCATGGAAGTTCCCAGTACAGAGCCTCAGAGTCACTGTCTAGATTACATTTACCCCAGGGTCCCCAGCAGACAAAAGTGGAATGGAAGGAAAGGAAGTCTCCCATCACCTGAGGTGGCATAAGCATGTAGCAGAAGCAGCCAAGGCTCAATGCTATGTGCTTTTACAGCTCAGGTCAGAGCGAGAAAATAGATGAGGAAATAATAAATGAAGTCCACTACCTGTAAAAATTGTGTCATGTCCCTAGAAAGGCCCTGGCCAAGCCACATCCTGGCACATGAGGTCCCATTCAAGGAGCTCCACTTTAAGGGGGACATTCAAAGACTAAAGAGTTACCAAAGGCTGGTCACCAGGACATCAGGGCATGCTGAGATCATTTCACAAAAGGAAGGGCTATGGGATCTGAAAGTGTTTACCTAGACTTGATTTGGTAAGGACATGAGAAGCAGAAAAAAACTTTAAAACGCATCTAGCCCAATGCTCACAATTCAGAAATCCCTAATACAATGTTCCTGATGAGGAATTACCCTGTGCTGCGTAAACTCTTCCAATGAAGGAGACCTCATTACTGTATAAGTGAGTTCATCTCATTATCATGTAGACAAGATTAAACTTTTCTCCTTCCTATTAACCGCAAATTAACCTCCTCCCGGCTTCTATCTATGCTCCGGGAGACATCAACTAAATCTAAACACTTTTCACTTGACCACCCTTCAGATAACTTGAGACAAACAGCTGGCATTGATGGCTTTCACAGAGATTTCTGGAAGTCTTCCCTGAGAGCAGGGCACATTTTCAGCATATCCCTGAAAGCACACTGCCCAGCCTGCTTCCACACTTGTTTCCTGGTGATCTCAGGCCAGCTTTGACCCCGCACGACCATGGGACACTGACTGCTATCCCCGCCTCAGGGCTTCTCATCCTGGCCATGCCTCGTAGCTCTATGTTTGCTTAACAACTAGGTTGTGGCCTCCTGCCTCACTTTAGGCGAACTCTGGTCCATCTCTTGGTCTCATCTTTGCAGCTCTGCCCAGTGCTAAGGGCCTGTCATGAACACACTCCATGGTGAGGCCTAAAAATCAGAGTCCCAAATTCATGCCACTTAATGTAAAGCACCGGTCATTTGACTTTAAGCCTAATAATGATTGAAGTTAGACTGTTCAATGGGCATTAAATATTATCTTTTCTAACATTTCATTTGAGAGATGAGGAAATAAGAGTCCAGAGAGATCAACTGATTCATTTGGAGTAACATAGCTGAGAAGATAAACATGAGCTCTAATCTTATTTTCCAGCCCCATATTCTTTCTGTAGTTAAAAGGAAGTAAGGTTACATTATGCCTCTCTTCTGAGTATATTTTCCATAGTTTGTGTGGATGTGCATTCATTCTTTATTTGACTCAACAGAAACTCACTAAGCACCTACTATGTGCTTTGTAAATATTCTCAGTAAGATTTGAAGTAAGCTGCCCATTGGGATCTATGTCTTGGTGTGTGTTCATGCAATGTGGTGAAAGGTGTGTGTGAATTGATTCTTGTATAGCCAGGCACAGCAGCTCATACCTGTAATCCCCACATTTTGGGAGGCCAAAGCAGGAAGATTGCTTGAGGCCAGGAGTTTGAGACCAGACTGGGCAACATAGCAAGACACCCCATCTCTAAAAATAATAATTCTTCCATGCATTCATTCAACAGCAATAGCAATAACTGACAACTCTTAAAACTATGCTATACACTGCTGCAAGTAAAAACACATCATAGTCCTTTAGCTTAGGGCATTTTCTGTCTAGGAGACAATTCTGAAGTACTTTGTTCATGTGACAAAGACAAATCCAGTGTTCTGTGGGACACAAAGCCAGATGCCTAATCAAGATTGGCAGGAATGATGGTGGCAAGTGTCCATAACTGTGATGGGGGGACAAAGATGCAGGTCCTGGAGAACTCCAAACACCTCATGGAAACATGAGCTTCAGAGCTAAATCTTGAAGGCTGATATGCTCAGGCAGAACAGAGTGCACAGAGCTGAGTGTGTGTGCAAAGACAGGGAGGCAGGAGAGAGCCTGACTGCAGGGAGACAGCCAAGCTGGAGCCAGGAGTTAATGCAGGTGACACAGGGAGAGAACTACAGGCAAGTGAGGTCGAAGAAGCCATTCTGTCTCACGATAGAGCTTGATTTTATCCAAAAGAAAATGAGGATGCAGTGAAAAGACTTAAAAGAGACAATAAACAGGGTCAAATCAGAATTTTAGAAAGAGTGAAGGACAGACCGGAAGATGGCAAGGCCAATGGCAAGAATGTCAGATAGGAGGCTATGGCAGGAACTCAGGTAAGACATGAGGGTTGAAACCTGACAACTCTGCCCCTACACATTTATTTTTTAAGTATGAAATATAAGAGGAGAGAAAGAATTGTTTTTCATATACATATCCCACAGCATGGGGAAATTTCCCCAAAGCTTTGCAGAACTGCAACATCACCCTCATCATTCTCCACAGTGACTTGGTGGCCCCAGAAAGTAATGTCAGCCTTAGCATCATGACCAATTGTGATATGTAGGTACCTGAAACAGAGCAGCTGCTCATTAAGTGGGGGCTGAATGCCTGAGCCACATACATCACAAAGGGGTGGAGGTAGAGAAGTCCTAAACAAAGTGAGGTCAGTGCTGGGAAGGACTGAGAAGTCAAGTCCAAGCAAAGTAACAAATCAGAAGACAAACAGAAAAGTTCCAGGAAGGATAAGGTTAAAGGAACTAGGTGATACATAGCCATGGAGAGTGAGGAGCACAGGCAGATGAGGAAACCACTAAAGGAGCCAGCGCCTGTCTGGTGAGGAGATTCTGTGTCTCCGTCTCCAAAGGCAGAGAGTGACTGAGGCAGCCCTCGAAAGAATCATGGAAAGATGGCCCCTCTGGTTAGACAGACAGCAAGCCAGCCGCTAGGGGCAGGAGTTTGTAGCAGGGACACATGTCTGGCCGGGGTCTGTGCGCGCCCGTGTGGTTGCACACATGTGAGCAGTTAAGTCAGAACATCTGGCAGAGATGGGAATATGTGGGTGCAGAGGAGGCCAATACCGACAAGCAGGGGCTGTTGAAAGCTGGCGAAACCCCATCACATGTGTTATAAAGCCATTCTCACTTGGAGTTTATAGTCAGGTGATTGATAAAGATGATGTCAGATGCCTAAAACAACAATTTCCTGCCTTACCGAATAAAAATGTTGACCTAGGCAAGTCCAAGCCTATCAGACAATTCCCAGGAAAGCCTGATCACATTTTTTTAAACAAGGTAATTTTTTCTGAAAATCAGGAGCACCTGACCACCAGTGTGCTGCTGAGAATGACCTCAATTAGGCACCCTCTGCTGAAACCAAGACTAACAAGAGTCACCGGGAGTTTCACAAAATGTATAAGGCTCTGCCTCAAGCCACAAATGAGCAACAGGCCTGGAGCTACACTAGGAGGGATTCCTGGTTGCAAAGGATTGAGATTAAAATTTTTCTCTACGTTCGTGTTAACATTAAACCAATGCCAACAAAAACAAGGTTTGTAGCATCAAACCTTATGGCCGGGCTCAGTGGCTCACGCCTGTAATCCCAGCACTTTGGGAGGCCAAGGCAGGTGGATCACTTGAGGTCAGGAGTTCAAGACAAGCCTGGCCAGCACGGTGAAACCCCTGTTTCTACGAAAAATACAAAAACTAGCCAGGCATGGTGGTGGGTGCCTGTAATCCCAGCTACTCGGGAGGCTGAAGCAGGAGGATCGCTTGAACCTGGGAGGCAGAGGTTGCAGTGAGCCAAGATCATGCCATTTCACTGCAGCCTAAGCAACAGAGCAAGACTCTGTCTCAAAAAAACAAAACAAAACAAAAAACGAAAACAAACCAAAAAAACTTATGGCCTTATCATCCCTCCAAACTGTCCCTGAATATGAGTTACCATAAGCTAGGAAGAAAATATTCAAAGGTATAAACAGAGGCCAATGTGTCAGCCCTTTCTCTGAATTTCTGGGCCATAGCTGTTTTAAATTAGATCATCAATGCTCAATTTCTCATGAAACTCCTGACTTAGCTCTGCAATGGAAAAGCTATTTTTGTGCTCTGAGCCACAGATATTTACATGAAGGCAAATCCATAATTCCAATTACGTTTTATTTTCATGATAGTCTTTTCCTCTCCTTAAGAAGTCATGATCAGAGGTCTAGACAGACAGACACACACACACACACAAAATCCAGAGAAGAAAAAAAAGAATAGTCATAGCTATCATCATTATTATTATTTCTGATGAGATACTTGCAAAAAGCAACATGTTCTGAGCCAAATACAGATTCCACAGGGCCCAGATAAATGACTGTTGTGAAACAGGCAGATTTTAGGTCTTGTAAAATTCTCAAAAAAATACCTTCAGTTCTTCTATCTCCTCCAGCCACCCCTTTGGTGATTCCCTACCCCCACCTACTCCTCAATCACTTGGGGACTTCATGATCCCTCCTGGGAAAACCTAGTCCCAGAAGTGGATCTAGCTTATATTTACATGTTACATAGTCTCTCTGGGGTCTTTTCATTTAAAATGTTATCGTTGTCGGGAGTGGTGGCTCACGCCTGTAATCCCAAAACTTTGAGGGGCTGAGGCAGGCGGATCACCTGAGGCTAGGAGTTCAAAACCAGCCTGGTCAACATGGAGAAACCCCATCTCTACTAAAAATACAAACATTAGCTAGGCATGGTGGTGTATGCCTATAGTCCCAGCTACTTGGGAGGCTGAGCCAGGAAAATTGCTTGAACCCAGGAGGCAAAGGTTGCAGTGAGCCGAGATCCCACCACTGCACTCCAGCCTGGGTGATAGAGCAAGACTCCAGCTCAAAAAAAAAAAAAAAAAAAAGTTATCTTTAAAAATGAAATAAAGAGTTTTTATCTCCTAAAAGGCAGGAGCATTAACAAATAAGGCAAAGAGATATTTCTGGTTAAGAGGGACATGGTTCTTAAGTAACAACATAGCTACTCTACAGAAAGATCCAACAATAGGCTGGGAGGGCTATAACAGCTGGTACAGAAGCAAAATAAACTGGCTGTCCAAAAAGTTTCAGGAAATTCGCCCAAAATAAATCTAAATTGATTACCAAAAATATCAAGATATGGCCGGGTGCAATGGTTCACACATGTAATCCCAGCACTTTGGGAGGCCGAGGCAGGCGGATCACCTGACGTCAGGAGTTTGAGATCAGCCTGGCCAACATGGTGAAACCCCATCTCTACTAGAAATACAAAAATTAGCTGGGCATGGTAGCAGGTGCCTGTAATCCCAGCTACTCAGGAGGCTGAAGCAGGAGAATCGCTTAAACCCAGGAAGCAGAGGTTACAGTGAGTGGAGATCATGCCACTGCACTCCAGCCTGGGCAATAAAGTGAGACTCTATCTCAAAAAAAAAAAAAAAAAAAAAGTCAAGATATTAGGAGTAACCACGGCCACTCCCCAAAAGTGTCTCTGATTAGACCTTCTTTTTTTTTTGAGACAGAGTCTCACTCTGTTGTCCAGGCGGGAGTGCCTTGGTGCAATATTGGCTCACTGCAACCTCAACCTCCCCGGCTCAAGCAATCCTTGTGCCTCAGCCTCCTGAGTAGCTGGGATTACACGCATGTGCCACCACGTCTGGCTAATTTTTGTATTTTTGTAGAGATGGGGTTTTGCCATGTTGGCCAGGCTGGTCTTGAGCTCCTGGCCTCAAGTGATCCACCCACCTCGGCCTCCCAAAGTGCTGGAATTATAGGCTTGAGCCACCATGCCTAGCCTGATTAGACCTCCTGAAGCACAATTCTACTTTGAAAGAATAAGAATAGGAGAGTGGAGATAATGGGAGGAAACTAACATTTGTGAGCATTAACATAATGCTTATAATAAGGTTATATTATTTCCAGTTATCTCACTTGATCTTCAGAACAACCTTTTGAGGTGGATTTTGTTATTACTGTTTTATAAAGAAGACAATTTAGACTCAGAGGTGTTAAGTAACTTGCCAAAGGCCACATATCTAATTAGTGGCAAAGCTTAGATTCAAACCCAGATCTGCTTGACTCCAAAGCCCATTTCTTTCCCATTGTCACTGATAGAAGGACACTGATAAAGCTCTTAAAAGGGCCAGAGGAGAAGGCCAATGACTATGGGGAAAATATCTTTGTGTAGACTGCTTTCAGCATTATAAATAGGCTCCACTGATATGGATCAACATTCCCAGAGATGGAATCAGCCACAAGTAAAGAATCAATTGCTCACTGTAAACCTCTGCACTGTTAGAGACACACGTACACATGCATGCCCAGCAGAAACAGAACATCGTCTTCATATCCAAGGACAACAGGAACTTTTCCACATGTTTTTTCTTTTCAACATAGATGTGAGTTAAGATGCTAGTTGAGCATGAGGTTTTGATCTACTATAGAGAATCTAAAGGACAGCATTTAGGGACTGGAGCAGCATGGTTGGGAAATTCAGATCTTTTCTGGACTGAAAACATTGGCCAGATGAGAGTGAGACACCGCAGTAAGCGTGCAGGGTTCCAGATGGTGGCAGTGGCACACGGTATTATTTATTCAGACCTCTTCTCTCCCGCATTCTCTTAGTAGCAGGAGATTTCACATGCAGGAGCCAATGTACATGTATTTACTTTGCTGTATTCTGTTTTTTTGTGTGGTTTTTTTTTTTTTTTTTTTTTTTTGAGACGAAGTTTCACTCTTGTCACCCAGGATGGAGTGCAATGGTGCAATCTCGGCTCACTATAACCTCCATCTCCTAGGTTCAAGTGATTCTCCTGCCTCAGCCTCCCAAGTAGCTGGGACTACAGGCGTGCACCACCATGCCCGACTAATTTTGTATTTTTTTTTTTTTTTTTTTTTAGTAGAGATGGGGTTTCACCATGTTGGTCAGGCTGGTTTTGAACTCTTGATGTCAAGTGATCCGCCTGCCTCAGCCTCCCAGAGTGCTGGGATTACAGGTGTGAGCCACTGCACCCGGCCGACTTCGCTGTATTCTATTTTACATATAAGAAAATAATTTTTTTTTTTTGAGATGGAGTCTCACACTGTCTCCCAGGCTGGGATGCAGTAGCAGGATCTCAGCTCACTTCAACCTCCGCCCCAGCTTAGGTTCAAGTGACTGTCCTGCCTCAGCCTCCTGAGTGCTGGGATTATAGTCATACAACACCATGCCCAGCTAATTTTTGTATTTTTAGTAGAGACAGGGTTTCACCATGTTGGCCAGGCTGGTCTTGAACTCCCCAACCTCAAGCTATCTGCCCGCCTCAGCCTCCCAAAGTTCTGGGATTACAGGCGTGAGCCACTGTGCCCGGCCCAAAATAAACTTTTAAATTAGGAGTTAATTTAATTAAGTTAATTAGGAGTTAAGAACCTCAGTCAGTATGACGGATTGGGTAGAAATATCCCTCTGTATAGGAAAAACTCTCTAACCATGTTTTTCCTCCACTCTCACACCATAATAATCACCAACACAGAAGACTTCTTGTGACCAAATGTGTGGGGGCTTTTTCCAAATACACCAAGCAACAGACACCAGCTGGGTGTCCTCTAATGAACTATCTACTCTGAGATAGTGTCAGATCCCATAGGCTGAGGGCTAGTTCCCAAGACTGCCCCTCCCCACATGCCAGTCACAAGTCTGAGCCTCAGGAACTTCTGACTGACCCACTTCAAGTTGAGGCTCAAGAGCGCCGTCTTTGGGTTCAGCGAATTTGCTGGAGCAGCTCACAGAACTCAGGGAAAGTTACTTAGGTTTACTGGTTTACTATAAAGAATACTGCGAAAGATACAGATAAGCGGATGTGTAGGGCAGTATGAGGAAAGGGGCACAGCCCTTCCATGCTCTGCCTGGGTGCACCATCCTCCAGGAACCTCCCTGTGTTCAGCTATTCAGAAGCTCCATCAACCCGGTCCTCCTGGGTTTTTATGGAAGCTTCACAATGTCAGCATTCCTTCCTCCAGGGCATTGGGTGCATCAACACTCTCACAGGCGGAACATTAGAGTCCTGCCTTGGGGTAAGTGAAAGGAGGGCAGAAGGTCAGAGGGCTGCCTCTGAGGCCTAACACACCCAGTATTATAACAACAAAAACTGTAACAAGGGCTGTGGGGTGTTATGAGCCAGGAACCATGGATAAAAACTAGTATATATCATAACACCACATCCTCCCATCCAAACACTTCAAAACACTGAACAAAAATATGATAACAAAAATATCATCTAAAACCTAGATAAAGTAGAAATCTCCAGGTACCAGAAACAGAGGGAAGTGGAAGTTAGGTCAATGTATGGAAGCTGAGGCCAAGGGGCTCATAGAGAAATCCACCGCAGCAAGAGGCCTAAATACCTGCGAGCTGGGGCTTTAATGACCATACATGCAGTGAGGGGGTCCAGGAGATGGTCACCTTACACCATGAGCTGTTAGTGAGGCACTTACAAAAAGCTGGAGGTCATAAAAAGCTGCTCCATATGTGAAATAGGTCTAGAGGAACATCATTTACTAACCTGAGAAAACAGCCAGAAACCTTGTCATCTGCTTGGGCAAAGAGTAGAAAATGAGTGGCCTATAAAATTTGAAATCAGGCGTGTAGTACATGCAAGAAATAAGGTTAAATGTATACAGTGGCTCACGCCTGTAATCCCAGCACTTTAGAAAGCTGAGGCCCATTGATCGTTTGAGCCCAGGAACTTTAGTTTCTACTAAAAATACAAAAATTAGCCTGGTGTGCTGGCATGCCCCTGTAGTCCCAGCTACTGAGGAGGCTGAGGCAGGAAGATCGCTTGAACCCAGGAGGCAGAGGTTGCAGTGAGCCAAGATCACACCACTGCACTCCAGCCTGGGTGACAGAGCGAGACTCCATCCCATCTCAAAAAAGAAAACATATATCATAACACCACACATGGGTTAAAACTTGCATGATGTAGCTAAAGCAGTATTTAGAGGTAAATTTATAGATTTAAATAAATTTACTGAAAAACAAAAAGTAAGCTAGGCATGAATTCAAGTAGCTAGAAACAGAAGAAATGTAGATAAAGGTAAAAATAATGAAAAACAAAAATATAGATAAGAACAAGCTGTTTATTTGAAAAGATTAAGTAGTAGACATCTATATTAATAAAGAAAAAGAGAGTTGGCACAAATAAACAATATTAAGAATAAAAAAAGGGCAAGGAGTGGTGGCTCATGCCTGTAATCCCAACACTTTCAAAGACTGAGGCAAGAGGATCACCTGAGGACAGGAGTTTCAGACCAGTCTGGTCAACATAGCAAGACCCCATCTCTACAAAAAATACAAAACTTTGCTGGGCATAGTGGTGCGCACCTGTAGTCTCAGCTACTAGGGAGGCTGAGGCAAGAGGATAGCTTGAGCCCAGGAGTTTGAGGCTGCAGTGAGCTATGATGGTGCCGCTGCACTCCAGCAGTGGGTGACACAGCAAGATCCCATCTCTAAAAAATCAATAAATAGGCCGAGAGCAGTGGCTCATCCCTATAATCCAAGTATTTTGGGAGGCCGCGGCAGGCGGATCACTTGAGGCCAGAAGTTCGAGACCAGCCTGGCCAACATGGCAAAACTGCATCTCTACAGAAAATATAAAAAAAAAAAAAAAAAAAAAAAAAATAGCTGGGTGTGGTGGCGCACACCTGTAATCCCAGCAACTCGGGAGGCTGAGGCAACAGAATTGTTTGAACCCTGGAAGTAGAGGTTGCAGTGAGCCGAGATCGCATGACTCACTCCAGCCTGGGCAACAGAGTGAGACTCTGTCTTAAATAAATAAATAAGAAATATAAGCTAGATTCTCAGCACCATAGGAAAGGTAATAAAAAAATTAAAAAACAAAAAAGATAGAGGCAATATTTATAAAACCCTAAGAGAAAATTACGAATAACTATGCTAAGAAGCCCAAGAACACATGAATGGATCATCTAAACTAAATTATCAAAACTGAATCAAGAAGGAATAGAAAGCCTAAATTCATCACTAATCATTTATGAAACTGAATCACCAAAAACTTGACCCATATGCCCTTTATAAGTGGTTCAGATGATTTCGTAATGAGTTTTACCAAATTTTAAGAAACAGATAATCTTTATCTCTTACAAACTAGTTAAGAAAAACATATATGCCAGCCAGGCACGGTGGCTCATGCCTGTAATCCCAGCACTTTGGGAGGCCGAGGAGGGGATATCATGAGAGCAGGAGTTCAAGACCATCCTGGCTAACACGGTGAAATTCCATCTCTACTAAAAATACAAAAAATTAGCTGGGCCCACGTGGTGGCGCGTGCCTGTAATCCCAGCTACTAAGGAGGCTGAGGCAGGAGAATTGCTTGAACCCGGGAGTCGGAGGTTGCAGTGAGCCAAGATCATGCCACCGCACTCTAGCCTGGGAAACAGGAAGACTCTGTCTCGAAAAAAAAAAGATAAAGAAAGACATATACTTATGATTACTTTATAGGGCCAATACAAGCTTGATACCAAACAATATAAGAACAATTTCCTTTTTTTTTCCTTTTTTTTTCTTTTTTTTTTTTTGAGATGAAGTCTTGCTCTGTCGCCCAGTCTGGAGGGCAGTGGTGCAATCTCAGCACACTGCAATCTCCACCTCCCGGGTTCAAGTGATTTTCGTGCCTCAGCCTCCCGAGTAGCTGGGATTACAGGTGCATGTCACCACGCCCAGCTAATTTTTGGCATTTTTAGTAGAGATAGGGTTTCGCCATGTTGGCCAGGCTGGTCTTGAACTCCTGACCTCAGTTGATCAGCTCGCCTCGGCCTCCCAAAGGGCTGGAATTACAGGCATGAGCCACCACACCCAGCCAGACCAATATTTTAAAAAGAAAATTCTAGAACAACTTCACTTATGAACATTTGCAAAAATCCAAAGTAAAATACTAGCAACCGATACCCTACAGAATAATATACCTGTATATGTATATTTATGTACATGTTTCAACACAATTAATACGCTCATCTTATCACAATGTAATATCAAGAAAAAATGATCATCTCATATAGTTATGAAAAAGACATTAAAGCATTAAGTAAAATATATACTGTCATGATATAATTTTTACCTTGTTAAAAAATATTAAGAATAGAGCAAAGTTCTTAGTTTAATAAAGACTATCTACTGAAACCTTAAGCAAACTTCACGCTTAATGGAGAAACTTTAAGAGCAGTTAAAGTTAAAGACAGTAAGAAGACAAGGCAAGGGTGCCTGTCATCACAGTTCTATTGAACACTGTACTGGACCATCTACCCCAATGCAGTATGGTAAGAAAAAGATGTAGGAGTCACAGAAATGGAAAAGATAAATTATCGTTGTTTTATGATTGTCTATATAGAAAATTCAAGAATTATCTATATGCAGACTATTAGAACTAATAAGAGAATCAGCTGGGATGCTGGGTAAAAAAACAAAATTCAAAAATCAGCAATGTTTCTTTCTATGGGCCAGCAAGTAAACTAGAGAATATACTAGGACAAAAGATATTGTTTAAAATATCAACCAAATCTATAAGATATAAATACAGCAAAAGTTGTAGAAGACATTTATAGGGGAAATCACCAGTAATCATTCACCTGAATAAAAGGAGAAGATAGGAAAAGCCAGCACTGTAAAGATGTCAGTATTAATTGAATGCAATTTCAAAGAGAATCTCAACAGGATTTTCTGTGTGTGTGCAACTAGACAAACTAACGTTTATATAAATTGGTCAAATCCAAGATGGCCCAGAAATTCTGAAAAAATAAAAAAGTAATAATAGCTAACAATTTTTGCGTTCTTCCTTATATAGCAGGTACTATTCTAACTTTTTTTTTTTTTTTTTTTTTTTTAAGATGGCATCTCACTCTGTCACCCAGGCTGGAGTGCAATGGCACGATCTCAGCTCACTGCAACCTCCGCCTCCCAGGTTCAAGCTATTCTCCTGCATCAACCTCCCGAGTAGCTGGGATTATAGGCACCCACCACCACACTCGGCTAATTTTTGTATTTTTAGTAAAGATGGGGTTTTACCATGTTGGCCAGGCTGGTCTCGAACTTTTAACCTCAGGTGATCTGCCCACCTTGGCCTCCCAAAGTGCTGGGATTACAAGCGTGAGCCACCACACCTGGCGTATTCTGACATTTTCATGCACTATCTCTTCACAGTATCTTTGTAATAGATACTATCATTATTTATATTTCATAGATGAGGAGACTGAGAGAACTTGGCAACTTGCCCAAGGTCACACAGCTCACTGGGTAATCACAAATCCTCACAAATTTGGTTTTTAGGTTTTTTGATTTATTTTTTGAGACAGAGTGTCGCTCTGTCACCCAGGCTGGAGTGCAGTGGCCTGATCTCAGCTCATTGGAACCTCTGCCTCCCCAGCTCAAGTGATCCTCCCATCTCAGCCTCCCAAGTAGCTGGGACCACAGGGCACACCACCATGCCCAGCTAATTTTTATATTTTTTGTAGAGGCAGGGTCTCATCCTTGTTGCCCAGGCTGTTCTCAAACTCCTGAGCTCAAGCGATCAGCCCGCCTCAGCCTCCCAAAGTGCTGGGATTACAGGCATGAACCACCGTGCCCAGCTACACAAATTTGTGTAATCACAAATGCTCACTGACTGCTGGGTAGGATAAAATTTTCTAAATCCATACCTAGACATACCTGTGGAACATTTTAGAGAAAATTTTAAAAGCTACCAGGGAGAAGGCAGATTATAATAAAATGACAATCATTTGTGATCAGACTTCTTGTCCTGACCTCAGGTGATCCCCCCACGTCGGCCTCCCAAAGTGCTGAGATTACAGGCATGAGCCACTGCGCCCAGCTGAAAGCCTTCTTCTTAAGGCATGTTTGTTATGTGATGGGCCAGGGGCTCTAAGAATGCTGATCCTTCTGGGGATCTCAAGGTACCTTCCACAAAGAGAATGGATGAGTGATCCCAGGAGCTGCTTGCCTGTGAGGGGACATGGTAGTACAGGATGTGGGCATTTTTTCCCAGAGCTCTCCCCAGAATCACTCACACTAAATATTTCCACCTCACCCAATCAGTCAAACTCACCAATGCATGGGATCACCCACATAGGCAAGCTTTCGAAAGATAATTTATTGTTGTGTGTTCATAGTAATAAGCATCCAGCAATGAGGTTTTTTTTTTCTCTTTCTTATTCCATGGTAAACCCTTTATTTCCCCTGGCATTCCATGTAACACACAGGTACATTTGAGCCTCGGTGCTTTCCCTGGGTCTTTCTACCTATCACACTCTCCTGACGCTGCAAAGAATGATGACACCCTGTAATCTGCAGAGCTCTGAAGACATAATTTGCCTGATCTACTTTAAAAATCTTGCCCTGTACTGAGGACTGCTCCAGAATCCCATAAGGTACCTGGAATTCCAGGCTGGCCAGGAAGCCTCCATGGAATTCGGGATTCTTCTTGTGAGTGGAGCTGGTTTGCAAGGAAGGGGTGAGCTACCTCTAAATCTGGAGCAGTTACCAAAGACTTCTAAAGAGAAGTGACTGGCGGAGCTGGAAGAGATGGGAGGCATTTTCCATTTTACGTATCAGTGTGTTTTTGTTTTTGTTTTTCTCCCTCCTCACCCCCTCTTAGGAGACAGGGTCTCGCTCTGTTGCCGAGGCTGGAGTGCAGTAGCGTGACATAGCTCACTGAAGCCTCCATCTCCTAGGCTCAGGTGATCCTCCCAGCTCAGCCTCCTGAGTACTTGGGACTCAGGCATGTGCAACCATGCCTGACTAATTTGTGCCACTTAGTCTTCAACCCCTGGGCTCAAGTGATCCTTCCACCTCAGCCTCCCAAAGTGCTGAGATTATAGGCATGAGCCACTGTGCCCATCAGTTCTTACTAAAGCATGAAACATTTTCCCTTTCCTTTTCTACTTATTCCTTATAATTAAAATAATAATAATACATGTGCAGGGAGATGGTAGACAGTAGTGACAGAGATGCATAGACTTTAGCCACCGACCTGAATTCAACACTTGATTCCAGCACTTAGTGGCTGTGTGACCATGGATGAGTTACCCTTCTGGTTCTAGTTTCTGAAACTCCATAATGAAAATAATAGTAATATTTACCTCAAAGAGTTTTCGAATAAAATACCATATGTAAGTGCTTAGTTCTCAGTAAATGTTAGCTATTATTACTATAAAAGTTGAGAAATACAAGTACAAAGAAAATTTAAAAACAGCTATACTCTCACCATCCATTTTGATGCACATAATTCCAGTATTTTCTCGATGTATTTTCAAAGAGTAAAATTATAGTGCTTTCCATTTTATAACTTGCTTTCAAAAATTAACCCCAGGCCAGGCACAGTGGCTCACACCTATAATCCTGACACTTTGGGAGGCTGAGGCTGGCGGATCACCTGAGATCAGGAGTTCGAAACCAGCCTGACCAACATGGAGAAACCCCATCTCTACTAAAAATACAAAATTAGCCAGGCATGGTGGCACATGCCTGTAATCCCAGGTACTCGGGTGGCTGAGGCAGGAGAATCGCTTGAACCCAGGAGGTGGAGGTTGCGATAAGCTGAGATCACGCCATTGCACTCCAGCCTGGGCAACGAGAGCAAAACTTTGTCTCAAAAAAAAAAAAAAAAAAAGTCCTGTGTAATTCAACATTCTTATACAACATGATTTTAAAAGGTCACAGAGTATTCCTTTGGGTTATTTTACATCTTTTATCTCTTTTTTTTTTTTTTTTTTTTGAGACGGAGTTTTGCTCTTGTTGCCCAGGCTCCAGTGCAGTGGCACAATCTTGGCTCCCTGCAACCTGCTTCAGCCTCCCGAGTAGCTGACATTATAGGTGCCTGCCACCACACCCAGCTAATTTTCTATATTTTTAGTAGAGACAGGTTTTCATCATGTTGGCCAGGCTGGTATCGAACTTCTGACCTCAGGCGATCCACCTGCCGTGGCCTCCCAAAATGTTGGGATTACAGGTATGAGCCACTGAACCTGGCCTACATCTTTTTTTTTCTTTTCTTTTCTGAGACGGAGTCTCGCTCTGTCGCCCAGGCTGAAGTGCAGTGGTGCAGTCGGCTCACTGCAACCTCCGCCTCCCAGGTTCAAGTGATTCTCCTGCCTCAGCCTCCCGAGTAGGTGGGATTATAGGTGCCCGCCACCATGCCCACCTAATTTTTGTGTTTTTAGTAGAGACGGGGTTTCACTATGTTGGCCAGGCTGGTCTGGAACTCCTGACTTCATGATCTGCCTGCCTTGGCCTCCCCAAGTGCTGGGATTACAAGCGGAAGCCACCGCGCCCGGCCCATCTTTTTTTTTAAGAGATGGGGTCTCACTTTGTTGCCCAGTCTGGTCTTAACTCCTAGCCTCAAGTGATCCTCTGGCCTCCACTTCCCACAGTGCTAGGGTTACAGGCATGAATCACCACACCTAGCACTTCACAGGCATGAGCCACTGTGCCTGGCCTTTTCCTTTTTTATTTATTTGTATCATTTTGCTTCTTAACCACCTCTGCCTTCCTTGCTCTCCACTGGTCCCACACTTCATGTATTGATATTTCCAACTCATCTGACCTGTCCAGGTGATCAGTGGCTGCTTTCTGTGGCTGTCTGGGGATGTAGCCTTCATCTCACCATCCAGACCACCTGCTCCTTAGGTCCAGGCCCCCGTGGCCTTCATTACAACCCCAGCCTCTCCTCGGGCTGCTGGGCAGACTCTTGTACCCGTGGCAAACCATCCAGTCTAACAATATTTCATGAGATAGTGCAAAAGCTGGACAAGGCAGAAAGGCAACTTTTCTGTAAACAGTATAAGGTTGACTTACAGGATATTAAATGCACTATTAAAAATTCTCAGGAAGAGGAAGAGACTGAAGATTTTTATCTGAGCACAGTACATTGTTTTTCTAAGCAACAGGGCCAAACAAGCTCAGAATTTATGGACTTACTTTTGTTGTTTTTTTTTTTTTTTGGACTTACTTTTTGAATGGAAGTCACAGTCACAACACTTGCCTATCAATTATTTATTTATTTATTTATTTATTTATTTATTTATTTATTTAGACAGAGTCTTGCTGTGTCGCCCAGGATGGAGTGCAGTGGTGTAATCTCGGCTCACTGCAACCTCCGCCTCCCAGGTTCAAACGATTCTTCCGCCTCAACCTCCCAAGTAGCTGGGAATTACAGGTTCCCGCCACCTGGCCCAGCTAGCTTTTGTATTTTTAATAGAGACGGGGTTTCATCAGGTTGGCCAGGCTGGTCTCGAACTCCTGACCTCAAGTGATCTGCCCGCCCCGGCCTCCCAAAATGCTGGGATTATAGGCATGAACCCCGTGCCCTGCCTTAATGATGTTGTGCCCTGCCTTAATGATGTTTTGAGACCACAATAAAACCTAACTGATTCATACCAATGGGGAACTGTCAAACTGCATCAGTGGAGAGAAGTGAATTACATCCTTTTTAACATAAACTCTTTTATTTCCAGTAGAATTCAAATAAAATAAAATCTTTATTTCCAAATGGTTCAATACTTGGACCTGTTTTTTAAGGGGTTGTTCAGAATCTGATCTACTACATTTGTTACAACCACATTTATTGTTTGTATGGAAACAGGAATGGCTAAAGTTTTGAGAAGTGTGTTCTTCCTAAAAACGTAAAACATTCAACATCCCCCAGCAACCATGCTCACACAGTTCGCTCCTTGGTAGAGCTTTTTCTTCCCAGATCATGTGGAAGAAAACCCCAGCTCAGGCTGCTCCCGGCTGCTCTGGTTCTGAGTGAGTGTGCAGAGGTTTGCAATATCAGCCCAGGTCAAGCCCTGAAAAATCTCTCCAGACTCCAGACTTGATCTGTCCAGACCCATCCGAGAATTAACAGGCTCCCCATCGTGCCCACAGAAGCAAGACTGTCATGGAAACACTGATTCAACCATAATAACTACTGACAGAAAAACCACACAAATGAACTAAACAATTCTTCCACCCAATCAGAGTCCAGGGGAGTCCATAGCCTCAGGATTAAAATAAGTAGGGCTGTTTTTATTATGTGGTCCAGCTCGTTTGAGCCTCTCCCATTGCCTTGTTTTCACAGCTCCCTTTTATGAGAAAGAAAGTGGGGGTGGGGGAGTTGGGAGGGAGACTAGAGCTATGCAGACGGGAATGCCAGGCTGGGAATACCAACAAACAGTGTGCTGCATGTCAGGCAAATTAAAACTTCTAGCCTGGAGGAGGCTGTAATCGTGTTTGCGGTTAGTCTGAAAACAAGCTACACTGAACTTCTATCTCCCAGGAAAACAGTCGAGTGTGGACTGAAGTCAAAAATGAGTATTTTTAGCAAGCATTCTCTCTCTTCCGTTTATTTTCTTCCTTCTTCTGTCTTTAGATATTAGAAACGCTAATTACATGAAGTATCATTATTATTCGAAGAAAGCACAGTTAGAAGGGTTAAAAATAAAAAGATGCCAAACCAACAGAAGCAGTACAATCCTAAGGAGGAATATATTTTAATTTTTCCCTGTACCCACGAGGTTCAGTTTGTGGGTCCAAGGGACCCAACCCCAATACCCAGTGAATGGTCATACCTGCAGGAAATATTTGGGCCAGTGTGGTGGCCCCCGCGGCTGTGGCCCCGTGGCCTGGCTCCTTGCCTTCCAGGGCAGGAGGGGACTCCGGGCTGCAGGCACAGGCTAAGGTCCGAGCTGAGGTACCAGGGAGCGGGGAGGGACAACAGCCCAAATAACAGCAGTCAGAAGGAGGAGGGAGTCCGGGAGCGGGAGAGAGACACAGAGACCCCGAGGGAGGCGTGAGGGGCGCAGAGCTGGTGGCCCGGGTCCGAGAGGTCGAGGGGCCGCGCGCGGGTGAGAACGAGCCCCGGCCCCCGCCCTCGGAACTGAGTCGATATTCCTTTTTTTGCTGTTTGAGTTTTCTCTTTAGAGTCGGACCCCGGTCCCAGCAGCAGTCTCAGAACAGAGGGGAGCCGAGGAGTCCCTGCCGGGAGGCCATCCCTCTGCGGGCCCCAGGGCGCCCCTGGGGGCGGCCAGGGCGGGCGCGGGGAGATGGGGAGGCGCCGAGCGGCCCTGGAGATGCCCGCGTCCCGGGGCGCCCGCAAACTTTCCCAGACACGGCGGGAGGCCCCACCCTGGAGAGGGGGGGTCCCAGGCCTCCCGTCTCTGTCCCCTGGGGCTGGTCACTCACCGGCAGCGCGGTTGGGGCTCCGATTCTGGCCGCAGCCAGCCACACCAGGAGGCGGAGGAAGAGGAGGGGGAGGAGGAGGGGGAGGAGGAGGGGGAGGAAGACCCGGGGCCGCCGAGTGGAGGGCGGGGAGGGGCGGCCGCGGCGCAGTGACTCCTCCCGCTCCCGCCCCCGCCCCCGCCCCTCCTCCCCTGCTGAGCCTCCCTTCTCTCTTCACGCCTTCTTTCTCACCCCGAATCCCCCAAAGTTTTTCTGGTGTCCGACGCTCCGTTCTCTTCCCTCCAGCGCATCTTCTGTCCCCGAGTCTCCAGCCTCCCAGAGGAGGGGAGAGCGCTCCCTCCTGCAAAAGTCGGGGGGCGGGGGCGGTAAGTCTATGAGTTACCTTTCGATGCCCTCTTGAAGCAGATAGCTTGGACCCGTGGAAGGTCTGAAGCCACCCAGCACCCCCAGACCTTGTCCTCACCTCTGGGTGGGGATGATGGAGGGCCTTTGCGGTCGTGCTTTCTAAGTTGCTTCATGGAGTTTTGTTTTGTTTTGTACCCCCCGCCTCACCCCACCCCCACCCCCCACCCCCCACCTTGTAATTAGGAGAACTAAAGAATTATATTTGAAAGGTAAAGATGAAGCCCCACCTTCCTGGGCGAATCAATCATAGCAGGAGGAAGGACACAAGATAGTTTAGTGAGGGCCAAGCTGTGGGGGTGGGGAGGAGGTAAACGCGTCCAGATGCCTCCTCTTTGCTGCCTCAAGAGTGCATGGAGAGGGAGAAGGGGCGTTGTCCTCCCAGGAGAGGCTGCAGGGTGTCTCGTAGTCCCTATTCCATCGCCTGCTGGCAAATGACTCCAGGCAAGTCACTTGGCATCTCAGCCTCTTCCTCAAGGGGGGCTGCCTCACTGGGAGCCAGTCAGAATGAAGGCACCCTCCCCACCCCTTTACCCTGGAGAGACACCAAAACCCAGGACGAGAGACTGAGCTGAGTTTGAACAGGCTCAGAGGGGAGAGAAGAGGGCATTTTAGGCCCCATGGCATGGTGCTTTGGAGGTTGGCAAGACTGGAAGGCTTAGGGTAAGTGGGCAATGTTTAGATGGGAAGGTGGAGCTGGGCATGAAGCAGAATACAGGAAATCTCTGAAAGTTTTCAAGCGAAGGTGTAGAGTAGGCACTCAGTGAATCCTTGAGGATTCAAAATGGCAAATAAGAAATATTGGTTTAACAGTCCTGTAGGATGGACCACCTAGGAAGAAAGGGGTTGCATCCAAAGAGAGGGGTTAGGAGGCCCCGGTGAGCATCTCAACTTGAAGTACTATGCTGGAAGGTGGAAAGGCAATGAATTATTTTTTAATCGTAAATTTCCTTGAGGAGCTGGGCTAACTCATAGGCAGTGCACCCAGGGTTGGTGAAAATCAGTGGACACTTCTTTGTATTTGCACAGCAGTGTAATTCTTTTTTAAATGTTCTGTCAGGTGTAGCCTTGTTTTTGACCTTGGAGTTCGCTGGTGAAATGGAAATATAGTCAGTACCCTATTTGACCTCCAGCCAGTGTTAAGAACCTGCCCTCGGGGCTTTGAGGAAGGAAACTGACGTTCCAGGAGGGCACTCCTCGAGCGCCTGAAATCACACAGCCAGGATCTATTTAGGATACTTTTATTCTCAGATAAAACTACTAATTGTGCTTATGCTTAATATATCCTAAACACAGAAAAAGGCACTGGTTTCTCCTCAGCTTCTCATTTCCTCCAGCTACCTTCCAGTAATGGTTAAGAGTTGAGGAAGGGCAACTTGCCTAGGGAAGAGGAGAGCCTAGGGAATAGGAAGTCAACTGACTGGCTGGTTAACTTGTCAGAGATTGTTCCATGGAAACAGACAGGTACTGGACCCCTAAGTCAGGCTTCTGGTAAGGAGCTGAGAGAAGTGGAGCAAGAAGGACACAGGAAGCAGGAGGAGGAGGAACGGAAGAAAAAGAGAAGGGGCAACTCTTTGTTGTCCTCATGCTTTGACCGCAGGCATTTTGGGGTCCCCAAATTGAACCCCCAAATTGAACCTTTTTGGTCCTGTATCCAGCCCACCTTTCACCAGTGGGTCTTCCACAGAGGCCAGCTCATCTCAGAAACTGCCACAGCTAACTGGAGACAGGACTCATGCAGGAAGCAACGACACATTTGACAAACAGTAATCATCATTGCATTTACAGAGTTCTGTATGCACCTTTTAAACTTTGTCATCTTTGAAAGAAGCAGTATGGCCTTTATTAGTGGGTAGCCACCTGGTGAAAGAAATCTCTTTTGGAAACTCTGACACTTCTGCAAAGCAAGGATGCCCATAACTTTCTAAAGACTAATACAGTTGGTTGAAAACCATTTTGTCTTTTGCAAAGGACAGGCCTTCCCCCTCTGTGTGATTCAGCATTGCCCCAAAGGTTGCCAGTTTCATGAATGAAGATTTATTTCTTGCAACTCCACCATGTATTTCCAAAGGATCCTTTCTGGTAGTGTCCCTTTGTATCAAAATCTGGTGGTAAACAGCTTAGCCTGGCCTCAATAGCTAAGCCACCACAGCCGTTCATCACAGCTGTGAGCTCATTTTACTCCAGTTACTGTTCTTTCTCTTGCTTTACAATAAGTAGACCCTCAAACTATGTCATTCTCCTTTTTATTAGCAGATTTCTCTTTCCTGGCAGTTTTTTCATGGAAATATTTAGAACTTCCCAACTGTTTAACAAGAGATCCCCAAAGTATCTGTAGATATGACCTAATAGATTAGCTTGGAATTCCTCAAAACTCATGTCAGCTGAAGCTGTCAGGATCATTTAATATACATCCAAGGGGAGGGACACACTGAGAACTAAATGCTTCGTAGGAACATTCCTCTCTAAAAACTTGGCAACAGCAAATCTCTGTTTACATTATAACACTCATTCAAACTACAGCTTTTTGGCTGGGCACTGTGGCTCATGCCTGTAATCCCAGCACTTTGGGAGACTGAGACAGGCAGATCACCTGAGGTCAGGAGTTCAAGACCAGCCTGGTCAACATGGTGAAACCCCATCTCTACTAAAAATATGAAAATTAGCAGGGCGTGGTGGTGGGCGCCTGTAATACCAGCTACTCAGGAGGCTGAGGCAGGAGAATCACCTGAACTCAGGAGGCGGAGGTTGCAGTGAGCCAAGATAGCAACACTGCACTCCAGCTTGGGCAACAGAGCGAGACTCCATCTCAACAAATATTTATATTTTTTATGTATATATATTTTATGTATGTATTTTATATATTTATATATTATATATATTTTATACATATATAAGTATGGTTTTTTTGAAAACCATAAAATCTCCCAGTGGATGGCTTCAACAATAGTTAAAATGAAATCGAAAAAATTTAAAAATCACCATCTTGAGTACATAATACATTTTGCTCTCATGTTTGATAAACAGTTTTTAAATGAATTTTTTTTTTTTTTTTGCTATAAGTAAACCCAAATACTCTGGATGGAATATTCCAGAGATAAATAAAAAGCCCACATCTTCACTGAAAATGCCAAATGAAATCAATGATACTTAGGAGTATGATAATCAGTTCAGAATGGCTCAAGATTGACTGTCCTTTGTCCTGAAGATGGGATACTCTTGAGTGTAGTTGAGCCACATTGATCGTTGCTACAGCTGGCCACTCCCTTGGCTTGATTCCTAAAATGTATCCAGTTTTCATTTACTGAAAACCTACTGTGTACAAGACATTCTCCTAGGCACTGTGGGGGAGAAAGTATAAGGCACAGTTCCTGCCTCACAGTATCTGTTGCTGTTCAGGAAGATGGCATGCATGAGAATAACTACATGAGATATGTTGACAATTTACCACAGTACAAGAGGTCTCCTAAAGAAATATAGGAAAGCCGAAGAAAGGGAGAATATTCTTCACCATCTCAGCAAGATGTATGTGAATGACATTTTGTTCTTAGTTAACTGATCCGGTGCTATTTCTATTCTTGGGCCTATAAGATGTCACCACTAAGCTATTCCACTACTATCCAGTGTTTAGGGAAGCAGTGGGGTTGAGCTGAGAAATAATTAAAGCCACTGGTAAAACAAACACAAAGGTTCTAAATGGGGAGATACCTTTTGAGGCCCCTATACCTGCAAGCAAGCCAACAGATTCCAGCATGTTTCCATCTACCAGTCAATTCTTTCAATTCTTCTAATTTTTTTTGTTTGTTTGTTTGTTTTGAGACAGGTTCTCACTCTGTCACCCCGGCTGGAGTGTGGTGGCGCACTCTTGGCTCACTGCAGCCTCAACCTCCCTGGTCACAGGTGATTCTCCCACCTCCGCGTCCTGAGTAGCTGGGACCACAGGCACACGCCACCACACCCGGCTAGTTTTGTTGTTGTTGTTGCATTTTTAGTAGAGGCAGGGTTTTGCCACGTTGCCTAGGCTGGTCTGGAACTCCTAGTCTCAAGTGATCTGCTCACCTCAGCCTCCCAGAGTGCTGGAATTATAGGCATGACCCACCGCGCCCTGCTGTATTCCTCTTCCTACAAAGAGTTATCGTAATGCTAACCTTTTTTTTTTTTTTTTTTTTTTTGGAGATTTGGAAGAGCTATAATGGGTTTTCCTGCTCCAATGCTTTGATTGCCAGTTAATTTCCTAATTTGGAGCTAACTACTAAACTGCTTAAAAATTTAAGACAAAGAGGCAACCACTTACTGACAAGCTTTCCATTTATTGCCATGGTATCTGAGGACATGGCTCTTAGCCGAGAACAGAAGCTTCCTCTTCTGTCGTAAAACAAACTATTCCCTTGTTAATATGGCTGTGCCAGATGTTTTCTTAGCCATCATCAACCAAATACGTTGCTATCTTCATATGTAAAAGTAACAGAAGAGTTTGAAGACTTTTAAGATCTGAGAGCAACTTCCAGGGTTAATGCTATATAAAACTATAAACTGCACATTTTTCTTCCTGAATTCATATGTTCTTTATGAATTATAAAGGCTTAAATTCATAGCCATTTGGAGAGAGCCTTTTGTTCCAACTCTTTTAGTGGCTTCCTTAGCTAACTGGATCTTCAATTTTTTTTTTACACCTTTGTTTAGAAATGGTGTAGCTGAGTTTTGTTTTATTTTGTTTCAAAGGGTAATGAACTTAGAAAGTGGTCATGTTGTTAAAAAGTATCTGTGTGAGCATGCACACGTATGTTTATTGTGGCACTATTCACAATAGCAAAGACTTGGAACCAAGCCAAATGTCCAACAATGACAGACTAGATTAAGAAAATGTGGCACATATACACCATGGAATACTATGCAGCCATAAAAAATGATGAGTTCATGTCCTTTGTAGGGACATGGATGAAGCTGGAAACCATCATTCTCAGCAAACTATCGCAAGGACCAAAAACCAAACAACGCATGTTCTCACTCATAGGTGGGAATTGAACAATGAGAACACATGGACACAGGAAGGGGAACATCACACACTGGGGCCTGTTGTGGGGTGGGGGGAGGGGGGGAGGGATAGCATTAGGAGATATACCTAATGTTAAATGACAAGTTAATGGGTGCAGCACACCAACATGGCACATGTATACATATGTAACTAACCTGCACGTTGTGCACATGTACCCTAAAAGTATTAAAAAAAAAAAAAAGTATCTGTGTTAGTTAAGCCGGGCCTGCTGGCTCATGCCTGTAATCCTACACTTTGGGAGGCCAAGGCGGGTGGATTGGGCAGATTGCCTGAGCTCAGGAGTTCGAGACTAGCCTGGGCAACACGGTGAAACTCCGTCTCTACTAAAATACAAAAAATTAGCCAGGCATGATGGCACCCGCCTGTAGTCCCAGCTACTCGAGAGGCTGAGGCATGAGAATCCTTGAACCCAGAAGGTGGAGGTTGAAGTGAGCTGAGATTGTACCACTGCACTCCAGCCTGGGTGACAGCACAAGACTCTGCCTCCAAAAAAAAAAAAAAAGTATCTGTGTTAGTTGAACTGATAGTTTCTTACCAAAAACAGTGGAGAATCCAGTTGTATTAGCTTTGCAAATTGAGTAGTATTGCATGTAACAACTAAATGGGGGGGGGGGAGGGGGAATGGTGGCCACGAAGGATATGACAAAACAAAGGCTTTTTATCAGTTTCTTAAACTGTGCCTGGAGGCTCTTACCCCTTCAACCCAGGATCGCTGGGTTTGCTACTGAACACAGTGTGAATGGTGCCCTCCAGAGCTGTGCAACCAGGTAATTTACTCCCCCTCTTCCTATTAAATAACTTTTTTTCTCATTTGAAATTTTTCTTTTTTTTGAGATGCAGTCTCCTTCTGTTGCCCAGGCGATCTCGGCTCACTGCAACCTCCGCCTCCTGGGGTCAAGCAATTCTCCTGCCTCAGCCTCCTGAGTAGCTGGGATTACAGGCATGTGCCACCACACCCAGCTAATTTTTGCATTTTTAGTAGAGACAGGGTTTCACCATGTTGGCCAGGCTGGTCTCGAACTCCTGACCTCAAGTGATCCACCTGCCTCAGCCTCCCAAAAGTGCTGAGATTACAGGCATGAGCCACTGAGCCAGGCCTCATCTGAAATTTCTTATAACACAATTCCAACTTTTTTCTCACTTGGAATTTGTTGTAACATAAGCGCAACTTTAATTAAAAACACATTTATATATGCATGAAATAAAAAGCAGGAACAAGCAAAAACGTTAATAGCTAAATCTCTGCTCCTGATTCTTTTCCTCATTTTCCAAATTTTTCAAAATTTTAATATATATTTTTTAACAGAGATGGGATCTCCCTATGTTGCCCAGGCTGGTCTCAAACTCCTGGGCTCAAGCGATCCTCCTGCTTCGGCCTCCTAAAGTGCTGGGATTATAGGTGTAAGCTACTGCACCTGGCCCAATATTCCAGATTCTCAACAATGGGCATGTAATATATAATCAGGAAAAAGCAGGAAGTTTTGCTTCAGACAATTTTGAAAATTCCATCTTCTCCAGAAAGCAATGAATGATTTTTTTTTTTTTTTTTTTTTTTGAGACATAGTCTCACTCTGTCACCCAGGCTTGAGTGCAGTGGTGTGATCTTGGCTCACTGCAACCTCTGTCTCCCAGGTTCAAGCAATTCTCATACCTCAACCTCCTGAGTAGCTGGGATTACAGGAGTGCACAAGCAGGCCTGGCTAATTTTTATATTTTTAGTAGAGACAGGGTTTCACCATGTTGGCCAGGCTGGTCTTGAACTCCCAACCTCAGGTGATCCGCCTGCTTTGGCCTCCCAAAGTGCTGGGAGTACAGGCATGAGCCACTGCTCCTGGCCTGCAATGAATGATTAATTAAAAGAAAAGTCCTTCTTTCTTTTTTTTTTTCTGGTTTTCACTCCTATGCAGATTTCAATCCCTACTCTGTGCATGGACTGAGAATCTCCTCTTTTTTGGGGGGTTGGGGGGGACAGAGTCTCACTCTGTCACCTATGCTGGAGTGCAGTGGCATGGTCTCGGCTCACTGCAACCTCCACCTCCCGGGTTCAAGCGATTCTCCTGTCTCAGCCTCCCGAGTAACTGGGACTACAAGTGTGTGCCACCACACCCAGCTAATTTTTGTATTTTTAGTAGAGATAGGGTTTCACTATGTTGGCCAGGCTGGTCTCGAACTCCTGACCTCAGGTGATCCACCCTTCTTGGCCTCCCACAGTGCTGGGATTACAGGCGTGAGCCACCACACCCAGTCTCTTGTTTTTGGTTTTTTGGGTTTTTTTGGAACGGAGTTTTGCTCTTGTTGCCCTGGCTGGAGCGCAATGGTGCGATCTCAGCTCACTGTAACCTCCACCTCCCAGGTTCAAGCAATTCTCCTGTCTCAGCCTCCTGAGTAGCTGGGATTACAGGTGCCAGCCACTACGCCAAGCTAATTTTTTGTATTTTTAGTATAGACAGGATTTCACCTTGTTGGCCAGGCTGGTCTTGAACTCCTGACCTTAGGTGATACACCCACCTCAGCCTCCCAAAGTGCTGGGATTACAGGCATGCACCACTGCGCCTGGCCAGATCTCCTCTTTCACTTCCCATGTCACAAGAGGCCCAGACAAGAGAGAGAATTCTTTCAAGAGGTAGGCTGTAAACACAAGTAGAGGGACAGGGCAGTCACTAGAAGGACTCATGGAGTTGAGCAAGGGTTGTTTTAAGGATGAGAGACACTTGATGCCCAGAATATTGAGGAAGGCAGATCCCAAGACAACATCAGTGCTGCCAGCCCAGAGATCAAATGAGGCAGCCTGGAGCACGTCAGATGGTTCTGGGAGAGAATTCCTGAAGAAGATGGAAGTTGGCTGAACACCCAACTGAATTTGACCACACTGTAAGGAGCCTTATACACTTGGGAGTGAAGTTAGGAATAAACTAGTGATAAGTACCATAGAAAACATAGTAAATAATTTTTTTTTTTTTTGAGACGGAGTCTCACTCTGTCCCTCAGGCTGGAGTGCAATGGCGCGATCTCAGCTCACTGCAAGCTCCGCCTTCCGGGTTCACCCCATTCTCCTGCCTCAGCCTCCCGAGTACCTGGGACTACAGGCGCCTGCCAGCAGGCCCGGCTAATTTTTTGTATTTTTTTAGTAGAGACGGGGTTTCACCGTGTTAGCCAGGATGGTCTCGATCTCCTGACCTCGTGATCCACCCACCTCAGCCTCCCAAAGTGCTAGGATTACAGGCTTGAGCCACAGCGCCCAGCAGTAAATAATTTTTTTTAAAAAGACTCCAGGGAAAACAGAGTTGTACAAGAAAGGAAAAATAATCACAGTATGTTATATGACTCAACTATCACCAGTATTTGAATACTCATAATGAAGTATATGGTGAATACTGACCCAGTCCAAATGTTTTTGGCTTTTTGAGATGGAATCTTGCTCTGTTGCCCAGGCTGGAGTGAAGTGGCAAGATCTTGGCCCACTGCAACCTCCACCTCCCAGATTCAGGTGGTTCTCCTGCCTCAGCCTCCCAAGCAACTGGGATTACAGACACACGCCACCATGCCCGGCTGATTTTTGTATTTTTAGTAGAGACGGGGTTTCACTATGTTGGCCAGGCTGGTCTTGAACTCCAGACTTCAAGTGATCTGCCCATCTCGGCCTCTCAAAGTGCTGGGATTACAGGTGTGAGCCACCGCACCTGGCCTTTAGTTTTATTTTTTTAGAGGCTGGGTCTCACTCTGTTGCACAGGCTGGAGTGCAGTAGCACAATCACGGCTCACTGCTGCCTTCGAACTCCTGGGCTCAGGCAATCATCCCGCCTCAGCCTCCTAAGTACCTAGGAGTACAGGCATGAGCCACAAGGCTAGACCCAAATGTCAATATAACTAGTTTAAACAGTGAGTATATGTATGTGTATGTGAGTGATGCAAAGGGGAGGCAGATGAAACAGACAAATACTCATCTTCCAACTGTAAATTCAATTAATAATGCCTAACAAGAAGAGCAAAGGTAGCATGCCATTTGGAAATATAGATAACAAAATAGTGAATGAAAGTGGTTTTTCTGTGGGGAGCATGAAATGGCGGGAGGATCAGGGGTCTGTTTGGTTTTGCCTTATTTTATCTTAGTAATAACTGTTTAAGAGCAGCCTAACTCAAACTAAGTTCAAAACTTAATTAAAAATACAGATACGGGCTGGACGCAGTGGCTCACGCCTGTAATCCCAGCACGTTGGGAGGTCGAGGCGGGTGGATCACCTGAGATCAGGAGTTTGAGACCAGTCTGACCAACATGGTGAAACTCCGTCTCTACTAAAAATACAAAAATTAGCCGGGCGTGGTGGTAGGCGCCTGTAATCCCAGCTACTTAGGAAGCTGAGGCACGAGAATCACTTGAACGCAGGAAGCGGGAGTGCCACCAGAGATGGCACCATTGAACTCCAGCCAGGGCGACAGAGTGAGTCCCTGTCAAAACAACAACAACAAAAATACACACACACACATATATTTATACAGATACTACTTTAAAAATAAAAGCCTCCATTTTTTTTTGTTTGTTTGTTTTTCAGATGGAGTCGCACTCTGTCGCCCAGGCTAGAGTGCAGTGGCATGATTTCGGCTCACTGCAACCTCTGCCTCCCAGGTTCAAGCAATTCTCCTGTCTCAGCCTCCCGAGTAGTTGGGACTACAGGCGGCCACCACGCCCGGCAAATTTTTGTGTTTTTAGTAGAGACGGGGTTTCACCATATTGGTCAGGCTGGTCTCGAACTCCTGACCAGTGCTCTGCCTGCCTTTGCCTCCCAAAGTTCTGGTATTACAGGCGTGAGCCACCATGCCCTGCCAAAAAGCCTCCATGTATTATCTCTTCCTTATTGCTCTGAAATAATCGCAGGACAGGATGAACAAATGAGTTCGTGGTTATAATTTGCGTGTTCACTTCCTTGTCTCACTAAAAACAGGCTGTAAGCTCTTCTCAAGGGCAGCCAGCACGTCTGGTGAGCGTGCCACAGTCTGCTCAGCACTAAGCACGCAGCAGGCACTCGGCACACACTTGCCAAATGAATGATGACATGGGTAAGACAGGCTCCCATCTTTACAAACACCCGCAGAACTGAAGTATTTATAGACGAAATGACCCAGTGTCCGAGAATGGCCTTAAAATATGCCAGAAAAAAAGAAGTGTGGAAAAAAGATAAAACAAGATTGGCAAAATGTTCATAAGGAGTGATGGGGACACAGGGCTTGTATGAGTCTACTTTTGTGCATGTTAGAAAATTCTCATAATAAAACAGCAACAACAAGAACGTTTACACAGAAAGAGGACCAGAATGAAGGGATGGCGTCATGGCATAAATATATAAAATTCAGAATCTGGTGTTCGGCAAGGCTGGTGTAACAAGGAATATGTAAATAAAAATGAGGGATCAGGGGAAGAAAAAATTACGTCAAAGGCAAACCATATGCCAGGGACTTTAAATTAGCTCAAGAAGTTCACTAAAAGCTGACTGAAAGGAGGCACAGGGGTACTTAGTGAAGATGTAGAAAGGGGATGTTGAATGAAATACTGCTGGAGTTGCTAAGAAATTTAGTATTTTTTTCCTTGTTTTTTTCTTTTTTTCTTTTTTTGAGACAGGGTCTTGCTCTGTCACTCAGGATGGAGTGCAATGGTGTGAACATGGCTCACTGCAGCCTTGACTTCCTGGGCTCAGAAAATCCTCCTGCCTCAGCCCCTCATGTAGCTGGGACCACAGCTGTGCACCAACACCCCCAGCTAATTTTTAAAAAAAATTTGTAGAGATGAGGTCTCACTCTGTTACCCAGGCTGGTCTCAAACTCCTGGGCTGAAGTGATCCTCCTGACCCAGCCTCTGAAAGTGCTGGGATTACAGGCATGAGCCACTACACCCGGCCAAAATTTAATTTTTGTCTTCCAAATATACAGTACCTGAAGGAGTTGAAAGCCCCCAATTTAAAAGGCTCATAGCACAGTAGTGAATAATCCAAGCTGAGTCAGGCTAGACTGGGTTTGAATCCTGGCTCCAGCAGGTACTGTGTGACTGTGGGAAAGTTACTTAGTCCCTCTAAGCCTTGGCTTTCTATCTGTAAACTGGGGATAGTAATGGTATGTATGAGATATGGTTGCTGGGAAGTCTAAATGAAGTAATACATGTCAAGTCATACCTACACCTAACTTATGGTAAGTGATTAATAAACAGTGGTTATTATATGCCTTGGGAGATGACCGCCAAGAGAGCAAAGATCTAAGTTAAGTCAGAAGAGCACAATTTTGCCAGGGATCCAACTGTGCCCTCTACAGTCCTGCCCTATCCCTCAGCCCTAGGAAACCTCCCACGGAAACTGTCCCCTACAAAATGGCCAGGCAGTCCACAAGCACTGCCTCAGAACCTATAGGGCCACACACCATGCAAGACAATGGAGGTGGCTGGTCTGGGAGCTCTTTTGACAGCTGTCACAGATGGTGGGAGATACAAGTCTCAGCCACCAAAGCAAAGAGTGAAACAATCCCAAGATTCACATTGTCTCTAAGGGAAAAATAAGGCTCATTGCTCAGGAGACATGAAACTTTCCTGATCCAGAGGTCTGAGAGTTTTTACTGTAAGCAGTTAAAGTAGAGGGAGGGTACACTGTGTATATGGAAGAGAATGAGGAGAAAGTGAGCTAAGCAAGTGTCACATACACACTACTACTAGATCTTGCCCAGCAGACAACAAGGAGCCATCGTGAAGGCTTTCCATCTGGAGAATGGCTATGGCAGAGATATGTTTTAGAAAGATGGCCTAGCTGGGTGCGGTGGCTCACGCCTGTAATCCCAGCACTTTGGGAGGCTGAGGCGGGTGGATCACCTGAGGTCAGGAGTTCAACACCAGCCTTCCCAACATGATGAAACCCCATCTCTACTAAAAATACAAAAATTATCTGGGCATTGTGGCGGGAGCCTGTAATCCCAGCTACTTGGGAGGCTGAGGCAGGAAAATCGCTTGAACCTGGGAGGCAGAGGTTGCAGTGAGCTGAGATTGCACCATTGCACTCTAGCCTGGGCAACAAGAGTGAAACTCCGTCTCAAAAAAAAAAAAAAAAAAAAGAAAGAAAGAAAGACGGCCTGGCAGAAGGGGTGGAAGGACTGGAGTACAGGAAGACAAGTAGTCCAGACAACTGGTATTCAGGGCTCAATTTAAGATACTGAATAAGGAGAGATCAGAAGTGCATGGCATTGCAAAGGCAGGAAGATTCAATAAGATGACCAATGAGATGTGCCAGGTGAGGAGGAATCAAAAGTGATTCCAGGTCTCCCGCTTCCTTTACAAACAGGTGGAAGCTACTTGCTCCTCCCTCAATCCTCCTGCTCAGTCAAGTTTGTTCAGGCCAAAGCCTTTGGCTTCATCTTTGACTCCTCTCTTTCGCTCACACCCCACATCCGGTCCAATCAACATTCATTCAACAAATATTAACTGATGCCAGACAGTATTCTAAGTACAGGGAACGCAGCAAGACAAAAACACCTGCCTTCCTGAAGCTGCATCTAGTGAGAGAAACAGGTAATAAATAAGATAAATAAGCAAAATATATCATATGTTAGATTATAAATACTAAGGATTAAAATAAAGCAGAGTAGTAATAGAAGTGTAGGGGAAAGGAGTCGCAATCTTAGATAAATCTGTCAGCAAACTGTATCAATGGTGGCACAAACATATAGTCCTAGCTACTTGGGAGGCTGAGGCAGGAAGATCGCTTGAGCCCAGGAGGTCGAGGCTGCAGTGAGTGTGAGCACACCACTGCACTCCAGCCTGGGTGACAGAGTGTGACCCTGTCTCAAAAAAATTAAATTGATAAAAAAAGTATGGGCTAAGTTCAGTCTATTTGGAAGCTGAGGGAGAGGACATCAGTAGAATGAGAAATTGAAGATCTAAAAGTGAAAAAACAAGCACCAGAAAAGGTATGGCATTAAGAGCATCAGAAATACCCTACCTTTAAGGGTAGCAGAGATGCCTCTGCCTCTGAAGCAGGGGAGAACGGGAAGCATGGGTAAATATATGAAGCGGTGGGGCAGTTGAGAAGTGTTTTTGATGGTACAGATGGTACAAATCCTAAGAGTGAAGGGGGCAGACCTTAAGGAGAGAAGTGGTGTAGCCATTATTGAAATTTAGAATAAAAATGGACTAAAAATACCCAAAGGACTGTCCTAGAACAATGAAAGGCTGGCAGGGGCTCAAAACCCTAAGTTCTTGACAGAGCTAGTTAGGATGGCTCTTTTTTTTTTTTTTTTTTAAGACAGAGTCTCACTCACTCTGTCGCTCAGGCTGGAGTGCATTGGTGCTATCTCAGCTCACTGCAACCTCCATCTCCTGGGTTCAAGTGATTCTCCTGCCTCAGCCTCCCAAGTAGCCGGGATTACAGGCACATGCCACCACGCCTGGCTAATTTTTTGTAGTCTTAGTAGACATGGGGTTTCACCATGTTGACCAGGCTGGTTTTGAACTCCTGGCCTCAAGTGATCCACCTGCCTCAGCCTCCCAAAGTGCTGGGATTACATGTGTGAGCCACTGTGCCAGGCCCAGCATGGCTCTTTGATGTTTCCCTCGCAGTGTTTGGGGGCCTACTCACAGCTGCAGTGAAAACAACTGGCTGAGTAGATAGAAAACTGACAATGGACAGGGCAGAGAAAACAGAAAGGGCAAGGGGGCTAGGGACTTGAAGGGCTGGGAAAAATGGAACTGAACCAACCAACCCAGAGATCCCCCAACTCAGGATCCGAATGCTTTCACTGTGGTGAGGACTGGGCCTAACAACCAGAGTCTCTCTGTATGGCAGACAGCTGAGGACTTAGGGCAGAGGCCAAGGAGTTGGCTTTTGTGCTGAGCACAGAGAGAAGCCGGTGATGGGATCTCAGGTAAACTCCGGAATAAAGCATTTTAGAGGGTGACTCACAACTGTCTAGAGAGTAGACTCGAGAGATGGTGCCACAGGCGGAGAGGTAAGGAGAAGTGGGTTTCAGGAACTCCTCAGCTAATCTGGAGGCCTGGACACGGTTGAAATGGGCCTGTGAAAGCAGTTCAGAAAGGAGTAATATATTTAGTGCCTCGGGAGTAGGGGTGGAGAGTGCTGCCAGAGCCACTCCTGACACTAATACAACACAATGTTTATGATATCAGCCAAGGGAAGCCTTAAAGGGCTCAGGCTCTTTGCTTGAAGTGTGGTTTAAAGTAGCTTTCAAGGCAAAACTCAAGAGCCTTACTAAAGGATTAACTGTAGAATTATTCCAATTTGAGGAATCCGAGGATTACACCTAAGTCAGTTGGCATTTGATATGTTTTGTAACAGCCCACTTTAATAGGGTTCAGTTTCCTTTATCAAATTTTAATAGAGAGACTGAAAGTGTGATATAAGTATGAATTTATTGACATGAACTTCCTTTAGCTATTACTCTAACACAGGGTATCAAAGAGCTGAAGATAATGATACTAAACCCACAGGATCTGAAGTTTGGAGGGCTCCCTCTCCCTCAGAGAGAAAGAAGAGAGAGAGAGAGAGAGAGAGAGAGAGAGAAATATGAACAAATCTTTTAAAAAGAATCTGGAGAATGCCTTCAACTATAATAAGAAGTAATGACAGTTTGACAATTTAAGCATTTTTTTCCAGAAACATATATCTATTCCATAGATACCAAATCGATTACCATATAATTGAGTTTGAAAGTATACAAAATATTTGTTCTTACATACTGAAATTAAAACCTAATTTTAAAAAGTGCACAGTAAAAACAGCATAAGGAAACCTACAATATCCATGACATACGTATTGTTTTCCATTTACTGCCGACATCAACTTCTGTATTTGCCTCACTGGTTACAAATATGTTTTAAATATTTCAAGGCCGTTTCCAACACTGACTAGTTTACTAGGTCCAACAATACTTTAGCTTCCTGAAGGCAGCCAGCATGGACGTGGTCTCAGCCCTGCGGCTCTGTGCAGCAGGAGCAGGTCTGGAAAGAACAGTCGCCAACCAGCTATTTCAAAACTATCGACTCTTGTTCTTTTTAGAATTCCCCTGTGCAAAGAAAAATATCAACAATAAGAACATAAACATAAAAAAAAATAACTCACATAGTTTATAAACCAAGCTGTCTGAAAGCCATATTTCACTTTGGAACACTAGCTTCCAAAAAGGAGAATAGCTGATAACCTTGCATTGTTAACTTTTATTCAATAATCGCAAAGCAGTTTGTTATACTCTCTCTCCTCTCTGCTTCCACAGACCCTATCCCTCTCGGGGCTGAGGACAGGAAATAAAGAAAGAAAAGAAAGCAACTATCTTGGATTTATCAAAACTACAAACATTCATTTTGTTCCAAAGACAAGAGAGTCTAAGATTTCAAGAAGCTGAATAAAAAAATGTTAGCCTAAACCCCAGCACTTTGGGAGGCCGAGGCGGGTGGATCACGAGGTCAGGAGATCGAGACCATCCCAGCTAACATGGTGAAACCCCGTCTCTATTAAAAATACAAAAAAATTAGCCGGGCATGGTGGCGGGTGCCTGTAGTCCCAGCTGCTTGGGAGGCTAAGGCAGGAGAATGGCATGAACCCGGGAGGCGGAGCTTGCAGTGAGCCAAGATGGCGCCGGGAGAATGGCATGAACCCGGGAGATGGAGCAACAAGACTCTGTCTCAAAAAAAAAAAAAAAAAAAAAAAGAACATGTCTCGTCATTGTTTAAATAAACACCTTTTCTTTTAAAGGTCTTAATAGGTAATAACTCTGAATATGTGCTAACTAACACCCAAACGGCACTGATTATCTGTCAAAAGTCAGCTTGGATACTGGCTGAGAACAAATCAGAGAGAAGATGACTTATTCCATTTCCTCAAATACGGAGATTTGGATTTTCTAGTTTTGTATAATTTTTATTCTTTCTGGAGAGGCTCCCTTCTTGGGAATACATTTTAATTAAATTCCTGTATTTAACTCTTAGGCATAAATACATTTTCTTCATGGAAGAAATGCTTGCAGAATATAAACACTAAGAGCAAGATCATAGCAAACAAATGGTTGAGGATGTTTACTTTGTATCCAATGCAGACAATGTCAGCCATAAGATGATGCTATAGCAATGTAAATTACTAAATGGGGGAAAAGCAAACTACAGGATTACAGAATGATCAAAGACAGGTTAATGACATAAATTCAAACTGAAGAAGGGTCTCTCAGAGTTTTATTAATGGCTGGTATTTTAAGGAAAAGATCAACAATCTCTAAAATGCTGTGTGCTGTGATTCACGCCTGTAATCCCAGCACTTTGGGAAGCTGCAGCCAGCTTATCACTTGGGCCTGGGAGTTTGAGACCAGCCTGAGCAACATGGTGAAACCCTGTTGCAAAAATACAAAAAAAAAAAAAATTAGCCGGGCATGGTGGTGCATGCCTGTAGTCCCAGTTACTAGGTAGGCTGAGGTGGGAAAATCTCTTGAACCTGGGAGGTGAAGGTTGCAGTGAGCCAAGATCTCACCACTGCACTCCAGCCTGGGTGACAGAGCAAGACTCCATCAAAGAAAAAAAAAAAGTCAGAGGAAACTTGAAAATTCCCTAACTTCTGAAGTAGCTGCAATCCAATTACCTTCAGGACAATGAGCTTTGCTGTACTCAACATGTACCTTTCTCAATTCAAAACCAAATACTTCTGAAGTTCCAGAGATTGAAAAGTTTTCAAAAATTATTGCTACTTCTTTTCAAATTTTAGGTGCTAAAACAGGCTTTCTCATACTACTACACTAAAACAAATTATACATACCATGAGAAAACCCAAAACACGACCTCTTCAATGTGTGTATTTTCTACCACTACTAAGAATATAACTTGTGAATTAGATATTGCTCTGCTGGAATATGGAATAACAAGAAACCAAAAGGTTAAGGGAGGCTTTCCTTAAAAGGACCAGCCCCCTGATCGCCAACTCCCTTACCCCCAAGCTCAAGTTTCCTGAACCACAAGTAACTGGAGAACCATAATGAGAACCATATTGGGTGATTACAATAATCACAGAAACAGCCCAGAAAAGCATCAGAGACAGCCTCCAAAGCAGCAAGCAATCAATGAATATCACGAAACTATGTTGATAAACAAAATCATATATAATGCAGATTCCAATGCATTAACATGACGTATTTTCCAAGAAGACCCTAAATGAACAGAATCCTGTCCTTAACACCAACAGCAGATGCTAAAATAAAGCCATGGTTTCTTCATCTCTATTTCTCCCCAGTATACACAGCAGGAACTCAATAAATGCCTGCTGAATCACAAAGGGGCAGCAGCAGATCTCAAAGACTGCAGGCTGGAGATGGTAAATCCCAGCTGATGGTGGTATAATACTGAGTTATGAAAATGGACTAAGCACATGAGATGATGCCAACTAAGTGAGCCCCTGGCCTCCCAAAGTTTACCTTTCATGGCAAAACAGTACATACGTTGTTACAGTAATAAAGACACGGTATGTGGATATGCATTTCAGCCTAAACATATTGCCCAACATCTACTATCTCAGTCTGGGCAAGCAGAAGGATTATGGGAAAGGAAATCTAGTTAAAAGGGTAAGACATTCCAAGGTTATATTAACATTTATGAGAATAAATTTTCTAACATTTACTCTTCAACAGTACCATTTTAGGTCTTACATAAACAAAGAGCAATCCTTTCCTAAAGCCCTTTGTGAGTCCCCCTAACTTTTCTGCAACAGTAGGAGAAATGCCAAAAATGCCAAAAAGCAGCTGATACAGTATTAAAGCCTTAGAGGCCAGACTTTCTCAGCTTTTAATTCAGCCAAAGACACTTAATACTTTTGGAAAAAAGGACAAATGATATTAAGGAAAATTATTTATACATGCTTTTTTTTTTCTTTTTTAGAGACAGAGTCTCACTCTGTCGCACAGGCTGGAGTGCCGTGGCACAATCATAGCTTGCTGTAACCTCAAACTCCTAGGTTCAAGCAATCTTCCCACCTCAGCCTCCCAACTAGCTGGGACTACAGGCACAGGCCCTCATGCTTGGCTTATTTTTTCATTTTTTTTTTTTTTTGTAGAGATGAAGTATCACTATATTGCCCACTCTGCTCTCCAACTCCTGGCCTCAAGGGATCCTCCCACCTCAGCCTCCCAAAGTACTGGGATTACAGGCTTAAGCCACTGCCCCTGGCCCTTACAAACACTTTAAATCTTATGTCCTCTTCCTCCTGAAATGCATAACAATAAAATACCTCACATTAAATATTATATTGCAGAGAGACTACCTCACCTCACCTCACATACCTTACTGGACATCTTTAGTGTGTCAATCTCTTCTCTCTGTTTAGATAATGTCTCATTCATGCTGCACAGGTGGTCACTCATCATACTTAACTGATCCTCGTAACTCCTCTTGGTAGTTGTCAGCTCATCCTAAATAGCAAAGAAAAAGACAAAAATCAACATCCCACGAGTCGTACCACTCTGAAGCTTTTTTAATTCACAAAAGAAAAATGTGGAGTAGGGAAATTATAGTTTCCCAATAATTTACTGTATATTTCAAAATAGCTACAAAAGAAGAATTATTATGTTCCCAACACAAAGATAAATGTTTGAGGTGGTGGACCTCCAAATGACCCTGATTTGATCATTACACACTGTACAAAGGTATCAAAATAATCAAAATACCATGTCCCCCCCAAACATGTACAACTATTTACATCAATTTTTTAAAAAAATTCTTTTACTTGTAAAAGCAACCTATAAAGATGGTCTATCTGATCAATTGACATGCAGCTTAAGGCCCAGGCCTAACAAGAGAACAAAGTTAAAAGAAATGGCAACAAGTTTTTCTCAGCCTCCAAAGTAGATTCATAATTTCTTTGCAAAAATTTAAGGGTTTCTTTCTATGCCAGGTATAAAATTGTAAGAAAAGCCATATGGCCTCATTATCTTTCCAAATTCCCTCAGGTTTTGCTGAGCCATAGGTGAGGCCTACAACACATTGCCTCCATCCTATGCCTCGATGGCCTACAGCCCTCCCGGCAGCACCGTCCCTGAAAGAAGCACCCTTCATCTCTCTTCCCATTTCTCATGCTCTCTTCTGCTGCCTAAAATCTAATCCTGTGTGCCTAATTAATCTGATAAATGAATCTAAAGCAAAGAGGAAGTGGGTGTTGCTGTAGTGCTGTGTTTTTTCCTTGCCTGGCATCATGTTTTTATTAGCAGAGGCTTTCTGAAAACAAAGATTTAAAACCAGGCAGTGAGTAAGAAGGAATGTTATAGCCCCACCTTTCAGTTTAGATCCGTTTTATGCAACAGGAAAGAAAAGGAACAGAGTACTATGTACAGAACAAGCCTACAGCTCACCATGATGGGTATGTACAAGGAAGGGGAAAGAAAAATTCTGGGTAAATAAGTATTATTTAAGCAAAAGCCGACTATAAAATGATTTACAATTAGAATCAAGTCAGAGAAACAATACAACTACTTTTTGCCTAACATAAGTAAGATGTTATTTTTAAATGAATCAGAAATACAGTGGTTATCTTAAAAAGCATATCTAGAGATCAAATGCCTTTGGAAAAGAAATGCTGCTTTGCTACCAAAGAACTTTCAATGAAAAAACATTAAAACCATTCAGGTAACACTTAACTCACCTGAAGTCTGCTGATGTTCTGACTGGCAAGTTTCATTTCTTCTGTCAATGCTTCCTTAGACTTTTCAGCCAAGGCCAGTCTTTTAGACAGTGCTCGGCACTGTAAAATCAGAAAACATTCCATTACTAGAGGGAGCACTTTCTAAAACCAAATTTGCTTCGGGAAAGTTTGTTAAAAACACTTCTCAAAGCCAAAGCTACTCATTCATTCCACAAATAATCTGTTGAATACCTATAGGCATTGTGTCACACATCAGAGTACACCTAAGAAAGAAGTGGCCCCCAGCTTTGTCATTTCAGTAAGGGGAAAAAAGTCTACCAACTTAAGATCAATGTTTTTTTCTTCACTCTAGCCTGATGACCAGTGGTTATATATAATACATAAGAACTTTCTTTTTTTTTCTTTTTTTGAGACGGAGTCTTGCTCTGTTGCCCAGGCTGGGGTGCAGTGGCATGATCTTGGCTCACTGCAACCTCCACCTCCCGGGTTCAAGTGATCCTCCTGCCTCAGCTTCCCGAGTAGCTGGGATTACAGGCATGCACCACCACACCCAGCTAAGTTTTGTATTTTTAGTAGAGACGGGTTTCACTATGTTGTCCAGGCTGGTCTCAAACCCCTGACCTCAAGTGATCTGCCCACCTCAGCCTCCCAAAGTGCTGGGATTACAGGTGTGAGCCACAGCACCCGTTCTTTACATAAGAACTTTCTAGATTTATCTAGAATTCATTTATATTTATACTAGATAAAAAGAAAAGTGATTATTACAAAAGTTATCAGGAGCTTCTGACCACGCACTATGGATCCTAAGGTACTTTTCTTGTGTTTTAAGTCCTTCATTAGAGACCACATTATAGGAGCAATAAAAGCTTTACCATCCTACCCTACAGATTATGCGCTACTTACAAGGGAAAAAATGAGCACAAGATTGCAAAAATTCCAGGCTGCTTTCTTTAGGGGTTCTACCAATCCTACTCTATCCAGAGAGTGTGTAGATCAAAACGATAAAAGAAAAATCCTATTTCACAATATTGTTCAAAGAGGGTATGAAATTAAAAGGCTCACTAAACTTTCTGATAAGGTTACTGACAAGGAGAATCTGTTGAAACACATGCAAATGCTATGTCAACATAAGGCGCTCAGAGCAGTAAAGTCATGTGGGAGGGGGGAGGTCACCACTTCCTGTTTACCAATAAGGAAAAAGTAGGACAATTTAAAAATTCTTGAATCACAATTGCACAGAAGATATTTACTAAAATAACTAAATGTCTTGGAAATCAAACAGCCTAAAAAAAATTCCTCAGCTACTTATTTCATTTCTCACAAAATTTTAGGGCAGTTCAGCCAACCAAGTCAACCGCCTCCTATTAACCAAACATCTATTCTGTGCTCAGCAATGAACCTGACAAAGAGGAATATAGGCATGCAAGGCACAGGTCCTTGTGAAAAGGACAATCAAGTCTGAGACACTAACTCAGAACCAAACAATGAGGATCCATGCCTGCTGGACTGCCGGCTTAGTGATTCAGCATTTCCACTGCTAGCCATTCAGTTTGCTGTCCTCCCCCTTTCCTGCATTCCAACAAGCTGTCACTACTGATCAGCTTATCAAACATGTATTCGATGGCTGCTTGTGAACAACACTGAGCTAAGCACACAATTTATTTTAGCAGGAAAAAGATGCAAAGCCCCTCTTCACTTTTAGCAACTGGCCTCCTATCAACCTCTTCAACTCTAGTATAAGAGAAAATCAAAAAGTCAGGTCTCAATAAAGGGTTTATCTTTCCTTTTTCAATTTAACAACGTTAAGCATTATAATCATCTATCTGCCATCCATAACTGACTTTTTAATATAAAGTTTCAAGTCAGAGATCTTGAAGGCATTCTTTTATGTTGAGCAGCATCCATTCTACCTTACCATTTGTTTCCTACTCCTTGGTATCTCTACTTTCTCTCTTCATTTGCCCCCTTAATTCTATGAATTGTGTATAATTTTATAGATGATACTGCATAGTGCAATAACTTTTTTTTTTTTTTTAAAGGCAGAGTTGTGGCTGGGGGTGGTAGCTCATGCCTGTAATCCCAGCACTTTGGGAGGCTGAGGCAGGCAGATCACCTGAGGTCAGGAGTTCAAGACCAGCCTGGCCAACATGGTGAAACTCCATCTCTACAAAAATACAAAAATTAGCCAGGCATGATGGCGGGTGCCTGTAATCCCAGCTACTCAGGAGGCTGGGGCGGGAGAATCGCTCGAACCCAGGAGGCGGAGGTTGTACTGAGCCAAGACCGTGCCACTGCACTGTAGCCTGAGCAACATAGCAAGACTCCACCTCAAAAAAAAAAAAAAAAAAAAAAAAAAAAAAAAAAGGCAGAGCCTCACTCAAATCAGTCTTATATTTATTGAAATAAAGATTTTTAGTTGGTATACAGACTAGTCAATATGAACTCCGGGCCAGGCGAGGTGGCTCACACCTGTAATCCCAGCACTTTGGGAGGTCGAGGCCAGCGGATCATGAGATCAGAAGATCGATACCATTCTGGCTAACACGGTGAAACCCCGTCTCTACTAAAAATACAAAAAATTAGCTGGGCGTGGTGGTACACACCCATAGTCCCAGCTACTTGGGACACTGACTTCTCTCTTACAGTGAACAGCATGAAAACAGGACAGTGTCCTAACTCCTGCAGGGGTTAGGAAAAAAACCACCAATCTAATTAAATCTACACTCACCTCGGCATAAAAATGCACTGACTTACTGTCAGCCAGCTGCAACTGAGACGTAAGTTCCACTATCCTTGCCATGTAGTGATTTTTAATTAAGTCTTCACGAGATTCCACATCTGGAACCTAAATAGAACACAAATACACATAAATAAACAAGTACCAGTGAGATGAAGCATTTCTAGAAAAAAAAAAAAAAAAAGACAACATTTTGTACATTCTCACTTGAACTTTGATGGGGAATCACTGTTTTCCTACCCCCTCGAAGAAACTTCAGACATAGCAGGGAAGTGTATATTCCAAATTTCTTTTATTTAGCATCTTTCTATTTCAGAATGAAGTTATGGCTTCAAGAAAACAGAACTGAAGTAATGGGAAGCCCACTGGAACCCTGCCCCTCCATCCAGCTTTTATTAGCCACAAAACTGACTTTTTTTTTTTTTTTTTTTTGAGGCAGAGTCTCACTCCGTCACCAGGCTGGAGTGCAGTGGCGCAGTCTTGGCTCACTGCAAGCTCCGCCTCCCAGGTTCACGCCATTCTCCTGCCTCAGCCTCCTGCGTAGCTGGGACCACAGGCGCCCGCCACCACGCCCAGCTAATTTTTTATATTTTTTAGTAGAGACGGGGTTTCACCGTGTTAGGCAGGATGGTCTCGATCTCCTGACCTTGTGATCCGCCTGCCTTGGCCTCCCAAAGTGCTGGGATTACAGGCGTGAGCCACCGCGCCCACCCAACATACTAACAAATTAAACTATTTCTATATTGAACAGTTTGTGGCCTTTGTCCCAGACTGGTATTTCTACTAGTTACTCAAACAATGACACCCTGTTGAGTTTAGTTTAAAAATACACGCAGAAGTTCATGATTATCTATATTACAAGAATAAATACAGAAATCAAAGAATCTTCCAGCTTACTTGAACTATATTAACCAGTTTGCCATACTGAGTGGTAAGTTGGATGACTTCAGTGTTTATTTATTTATAAAGTTACATCTTAAAGTGGCCAGGCACAGTGGCTCACGCCTGTAATCCCAGCACTTTGGGAGGCCGAGGCAGATGGATCACCTGAACTCAGGAGTTTGAGACCAGCCTGGCCAACATGGCGAAACCCTGTCTCTACTAGAAGTACAAAAATTAGCTGGACATGGTGACATGCGCCTGAAGTCCCAGCTACCTGCGAGGCTCAGGCAGGAGAATAACTTGTACCCGGAGGCAGAGGTTGCAGTAAGCTGAGATCATGCCACTGCACTTCAGTATGGGCAATATAATGAGACTCTGTCTCTAAATAAATAAATAAATAAAGTTACATCTTAGAATATTTCAAAATTCAAAAGTGCAAACCTATCTGACAGGCCAAATCTGACCTGGGTTCACTTGCTTTGTGGGCAAGAAACAGCTACCAAGTACACTGTACTTGGTCAAGGCCCTAGATAGCCCTTGCTAAGCCCTGCTTTCCTGGCTGCCCACTGCGAGGACTAACACGGCTCTCAGCCTCATGTAGTATGCCAGCAAATGAAGGCCCAAGCAGGAGCCACACCTTGTCAAATCTCCATGGCAAGTCACTCAATAAGGCAATTACAAAAACAGGCTATAATTTGTTGGTGACCATCAAAACAGAACCAGAGAAAAGCTACATGGATCCATACACGAAGGTGGAAAACACTGGCTCCACATTTGCTAGAAGTGTCAGGAAAAAACAACAACAACAATTAGACAAAGATGGCTTTTGCAGGACTTTGTCAACAAACATGCTGCCAGATATTTACTAACAAACAACATGATGACAAGCACATGTTACCTCACTGTCAGATGTCCTGGTTAAAGTCCCAATCTAGAACATAAGGGGAAAAATCTTTTAGAACAGAATGTGTACATTTCAAGCACAATAGATCAAACGCTTTTAATATTTTCTCCTCTCCGTTCACAGAGCATTGAGGGTACAGAACTAGAAGATCATCCTTGGACTGTCTTTTACTACAAGGACATGAAGATAGGTAGCTGCATTTACTATTTCTGCCATGAGGCAGTAACCAATAATGATCATCACCAAATCTTCTATCAAAATGCTGATTAGCCATTCTCACTGAAACCCAACAAATCATCTAGGAGAGAAGAGAAGATCAGCTTTTAACCACAACTTGCCATTTCTACACCTATTCCCAAAGCAGTAGCCAAGAAGGGGTAAAGACGTTTTTACGGTGACCATAATAATTAAACATTCCAAACAGAAAATGCAAATAATAAACACTCTAGTTGAAAGCTCAAAAGGAGAATATACTTTTGATATAGTTATTATGACATGAGTAAGCATAAATTTCAGATTTAAATTAATGAAAACAAAAATGTAATTTTAAACACATTAAAATGCTACTAGATTTTTTTCTTTCTAATTTTTTTTTTAGACACAAGGTCTCCCTCTGTCACCCAGGCTGCATTACATTGGTGCAATCATAGCTTACTGCAGCGTCAAATTCCTGGGCTCAAGAGATCCTCCGTCTCCAGCCTCCTGAGTAGCTGAGATTACAGGCATGAGTCACCATGCCTGGCTGCTGCTAGATTTTTTAAAAGTTTGTTTCTACAGTTTAAGATTTCAAAAACAGATGGTCATGATTTCTGAATTCTGGTTATTGTTCAAGGTGGTGGGGCATGTGCTTGGGCACAATGACAAGGAAACTACTGGAAACTCAGTGTCAATGGATTCTGTCAATAAGATATTACACTCAATGAACAGTTTTTTTTTGTTTGTTTGTTTCTGAGACAGAGTCTCACCCTGTTGCCCAGGCTGGAGTGCAATGGTGCGACCGAGGCTCACTGCAACCTCCACCTCCCGGGTTCAAGCAATTCTCCCGCCTCAGCCTCCCGAGTAGTGGGGATTACAGGTGCACGCCACCACGCCCAGCTAATTTTTTGTATCTTTAGTAGAGGCAGGTTTCACCATGTTGGCCAGGCTGGTCTTGAACTCCTGACCTCGTGATCTGCCTGCCTCACCCTCCCAAAGTGCTGGGATTACAGGCAAGAGCCACCGCACCCAGTCAATAGACAGTTTTAATGTATTCTAAATAATTTCCTCTGGAGTATTGTTCTGAACACTGAGAGTATATCAACTGAATGTGTACTAATGAATGTTATGCCCACCTGGCTGTAAAAGAGTCTTTGATAAGAACTTTTAAAATAGAAGAGCCATAATTTTTCTACTTTATGAAGTAGAAGTAGCAATTACTCTCTTTTAGTGAAAAATTGCTTGGAATAATACTCCAATCATTTAATTTTACATATTCAAATATGACTGCAGTTTATAAAATAAACTGCGAGGAAACATCTATTCCACCTGCTCATCCTCACCCCCTTACTCCCGGGTTATGATTTGAAAATGGGTACAGCACCAAGTCCTTCAAAGGAATGGTACTGTATAAATGCAAGGAAAACTTTTTTTTTTTTTTTTGAGACATAGTCTCGCCCTTTTGCCCAGGCTGGAGTGCAATGGTGCGATCCTGACTCACTGCAACCTCCGCCTCCTGGGTTCAAGCAATTCTCTTGCCTCAGCCTCCCGAGTAGATGGGATTACAGGTGCCCACCACCACGCCCAGCTAATTTTTTTTTTTTTAATCTTTAGTAGAGATGGGGTTTCACCATGTTGGCCAGGCTGGTTTCGAACTCTTGACCTCATGATCCACCCGCCTCGGCCTCCCAAAGTGCTGGGATTACAGGCGTGAGCCACCGCGCCCGACAATGCAAGGAAAGCCTTTAACACAGATTACTTTAACATTTTCTCATATGATACTAACAATAGTATAAACTGATACAGTCCTTTTAAAAAATAATTTGGTAATAAAGATCAAGGAATTTGAAAATATTCATGCCTTCTGAAGTAGTAATTCCAACTCTGAGAATACATCCTGAGGTAATCATTTAACATGCAGAAATAACCTTATACATAAAAATGAGACATTATTTAAAATAGCATAAGTTATAACCAATATCTAATCATAGGTAAACTAAGGTATAATAGATATGGAATACTATGAAATCAGTAAGTTTCTACTGAGTTTCTTATAACAGGATGTTTATGTTTTAACATTATGCTAAAAGATTTGAAATTTTATGTAGTACAGTGTCAACTATATATGAAATTTAGTAGAAAAAAACGATAACATTGGTGGCTTGATTATTCAGGATAATGTCATTTTTATACTTAAAATATATGTTTAAAAATTCTATTAATTTAAGCAATGCTTTTCCATTCCGGCAAAAAACAGAAATGTATATTGTTCTGTGCTTTTACTTTAAGGCTATTGCTATCTTTTTTTATAATATATAATAGGTGGCTGAATATTCAAATTATAATACTAGGTATCTTGCTAAAAATAACAAGCATTTAACTCTTGAAATGTTACAGAGTTAGAAATAAGTTTCTAGGCTGGGCGCGGCAGCTCACACCTGTAATCCCAGCACTTTGGGAGGCCGAGGTGGGCGGATCACAAGGTCAGGAGATTGAGGCCATCCTGGCTAACAAAGTGAAACCCCGTCTCTACTAAAAATACAAAAAATTAGCCGGGCATGGTGGCAGGCGCCTGTAGTCCCAGCTACTTGGAAGCCTGAGGCAGGAGAATGGCGTGAACCCGGGAAGCGGAGCTTGCAGTGAGTGGAGATCGCACCACTGCACTCCAGCCTGGGCCACAGAGCGAGACTCCGTCTCAAAAAAAAAAAAAAAAAAAAAAGAAAAGTTTCTATCTGAGGTTACTTTTTCTGCCTCAAAGTGACTGAACCAAAGTAATCTCCCTGTAGGATGAGCTTCCTTTGTTAATCAATTAACACTGAAATGGGCACATACTTGCTCCCAACACCCAAGAGGAAGAAGACAGAAAAGACACAAAGACACACACACATACACAGCCACACAATTAGTTCCCTTAAGGTCACTTAAAGGGCATGGGGGTAAAAAGAAAGGCTGAAAGTAGAAACATCAAGGAAAGCAGAAAACTCCATCTCTTTTTATTTCTATTGTGCACTGTGTGCAAGGCAAGACTCCAGGTTATTTTCGGCAGAAATCTGCTGTTAGCAGTTAACCTGTCTTTTGTTATAGGAGTGCTGGCTGTGACCCTCATGATGGAGAGAAAAGGTATCAGGTCCTTTCCACCCCTACACTAACTAGTTGATTTAAATAGCAACTTCTAAAGTCACCAAACCCAACTAAGGTCATTATCACTCATGGCCCAATAGTGTTCAGTACTAAAGATTTTTCGTGTCCCTCCCTAGAAATTTTTTTCACTTACATATGTAAGAATAGCGTTTTCCATTGAAAATGTTCAAATAAAAAGATAATCCAAAACTTTCAGCAACTGACATTAACAACTCAAATATACCAGCATTGTGCTTCTTCAGCAGCACATGTACTAAAATTGGAACGATACAGAAATTAGCATGGTCCCTGCTCAAAAATGACCTGAAAATTCATGAAGCATTCCACGTTTTAAAATTATTAATTTATAAAGAAATATATATGCCAGTGTTACCAATTCCAGCACCTCAGTAAGGCAAGCAGTAAGCAAATGAGTTTATCTGATGTTTATTTGTTTTTTTTTTTTAGAGTCAAGGCCTCAATCTGTTGTCCAGGCTGGAGTACAGTGGCACAATGATAGCTCACTGCAGCCTCAGACTCCTGGGCTCAAAAATCCTCCTGCTTCAGCCTCTGGAGTAGCTGGGACAACAGGCGTGGGCTACCACACCTGGCTAACAAATGAGTTTATGTCGGCTATTCTGTTTTCTGACATGGATCAGACACAAGGCCATCTTGGTTAAGAGGGCAGGGCTTGGGATGAGACATCCCATCACTTATCAAGTGTGTGACTTCATGTGAGTTATTTCTCTTTGGTCCTTGGTTTCCTCAACTATGAAATGGAGTTATGACAGTACCTACAATCCTGTGTGAGGACTGACTGACTGACTAATACTTTGGAAAGTCCTTAGACCTGTGTCAGGCACACGATTTCTACAATTACAATGTCATTGTCAGCAGCACCCTCCCTGGTCTAGTCTGGCCACCACCAACTCTAAGAAGAAGGAAGGAATGGATACAGGCAATGGAGCTGGGGAGAAGAAATCAGACATAATGAACAGTCTGACCCCATCATTTGAGACAGACACTGAAGGAAAAATCTAAAGGCAAGGGAGTGGGGGCAGTTCTTAAATGCTATTTGGATGGATGTTGGAATTCTTTTGTTTGTTGAATGTCCCTCTCATTACCTCATTTATACACCGTAGCTAAATGCTAAACCACTGATATGGAGGTAAAAACAGTCATCTTGTCCCATCAGAGGCAACATGCAGGACTTGTGACTGGAACAAAGACTTGCCTTTGGTGAACACTACAGGATTGTCCTGTGAGTGTGGCGACCATTCAAGGTCACCATGACCATTGGTCATGAACATTCATGGTCAACAAACTAGGAAGGTATTCTTTTTGTTTCTTTGGGGTTTTTTTTTGTAGAGACAGAGTCTGGCTCTGTTGCCCAGGCTGGAGTGCAGTGGCATGATCTCAGCTCACTGCGACCTCCGCCTCCCAGGTTCAAGCAATTCTCCTGTCTCAGCCTCCCGAGTAGCTGAGACTACAGGCGCAGGCCGCCACGCCTGGCTAATTTCTTCTGTATTTTAGTAGAGATGGGGTTTCACCTTGTTGCCCAGGTCTCGAACTCCTGAGCTCAGGCAATCCACCCGCCTCGGCCTTCCAAAGTGCTAGGATTACAGGCATAAGCCACGCACCCAGCCCAAACTAGGAAGTTTTTATTTATTTATTGCATTTCTAAAAATTTTAATTGTTGTTGTTGTTTTTAGGTTTTATTTTTATTTTTAAATTGTTATTATTTTCTATTTGTTGCTTTTCTAAAAATTTTAATTCTTGGGTTTTTTCCCCCCATACCTCCCAGAACAAACAATGATTCTTTTTTCTCTTCTATATTTTATTATGAAAAATGTCAAACATGCAGAAAGGTTAGCGGTAAAAAGTATAGTAAACATCTGTATATCTAGTATCTAGATTCAATAATTGCTAGCATGCCTGTTTTGCTTTATTGATCTGTGCAGATATATTTTTTTGTAAACATGTGAGCGTAAGTTGCAGACATTTTGATACCTTACTCTAAGTACACTGAAATCCATCTCTAAAAAGTAAAGATATTCTCCTAAATAATAATATCATTACCATACCTAGGAAAATTCACAATCATCTGAGGTTCTGACACTGTTTAGATGCAATAGGGCCTAAAGATAAAATCTGGTTTGTATATTTAACTAGCAGGTATGCTCTGAATGAGGTGGAAGAACCATGACTTGCTCTTCAATAGCATCAGTGAGCTTCAGGAGTAAAGTCAGCAGAAAAGCACACACCTTAGGACAGGGTCTTCAAGAAGCACCATGGCTTTCAAGCTCCTCAAGCTTGTAAAAAAAATGTTTGTTAAAAAAAATACACCTAAAAGACTCCTTTGATTATTAGGGTTTTTCCTTCCTGATTTCTTTTTCTAGATTTTCCTAATTTTTTACAGTGAACAGAATAGTGTAATTAGAAAACATTTTTTAAAGTAACTTTAAATTCTATAACAGCAATATAAATGTTTTTCACTTTCTAAATCACTGTAATTATCAATAAGGCAAGAAATACAAAGTTGCAAGATAATGTGCCAACAATCTGCCTCATGAAAAAGAACCTGATGGGTTTCTACAGTATGTGTATATTATAAAGCTTTACACTCTCTAGGAATAGATCATAGAAAATTGGGTTAAAATTGTATTTGTGGTTATTTCTTTTTTATTATTACTTGTTTTTGTTTTATTTTACTTTTGGTAGACACAGGGTCTCACTATGCTGCCCAGCTGGTCTCAAAGTCCTGGGTTCAAGTGATTCACCCACCTCAGCTTCCCAAAGTGTTGGAGTTACAGGCATAAGCCATCACTCTCGGCTTCCTGTGGTTATTTCTATTAAAGAATTAGGCATTTGGTCCTTTGTTAGAAACATAATAACCCCATATTACAAATGTTTTTATGGAAAAACAGAATCATCTTAAATTTAACTTACTATATCTTTTCCAGGAACATAGTCCTCACCATGAGGAAGTCTCATGTAAAATCACAGGGAATTTAATGGTTACTTTTTGAAGGAGATATCCTGCTTACTAACCAGCATTCTTCTAGAGTACACGGATCACTCCTGTTATGAACTGATGTATAATTAAGATGGTTACTGTGGCCTGCGTGTTTGTGTCCCCCCCCACCCCCAATATCCTACGTTGAAACTCTAACCCCCAAGGTGATGGTATTAGGAGGTAGGGCTTTTGGGAAATAACCTAATAGGATTAATACCCTTACAAAAGAGACCCCAGAGAGCTCACCTGACCCTTCTGCCATGTGAGAACACCATGAAAATGCTGCTGTCTATGAACCAGGAAACAGACCCTAACCAGACAGTGAATCTCCCAGCACCTTAATCCTGAACGTCCCAGCCTCAAGAACTGGGAGAAATAAATTTCTGTGATTTACAAGATGCTCAGCTTATGGTATTTTGATATAGCAGCCTGAATGAACTAAGACAATGGTTAATGTTGAACATTAGATACTTACCAATTAGCATTTAAAAAAGAAAACTGAGGACAACCAAGAAGACACTTACTAGACTGGTGCTCTGAATGGGCTCCAACACAGCCTTAGCTGTGGCTTCATCCTGGCCAGCAGTATTTGACACAGCAGCATTTTCCTGGGCCAGCCCAACCAGCTGGGCACTACCTGTATTCTTCAGCTTATCTGCAATTCGCTGGTTTTCTTTCTCTAGCTTGATTTTGGCTAATTGTGCTTCCAACATCCAATGTTCTTTTTCCTGCTCCAGTTTAGAAATCTTTTCCAAACTCTGTTGAACCTTGAAAAGTAACAGAGTGTTGTATCTTAGAGACTAATACAGATAAACCTTAGTGGCCCAAAAACTATCTTACAGAATGTAAACCAAAACTACCCCACAGAGGTAAAAATATAATAATAAAGTTTGACCCTCGAATAGGAAGAGATTTATTAGACATGATACAAAAAGCACAACCATAAATCGAGAAATTAAACTATAGTGAGATAAAAAAAAAAACTCTACTCATTGAAAAACATCAAGAGTGAAAAGAAAACTCAGAATTGAATTAGAATCTGTAAAGCATTTATCCAACAGAGACCCAATAACTAGAACATACAAGGAATTTTTGCAAACCAATAAGATAGACAACTCAACAGAGAAGAAGGCAAAGAAAAAAAAACCCAACAAAAAACTTGAACAAGACTATAAACAAATTAAAAGGTATGCAATGCCACTAATTATCAAAGCACAGCAACTTAAACCATCCACTTAATTAAAATATAAAAAGCAGAGAATACAAAAATGGACATGTTTGTAAACAATTAGAACTATAGGTTGGTGCAGGCCAGGCACGGTGGCTCATGACTGTAATCCCAGCACTTTAGGAGGCCGAGGCGGGCTGATCACGAGGTCAGGAGATCGAGACCATCCTGGCTAACACAGTGAAACCCCATCTCTATTAAAAATACAAAAAATTAGCCAGGTGTGGCGGCGGGCGCCTGTAGTCCCAGCTACTCGGGAGGCTGAGGCAGGAGAATGGCGTGAACCCAGGAGGCGGAGTTTGCAGTGAGCCGAGATAGCGCCACTGCACTCCAGCCTGGGCGACAGAGTAAGACTCCGTCTCCAAAAAAAAAAAAAAAAATAGAACTATAGGTTGGTGCAAAAGTAATTTTGTAGTTTTGCCATTTATTTAAAACTAATATCAACAACCACAATTACTTTTGCACCAACCTAATACCATATACTGTGCTGAACACAAAAAGCCAGACCTGAAAAAGCATAATTGCATTTAATAAAAAGTTCAGTATCAGGGAAAAAAACTAATCTATAGTGCTAGAAGGCAGGAGAATGGTTACCTTTGGGGGAGAGGAGAGCAGTAACTGGAAATGGGCATGAGGAAGGCTTCTAAGGTCCTAATAATTTTTAAGGTAAACCTTTGCTATGAAAAACTCTCAAATCGTTTTTCCTCTGTTCTCACACTTTAACAATCAATACAGAAGACTTCTGTGACCCCAAAATATGTGGGGTATTTCCCCATCAACAAACAAGTAGTCAGTTTTGTTGTGGACATCAGCTGGGTGTCCTCCCATTTAATTCCACCACTATCTACATGGAGATAGTGTGAGATCCCACAGATTGTGAGCTCAGTTCCCAAAAATGCCTCCCCTGCAGACGGCAGTCACAAGTCTGGACCTTGAGAACTTGTGACTAACCGGCTTTAAATTGAGGTTCCCATGACTCCCTTTTTGAGTTTGATTAATTTGTTGGAGTGCCTCACAGAAGTCAGGGAAACATGTTTACTGGTTTATTACCAAGGATACAGATGAAGAGATTTAGAGTGAAGCAGAGGAAGGGGTGCAGACTTTCCATGTCCTCCCTGGGCATGCCACCCTCCAAGAGCCTCTATGTGTTCAGCTATTCAGAAGCTCCCAAACCCTGCCCTCTTGGGCTTTTCATGGAGACTGCACTGGATAGGCATGATTGACAACCATGAAGAAATGTGACTGGACCTAAATCCAACAAGCTCCACTGGGCGCAATGGCTCACGACTGTAATCCCAGCACTTTGGGAGGCCAAGGCAGGGGATCACTTGAGGTCAGGAGTTCAAGACCAGCCTGGCCAATGTGGCGAAACCCTGTCTATACTAAAAATACAAAAACTAGCCGGGCATGGTGGTATGCACCTGTAATCCCAGCGACTCTGGAGGCTGAGGCAGGACAATCGCTTGAACCCAGGAGGCAGAGGTTGCAGCAAGCTGAGATCACAACACTGCACTCCAGCCTAGGTGACACAGTGAGACTCCATCTCAAAAAAAAAAAAAAACCCAAAACCCAATAAGCCCTGTCTTGTTTAGATTCTTCTCTGTACAGCAGCATTTCTCCCTCTAGGGTATGGGGCAACACCTCTAGAATGAGGGTCTTATGCCCTATAATGCTGTAAAGTCAGATTAGAGTCCTGCCCTAGGCAAGTTAAAAGAGGGCAAGAGAAGATCAGAGAGAGAGATTCCATTTACTGTAACAAGGACTATGGGAGTTACCAGCCACCAACTGTGGACAAATATATACATATTTTTTTTTTCCTTTTTTTCTGAAAAAGACAGTGCCTCCCACTCCCACCCACTCCCTAAACTCAACTGACCACTAAATATTGCACATTTTTCATTCTTGCTCCTTTAAGAAATAAAAATAACTCAGAGTCACTAGCTCTTGCCCCCTCTTATACTTTGGTATTTCAGACATTTAAATCTAGCACCTAAAAAGAAAGAATTAATCATCATGGCCAAAGTGTGTTGATATTACTTTAGTTCCAATTATACCACCAACTGAATCAAGATGACTTAGAGTGTCAACACATGTTTTTCAACAAATTATGTCTATTTGCTTTTTAGTATGTATTAAACAATTCATTTCACATGTTTATTTATGCAGACTTTTGAATCATTCTACGTATCTTAAAAACTTTCTATGGGGGATTTAACATTTCTGTTCTTTAACAATTTCCATAATTTTCCCAGTGCCATACTTGCTGTGCAAGGCCTTCTCGACTTTCAGTAGAGCTGAGAAGGATGCGGCGGTTTGCCAGTGCTTCTTCATAAGGCACAGACTCCAAGAGGGGCTATGATAAAAGCATCATAAGAATTAAAGAAAAAATATTGTATCACCCCTCCCCTGCATCCAACATACACAAAGAATGCTAAACGAGGTGTGACAATAAATTCAGATGTATGTCAAAGCAGACTATTTTCTTTAATACACGTGAAAACGAAGATAATTTTTTAAAAGAAAAATAATAGCCTGGGCGCGGTGGCTCACACCTATAATCCCAGCACTTTGGGAGGTCGAGGCGAGCGGATCACAAGGTCAGGAATTCAAGACCAGCCTGGCCAATATGGTGAAACCCCATCTCTACTAAAAATACAAAAATTAGCCGGGTATGGTGGCACGCGCCTGTAGTCCCAGCTACTAGGGAAGCTGAGGCACGAGAATCACTTGAACCTGGGAGGCGGAGGTTGCAGTGAGCAGAGATTGTGCCATTGCACTCTAGCCTGGACAACAGAGCGAGACTCCGTCTCAAAAAGAAAAAAAAAAGAAAAACAATAAAGAACTTAAAGCAATTATAAATGGTCACTGACTTACCTTGGTTCGACTGATGACTTTACGATGGTGCAAAAGCAATGCATTCAGTAGAAATCATATTTTTGAGTACTTATACATACAACCATTCTGTTTTTCACTTTCAGTACAGTATTCAGTAAGTTACATGAGATATTCAACACTATTATAAAATTGGCCGGGAGTGGTGGCTCACCCCTGTAATCTTAGCACTTTGGGACACCGAGGTGATGGATTGCTTGAGGTCAGGAGTTCGAGACCAGCCGGGCCAAAATGGTGCTACTAAAAATACAAAAATTAGCCAGGCGTGGTGGCACACACCTGTAATCCAAGCTACTCAGGAGGCTGAGGCAGGAGGCTCCTTTGAACCCCGAAGGCAGAGGTTGCAGTGAGCAGAGATTGCATCACTGCACTCCAGCCTGGGCGACAGAGTGAGTAAGACTCCATCTCAAAAATAAATAAATAAGGCCAGGCACGGTGGCTCATGCCAGTAATCCCAGCACTTTGGAAGGCCGAGGCGGGTGGACTTCCTAAGGTCAGGAGTTCGAGACCAGCCTGACCAACATGGTGAAACCCCGTTTCTACTAAAAATACAAAAACAATTAGCCGGGGGAGGTGGCAGGATCCTGTGGGAGGCTGAGGCAGGAGAATCGCTTGAACCCAGGAGGCGGAGGTTGTGGTGAGCCGAGATCGCGCCATTGCACTCCAGCCTGGGCGACAGAGCAAGACTCTGATTCAAAAATAAATAAATAAATAAATAAATAAATAAAATAAAATAGGCTTTATGTTAGATGACTTGCCCAAGTGTAGGCTAATGTAAGTGTTTTGAGCACATTTAAGGCAGGCTAGGCTAAGCTATGATGGTTGGTAGGTTAGGCACATTAAATGCATTTTTGACATGACTTTTTTTTTTTTTTTTTTTTTTTTTTTTTTTTTTTTTTTGAGACAAGGTCTCACTTTGTCGCCCTGGGCTGGAGTGCAGTAGCGTGATCACGACTCACTGCAGCCTTGACCTCCCAGACTCCAGGGCTCCTCCTGCCTCAGCCCAGCCTCCCAAGCATGCACCTGGGACTACAGGCATGCACCACCATGCCAGGCTATTTTTTTTTTTTTTTTTTTTTTTGGAGAGACGAGGTCTCCCTATGTTGCCCAGGCTGATCTCGAACTCCTGGACTCAAGTGATCCTCCCACCCTGGCATCCCAAAGTGTCGGGATTACAGGCATGAGCCACTGCACCCGGCTGCAACATTTTCAACATACAATGGGCTTATCAGGACGTAATCCCATCATAAGTCAAGGAGCATCAGTATAAGCTACACTAACTAAAACCATAAGGACTTGCACCAAAATAGATGAAGAACAGAATAAAATATCCAGAAACGAACAAAAGCATACATAAAAATTTATTATGTGGCAAATATTGCATTTCTAACTGAATGGAGAAAAGATGGACTAAATAAACGGTACAAGGACAACCAGCTAATTATTGAAAAAAAATAATTATTTAGATCCTTCTTTGACATCTTATATCAGAATAAATTCTGGATGAATTAAAGATCCAAATCTAAAAATTTATTTATTTATGTATTTTTTTCCAGCTACTACAGGCTGCCTGTCCAAATGTAAAAATTGAGACTGTAAAAATGCTGGAAGAAAATACACGTGAATGTTTCTACCTTGGAAATCAACCCTGGCTAAGAATGATCACCATGAAGAAAAAGACCTATTTGATGATACAAAAATAAAAACTTCTATTTTGAAAAACTATTACAGCAAACTAGGGAAAAATATTTCCCACATAAACACAAAATTAACATTCTTAATACAGAGACAGCTCTTTCAACCCTAATTAGAAACATTTATTTAAAAATAGGTAAGGCCGGGCGCAGTGGCTCACGCCTGTAATCCCAGCACTTTGGTAGGCCGAGGCAGGTGGATCAGGAGGTCAGGAGATCAAGACCATCCTGGCTAACATGGTGAAACCCCGTCTCTACTAAAAGTACAAAAAATTAGCTGGGTGTGGTGGCGGGCACCTGTAGTCCCAGCTACTTGGGAAGCTGAGGCAGGAGAATGGTGTGAACCCGGGAGGCGGAGCCGAGATCATGCCACTGCACTCCAGCCTGGGCGATAGTGCAAGACTCCGTCTCAAAAAAAAAAAAAAAAAAAAAAAGGTAAATGACCTAAAGAGAGAATTTATACAATAAACACAAGTGATAACTATGAAAGGATGTTCCACCTCATTAACAAGCAAATATATACATATGAACCAAAACAACAGCAAGAAACCTCTCCTGAGATTGATAAATATTAAATGCATGGGTTAAATTCATATTTCTACTACAGGCAAACTATAAATAGGTAACCTTCCTGAAGTATAGTCTGGAAAAACATGCCAAAATTTGAAACACTCACAGACTTTGAACCAGCAATTCACATAGGGAGATAGGTAGCTTTTATACCGTGGGAAGTATCCTTCAGAGTGCCCATTTTGAAGGACAACTAGCAACTACTATTAAAACTTAAAATGCACAAGCCACATGGCCTACAACATTCTACTTCTCATATTCCACCCATGTGCCTAAGGAAACATTTACAAGGCTATCCATTGCAGTATTATTGTAACAGTAAAAAAGTAGAATTAACCTAAATGCCTACCAATTAAGGGAAACCTAAACAAACTATGGAACATCCATATTATAGAATTCTATGCCGTATCTAAAAGGAACCTAGTGAGTTCCACGTGAAATGACATAGACAGTCTCTAAGTCATTATTTTAAACAAAAAAAAGCAAATTGCAAAATGAAACATGCATTTGGGAAGAAAAAAGGACAAGAAAAGAGAAAAGGAGAAAAGAACAAAAGAAAAGTGAAGGAAGGAAGGAAGAAAAATTCTTTGTTTATAGATTGCATGCTTATAAATGCTCAAAGAGCCTGAAAGGTTACACATCAAACTGATAATTATGGTTACCTCTAGAGAGGAACTGGAATTAGGGATTATAATTTACCTGTAATGATCTAATTTAATATAAGAATGTGTTTATGCACTGCATAGTTAAAACGTTTAAAGATGAGAAAAAAGTAAAATGCACAAATTGCAGGTGCAAGAATATCCACTGTAGCACTCCACTGTAACAGTGAAAAACAGGCAACAACTTAAATATCTACCAGCAATGAATTAAATTATAAATTTACAGAAGGAAACACCATAAATAAATGATGACAGCTGGCAGCTCTGGGTGCACTGTCTATAAGTAGTCCTGCTCCCCAAGGAGCAGCTAAAAAATAAAAACATAGTAATTTATATTTTATATTTTATTATTCCTATTTCTTTCATTCTTTTTTAATGATGTCCCTTGAGTCATGTATTTTATAGATACAATTTTTGAGATATATATAAATATATCCTCAATGCATTAAGAGAAAAAAATATTCTAAAACAGTACATGCACCTAAATACATTCTGCTTTTTATAGTATGTGTGTGCATGTGCACTCAAACATATAATAACATTTTTTGGATATAAATATATTGTTTTCTAAAAAAGTCAATTATAGCTACATTTGGGTGGTAGGATTACAGGTGACCACAATTTTCTTCTTAATATACTGCAGTATCTTCTCTCTTTTTTTTTTCTTTTTTTTTGCAACAACTGCATATTCTTATTCAGAAAAAAGTCATACACATATTTCTTTTTTTTCTGTTTCTACAAGTTTAAGAGTCTCTGAAGTTCAATATTTACTGTTTGGCTGGCTACCTCACCCCAGGCGCTCTATCAGGCACTTGGGACATGAGTCCAACATGGCCTACGAATATAGGCAACGCTGCTTCTCAGGTAAAGTCTGGGTCCTGTCACCTCCTCTTCCCCACAGCCCTCCCCCAACACCCACCAACAACCTGTACCCCAATATCGTATAAAAAGTCAACAATATAAACTGCAGAAAAACTCTTGCCATTCTCTAGAATGACTCCTGATGTTTCCTCTGATTTAAATATTAACAGCAGCTAACAAACCTTTCTCAAAGACTTCATATAGGCAGCAGCTTTTTTCTTATACTGTAGCATGCATTCAGCTGAAAGAGGACTAATGAATCCACTCGCTGCCTTAGGTCCATAGCTCAGTGAAGCAATGAAGTAGTCCAAATTGTTGCTGAAGAAGGATGCAATCTAAACAAAGTATGACAAGGAAATAGATTTTGTTTTCCAACAATATATCTAAAATATATATCTAATAGTTTTTGCAGCAAAGTTTAAAGATGTTGAGAATGGAAATGGAAATGAAATTTCAACACCTGCCCCAAAGTCCACATTTATTTATTTGAGAATACCTAGGCAATGGTTTATAATAAAAAGAGGACACCAGTATAAATAGTCAGAACAAATTTCTGACATGTCCTTTTCTAGACAATTTCTATTCTTCCTGAAAACCAAGACTGATACTCATTTATTCTGTAGGTGACTTTCATGAGCTCTTTACCTCATTGATTTCTGCCACTGTTCTCAAAATATCCATGTTCGGATTTCTAGATTCCATATTTTAACTTTGAATATTTCATATTCTAACAGAAGATATAACATAGTATCTTGAATATGTAACTTCCATTTAAATTTAATTCTATAAATCTCAATTTAAAAATTACAAATATAGAAAAAAAAGACTGAAAATTCAGTGGACTGTTATTTACAGATTTAACATTTGTTAACTCTATGTAAGCAGCCACAAAGATCTATCACTTTCAAAGCCATGATTTTGAATCTGTGGCATTTGGTAATATTTGTGATAATGCTACCTCTGTGGTTTTGTATCTCAACAAGTACTTTAAAGTGACTTCAACATGTGTCTTTTCATTGAACCTGTAATAGTAGGTCATGATCATCTGGATCATTAAATACTTAATTTCACTGCAAACTGACCAAAGTGCAGTTTCTTTTTTTCTTTTCTTTCTTTTTTTTTTTTTTTTTTTTTGAGTCGGCGTCTCACTCTGTTGCCCAGGCTGGAGTGGAGTGGCACAATCTCAGCTCACTGCCACCTCTGCCTCCTGGGTTTAACCAATTCTCCTGCCTCAGCCGCCTGAGTAGCTGGGATTACAGGTGCCCGTCACCACATCCGGGTAATTTTTGTATTTTTGTTCGTTTGTTTGAAACAGAGTCTTGCTCTGTCACCCAGGCTGGAGGGCGGTGGCACGATCTCGGCTCACTGCAACCTCCACCTCCTGGGTTCAAGCCATTCTCCTGGCTCAGCTGTCCCAGTAGCTGGGATTACAGTTGTGCACCACCACGTCCCAGCTAATTTTTGTACTTTTAGTAGAGACGGGGTTTCACCATGTTGGCCAGGCTGGTCTCAAACTCCTGACCTCGTGATCCTCCCGCCTCAGCCTCCCAAAGTGCTGGAATTACAGGCGTGAGCCACCACACCCAGCCTAATTTTTGTATGTTTAGTAGAGACAGGGTTTCAACATGTTGGCCAGGCTGGTCTCAAACTCGTGACCTCAGGTGAGCTACCGTGCCCAGCCCAAAGTGCAGTTTCTTTAAGAATCCTTTGATAAGCCAGGTGCAGTGGCTCACGCCTGTAATCCCAACACTTTGAGAGGCTGAGGCAGGGGTACTGCTTGAGCCCAGAGTTCAAGACCAGCCTGGGCGATATGGCAAGACCTCATCTTTTCAAAATTGAAAAATTAGCCAGGCATGGTGGTGTGCGTCTGTGTTCCCAGCTACTTGGGAGACCGAGGTAGGAGGACTCACTGCAGCCTCAACCTCCTGGGCTCAAGTAATCCTCTTACCTGAGCCTCCCAAGTAGTTGAGACCACAGACGCACACCATCATGTGTGGCTGATTTTTTAATTTTGTAGAGATGAGGTCTTGCCATGTTGCCCAGGCTGGTCTTGAACTCCTGGGCTCAAGCAATAAATACTCCCACCTCAGCCTCTTCAGTGCTATATGAAATGCTGATATAAATAAAAATGTCTGGCTAAATGCTTTAGCCAGAAAAGTTACAGTCTTGTATACATTAAAGAATATTGTATTTTGATAAATTTTAAAAAGTAATCTGTAAAACAGAGTATTCTACTTTGGCAAAAATTGGTCAAAAGTTAATCACTAATGGTCTGAAAGGTTATATTTTTCACTGATATTTTACTATATCAAATGAAATTCTACGTTAGGTAGTATTCAGTAAAGTAAGGATACCAAAAATCTTGAGCTATATATAGTCCTTGTGAATGACATGGATTCACACAGTGTTTGCATTTGGATCATGGTAGTACATTGTGAGGTTTCTTTTCTTTTTTCTAATATTTCTACATTTTCCAAACTTTCTTTAATATGAATATACTACACTTTCCTACTGGGTTCTTAATGGAAATTACAAACTGTAAAATTAGGTTAATCAAATCATATCAGCTAAGTATTTAATATTAAGCTGATACCAACTAACATTAGTTCAAATATTTTGGTTGAAAACCATTTATTAAAATTCCAGAGTGAAGATCAGATATCTTTCCTTGAGATGACATTTTACGGTTTCAGGCAAAGTAAAGCTAAAATAAACTATGACGTATGCAAGTATTTAATTATTTCAGAGTTCTCAGGAGATTGAGACCATCCTGACTAACATGGTGAAATCCCGTCTCTACTAAAAATACAAAAACAAAATTAGCCAGGCATGGTGGCAGGCACCTTTAGTCCCAGCTACTCGGGAGGCTGAGGCGGCAGAATGGTGTGAACCTGGGAGGTGGAGCTTGCAGTGAGCTGAGATCATGCCACTACACTCCAACCTGGGCAACAGAGCAAGACTCCGTCTCAAAAAAAAAAAAAAAAGTTGGCAAATACAGAGACTCATAAAATACCAACATTCTCTCTTTTCAGAATTTTTCTTAACTGAATCAGTTAGGATTATCCTCCAAAAGCATCTGGCATGCCGTGGATGAAGGAGGTGAAAGGGGAGGCAGTGGGGATGGTCCTCTGGCTCAGGAATCCTTTGCACATAGATCTGTAAGCTGACAGAACCTAAAGATAACACGTTTTAATCATGACCCCAAGCTATAGCAAGTGGTCACAAAGCCAGTCCAACTTTGGAAATATGACACTGAAATGTCTAACATGATCTATGATCATTTCTGACTACTGCAAATCACTTGAAGAATATTTGTTCCTATTATGGTTAACCTGTCAGAAGCAGAATAGTATATAAAGACAGACACAGAGATAAGCATTTCCTTTGGAAGTCATGCTGAGTCTGCTGCAATAAATGGGCTAAGATAGTTCTGAATACAGTCCTTTTGGTTTTATACATGTAGGATGTTCTCAGAAAAATCTTAATCATTAAAGTTGTTGATGACAGCCACATGAACGCACACTCTGAGAATATAACTTCTGCTGAAACAGGAATATCCATGATCAAAACATTCTTTTTTTTTTTTTTTTTTGAGATAGGGTCTTGCTCTGTCACCCAGGATAGGGTGCAGTGGCTCACACACGGCTCACTGCAGCCTCAACCTCCTGGGCTCAAGCAATCCTCCTACCTCAGCCACCCAAGTAGCTGGGACCACAGACGCACATCACCATGCCTGGCTAATTTTTTAATTTTGTAGGGATGAGGTCTTGACATGTTGCTGAGGCTGGTCTTGAACTCCTGGGCTCAAGCAATACTCTCGCCTCAGCCTCTCGAAGTGCTGGGATTACAGGTGTGAGCCACAGCACCTGGCTTATCAAAGGATTCTTAAAGAAACTGCACTTTAGTTAGTTTATAGTGAAAATTAAGTATTTAATGATCCAGACGATCATGACCTACTATTAAAGGTTCAACGAAAAGACACATGTTGAAGTCACTTCAAAGTACTTGTTTAGATACAAAACCACAGAGGTAGTATTATCACAAGTATTACCAAAAAAGAAACATACAAAAACACTAGAAGGAAAAAACCCAAAGTATTAATGGAACGTATATTGTGGTGGGTTTGTTTTCTTTTTTTGTATGTTCCCAGTGTTCTATATGGCAGACCCTTCATATACACAACGATCTATATTGAGACTACCTAGAATCTTCTAATCATCCAATATTGCATTAAAACATAAACAGGGAGTGATCTACACATCCAAGACAAATGCTAAACAGTCACTGTCACATTGCTTTAAACATTAGGTAGGAAAGCAGCATGCAGTGCATGTGCCCATAGTCCCCGCCACCCAGGAGACTCCCCTGAGTCCAGGAGTTTGAGTCAAGCCTGGCAACATAGCGAGAGATCCCTCTCTTAAAATAATAAGTCAGAGTACATACTGGGTAGGAAGCAGAGGAAAGAGAGACAACTTTATTTTACAGTAAACCCTTATATTACAAAATCCTTTTACAGATCCATTTTCCTATGTCCCTCAGAAAAAAAGCACATATTTAAGAGTTTTAACATCAATATACGCCAGAAGAGAATTACCTTTCCTGCTCCATTTGTTAATGCCACTACTGATGACAGGATACAGTCATTAGTTGTTATCAGCTTCTGTGTTGCTGTTGGAAGTTCATGCTCTATTGCAGCTTTTTGACTATAATGTTTGGAAATATCTATAAAAGCAATTACATGAAAATTCATTATTATCTATATATAAGTCACATACAGATAACCAGCCCATTCACTTCTCCTATCTATTCTTCTAAATTTATAAAGTAAATTTGACAAAGAATGGTCTCAAGTGTCAGGATTGCACTGAGTATCAATTAGGTCACAAATCTACATGGAAAGAACAGAGAGAAGTAAGGATCTCTGAACACCATCTTGGCTATCTTTACTACAGCCACCAAGATTTCCTCGTCGGAGTATTAATTCTAACATTGGGTAAATGATCCTGTATTTACCAGTTAAAAACCACTATTTACCAGTTAAAAACCACTGTTTTGATAGTGTAACAGGCATTGAGGAGAAATTATCTTGTATTTATATAAACAACCCACCAGGCTGGAAAGGAATAGCCAACACAACCACACTGTCTCACAGTCCTTACTGGGCTATAGCTAGTTTCCTAGTGCACACCCTAACTAGCAATGAGAAGTATCTGCACAGCCAAATACGGATTGGACGCCCCAGTGCCTGACTTCCTATGCAACTGTCTCCAGTCCAAGAATAGTACAATAAAGGCCTGTGGTTAGGAAAGCATAGAAGAGGTATACATATATACACATATGTATTAATTATATTATATATAATTGTATATATTAATATAATATATAAAACTATATATAATACAATTATATATAGTATATACAATTGTATATATTAGTTAGTATATACAATTGTATATATTAGTTAGTATATACAATTGTATATATTAGTTAATATATACAACTATATATATGTCAATCACAAAACATGAAAATTTTTATAGCAATTCTGTACAAACAATTTCATTAATTTAGAATCAAGAAATTTTGTTGATTGTTTTAGACTATAGATAATTAATGGAGGAAATAAGACTATTTGAAAAGAAATAGTATTTGAGATTTAACCTGAAGTGATCATGATGTTTTAACTCAAAATTACTATGGTCCATGAATGAGATTATTTTCACTAACATTTTAAAACTAGGGAATTTAAAAATTATTAATATATTCCTATATTTATATACACTTGTAATAAATACGTCTTTGATTTAGGATAGTTTTAGACTTATAGAAAAGGTATGGAGTTTCATTACACCCTTTAGCCAATTTTTCCTACTGTTAACATATTACTATGGTACAGTTGTCACAGAAAAGGAACCAACCAATTGGCAAATTACTATTACATTCAATATATTTTTGAAAAGAAATGATTATGCTCAACATAGTCATAAGATGTCCAAGTGTATAAAAATTCAATTAGGATGCTGAATGCTTTTTGTTTTTTTTTTTACATTTTATTTTAGAGGCAGGGAGTTTATGTGCAGGTTTGTTATGCGGGCATATTGTGTAATACTGGGGTTTGGGCTTCCATTGAGCCCATCACCCAAATGGTGAACATAGTAGTGGGATTGTTAATACCCAGTAGTGGGTATTGCTGGGTCGAATGGTAATTCTATTTTCAGAACTCTAAAAATGAGAGAAATCTCCATACTGCTTTCCATAGGGGTTGAACTAATTTACATTCCCACCAACAGTCTGTAAGTACTGAATGCTTTTTGTATACTGAATTGCTCATCCCTAACAGACATTTTCTTTCTACACATCACAGACAGTTTTATTCAATATTTCACTGGAAGTATATACAATGTTATAATAATACAATTTGGTTGGTAAGCAATCTTGGTTGATGGTAATTGAGGTACTCATGAAAAAAGTACAATACTAAGAACAATGCTATTGTAGCTTGATTATAGTCATTCTCACAATCAAAATGTTTACTCTTGGCAGGATGCAGTGGCTCATGCCTGTAATCTAGCACTTTGGGAGACCGACGTGGGCAGATCACTGGAGGCCAGGAGTTCAAGACCAGCCTGGCCAACATGGCAAAACCCCGTGTCTACTAAAAATACAAAAATTGCTGGGTGTAGTGGCATGTGCCTGTAATCCCAGCTACTCAGGTGCTAGAGGCATAAGAATTGCTTAAACCCAAGAGTGGGAGGTTGCAGTGAGCCAAGATCATGCCACTGCAGTCCAGCCTGGGCAACAGAGCAAGAATCAGTCCAGAAAAAAAAAAAAAAAAAAAGTTTATTCTTTATTTAGTCCAAAGATTTTAATTATTTAGAGTGTTTCTTGACATTAAATTTTAACTCCAAAATGTACAAAAGAATCATGTGACTTAGACCATAGATTTATTTTTCCTTTTATGTTTCCCACGAGTCTACCAACTTCAGACCTCTGAGACTAAAGATCAAACAATTCTCACTTAGAATATGCTCCTTGAAAGGGCTGTATTTGCAACACGACCCCCAAATGCTGAAGGAGCCAAGAAATCAAAGAAGGAAGCAGGCAAATCCAGTTTATTGGTATAGGATGATTTATTAGGAGGAACTTACAGACACAAGCATGGTCTTGGGTGGCTGCAAAACAGATCTCTGCATGGCAAACCCCCAAACGCAGGGCTTATATCTTGGGGAAAAAGTATGCGTGTTCTGAAAGGAATGTGTGGGTGGCTACAGGAGTCACAGCCTATGATTTTTGTTATGGCGTCAAAGTTTGTTTTGAAGGAATCTTACAGTGAATAGGTATTCCTATATAAAGAGTAATACATTAGGCTGGGCACGGTAGTTCATGCATGTAATCCCAGCACTTTGGGAGACCGAAGCAGAAGGATCACTTGAGTCCAGGAGTTTGAGACCAGCCTGGGAAATATAGAAGGACCCCACCTCTATAAAAAAGAAATTTAAAAAATTAAAAATAAGAAAGAGTAATACACTAAATTGACATTTTGGAGGCATTCCCAGACTCAGGGTTAGTCAGAAGTTACATGGTGGATTAGCATTTAAAATAAAGACACTCTTGGCCAGGCGCGGTACCTCACGCTTGTAATCCCAGCACTTGGGTTGGAACAATGTGTACTCTGTTCTGTTTCTCATTGTGCATTACAAGGAACAGGGTAGAGAAGGGTAAAATACTATGTGCACTACTTTGCTAAATGAGCTTATAAAGCAGTACAAGTCAGTTAACGTGATGCCTCTAGCTTTATGCTTTGTGCTGTTTGCTTTGGCTATTCAGGCCCCTTTTATGGTTTCCTGTGAATTTTAGGATTTTGACATTGGGCCAGGTGCAGTGGCTCACGCCTATAATCCCAAAACTTTGAGAGGCCGAGGCAGGCGGATCACTTGAGGTCAGGAGTTCGAGACCAGCCTGGCCAACATGGCGAAACCCTGTCTCTATTTAAAATACAAAAAAATTAGCCGGCATGGTGACGCACACCTGTAGTCCCAGCTACTCAGGAGGCTGAGGCAGGAGAATCGCTTGAACCTGGGAGGGAAAGGTTGCACTGCACTCCAGCCTGGGTGACAGAGTGAGACTTGTCTCAAAAAAAAAAAAAAAAAAAAAAAAGGAAAAAAAAGTATCTTTATTTTATAGAAAATGTAGTACGTATACGTCATAGAACACTATGCAGCCATAAAAAGGAACGAGATCATGTCCTTTGCAGGTACATGGATGGAGCCAGAAGCCATTATCTTCAGCAAACTAACGCAGAAACAGAAAATCAAATACTGCATGTTCTCACTTGTCAATGGAAGCTGAATGATGAGAACACATGGACACATGCCAAGGAACAAGACACACTGGAGCCTGATGGAGGGTGGGGGATGGGAGGAGGGATAGCATCAGGAAGAATGGCAAATGGATGCTGGGCTTACTATCTAGTTGATGGGATGATCTGTGCAGCTAATCACTACGGCACACATTTAACTATGTAACAAACCTGCACATCCTGCACATTTACCCCTGAACTTAAAAGTTGAGGGGAAAAAAAAGTCATCTGATGATGTGTATACACACTAAACTTTGGGAAACGTTGGTCTATATATTTTCATAATTACAACTACAGACTATAGTCACTTTAGAATAAAGTAGACATCCTAAAAAAAAAAAAAAAAAACAGTGTCTTTATTTTAAATGCTAATCTGCCATGTAACTTCTGGCTGACCCTGAATCTGGGAATACCTCCAAAATGTCTAGATGATATATTACTCTTTATATAAAAACATGTATTCACAATAAGTTTCCTTCAAAACAACCCTTGATACTGTTATAAAAAATCATAGGCTGTGATGCTATACCCACTTACACATTCCTTCCAGAGCACATGTACTTTTCCCTCAAGATATAAGCTCTGGGTCTGGGAGGTTGCAGTACTAAGACCTTCCCGTCTTATGACTGCCCCAAGACCATTCTTCTGTCTATAAGATACCCCAATAAATCACCCTATACCAACAAAGTGGATTTGTCTGCCTCCTTCTTTGGTTTCTCAGCTCCTTTAACATTTGGAGGTGACTTTACATATACTCCTCTTTTACAAAACAAAATGCCACTTGTTAAATAATTGAGTCACTCCTGTTTTAATTCCATGTAGGATACATATTTTTATAAATCCCTCTGTTTACACTGAGACCAACCTATCAACCAATAGATTAAGAATCCCTTATCCAAAAAGCTTAGGACCAGCAGTGTTTTGGACTTCAGATTTCTTCAGATTTTGGAATATTCGCATATACATAAGAAGGTATCTTGGGGACAGGATCCAAGTCTAAATAAGAAATTCATTTATGTTTCATATATACCTTATACATATAGCCTGAAGGTAATTTTGTACGATACTTTTAATAATTTTGTGCATGAAACTAAGTTTTGACTGCAACTTTATCATGTCACGTGAGGGCAAGTGCGGAATTTTCCACTTATGGTGTCATGATGGCACTTGAAAAGCTTAAGATTTTGAAGCATTTTGGATTTCAGATTACCGTATTAAGAATGCTCAACCTGTATTAGCATAAGAAAATTTATTTTTTTTTTATTTTATTGTTTCATTTTGTAGAGACAGGGTCTCCCTATGTTGCCCAGGCTAGTCTCAAATTCTTGGGCTCAAGTGATCTTCCCACTCAGCTTCCCAAAATGCTGGGATTATAAGCGTCAGCTATTGCACCCAGCCAGCAGAGGAAAAATTTTAAAACAAAACTAAAAAACTTGTAGCCACAGAGGTACTTGTGGTTTCAAACTGGTTCTACGTTAAGTAAAGTTCTGGAAGAGAGGACTACGACTAAGTCTTAGCTCCTCAAACCAAAAGCCTCACAGGAAAAAAGCACCATCTCTTGGATTTTTCTATAGACCAAACTAAATTCTGCAGGACTGGAGTTGAATATTGTTAACTGCCACCCATACTGCCTATCCAAGTTGTGATTTCTGAAACCAAGGCTAATTCTGTAAGTACAGTGACTTTCAAAGTTCCTTATAATTGGGGCCAGGCCCAGTGGCTCACGCCTGTAGTCCCAGCACTTTGGGAGGCCACGGCAGGTGGGTCACCTGATGTCAGGAGTTCAAGACCAGCCTGGCCAACATGGCGAAACCCCATCTCTACTAAAAATACAAAAATTAGCCAGGCATGGTGGTGTGTACCTGTAATCCCAGCTACTTGGGAGGCTGAGGCAGAAGAATCACTTGAACCCAGGAGGCAAAGGCTGCAGTGAGCGGAGATCACACCACTGCACTCCAGCCTGGGCAATAAAGCGAAACTGAACCTCAGAAAAAATTATAAAGTTCCTTATAATTGAATACAAGCCACAGAAAGGCCCATACCGTAGACTGAATGGTAAACTGGTGCTTGGTAACACTGCTGAGACTAAGAATGAATCCCAGTGCCACAGATTAGGTCCCCCAATATATGCCTCTTATCCATGTTATGAAACACAGCTTTAGGTTTTTAAAAATTATTCTCTGTGCAATTAGTAATTGGTCACTAATTGTTAACTAAAAACAATGAATCATCCAGGCACCTGGACTATTTCCAATAGTCCTTAATAGATTGCTCCTGCCCGTCTCCTCCTTCCCCTGCTTTCCCTACCCCAACAGTCTCTAAAAGGAAAAGAAAGGGAAAAAAAACCTAGAAGCAATTGCAAAGTTGTAGATTAGTCAGGACTCAGAATCACACGCTAAGAAGCATATGAAATAAAAGGTTCCCCTCGGCCTTTCAGCAGACTACATTTTTAGGAGCACAGAAGCAATTGAAAACTGACCAAAATGCAAAACCAGACTTTCATTTCTTAAGGCTATGCCCAACAAGACAGGACTTTAAAAGGCATTTAAAATATTAAAATGCACAGGATGGTGGAAAGTTAGTGTATTCCTTCTGGGGACTTGAAGCCTTGGTTTCCTCAATTCCTTTGTGCTTGGGCTCTAAGAAGCGCAACGTATTTTGCAAAAGGCCTCTGAATAGCATGTCTGGTTTTGTACAATTCACACACCTGCCTAAAGTCAGTGTAACGTATTTCTGGCTAAAGTACTGTACACAAGGACTGTACACAAGGATTTCTCTTCAGCACTTTGTTTACCTCCAGAAATAAAACAGATGGGAAAAGCAGAAGGCAGTGAGCTGTGCACTCAACATAAGCCAAATGCTAATAAGCCTTTATCTGGGGTCTATTACCCTTGGCAGTGTTTGTTTAAATCTTATTCAGGCAGATCGAAGAAAGTGGGGCAAAGGTTTTAAGCTTACGTTCTTTTTCAAGGCCTACCTTTCATAACGTCATGAAATCCATGCAGAGCAGCACCAACATTTGTTAACACAGAACTGTAGTTTGTCCGAAGGAGTCCATCTGGCTCTGTACCTAGGAAATCAAAATCACAAATCTAAGCATTTTCCTGAAAAATGGACTGCCCATTGTATCCCTCTACTTTTGGGAAGATAGAGAATGAAGATTGGTTGTAATGTGCTAGAAATAATGCCTCTTAAAATCGTGGCAGATACATTCAGACATAATGGTGATACACATAAGCACATCTAAATGATTTGCATCTCCTATGTCCACAAATATTTTTTAATGGTTGAGAAACAAAATTCAGTTGTTAAGCAGGATTAAGTCTGTCATGATTCTTTGTAAAACGAAAGTCTTTGTGAATGTTTACCTTGTTATTATATAATGCATTTTTCATTCCCTACACATTATTTGCTGAACATCGCTAAAACACTCTTACCCAAATATCACAGAGTTCTGCTTCTGCCATGTCAGCGTGAGGAGCTCTGTGGACCTGCTTGCCCTCTGCAAAACTGGTAAAATTTGCAAAAAGGACAATCACTTAAAGTCTCTGGAGACGGTTCTAAGGGCAACACAGCACATGATTTACTCAAGAAAATCTGTAACAACTCAGTAATAACAGTGAGAGGCTACGGTATTTAAACCAAGAATCACTACCTCCCTCCCACAGCTCAGGGAGACAGAAATTCCATTCCCAATAGGTATAGCCAAGAACACGGGACTTCGTCTCTCCCAACTCCTAAAGAGGTCTGGATTTCTCCTCTTGCTCCCAGCTACCTGTTGCTGAAGCTAAATTCTGAGCAAGTGTGGACAGAGGCGGGGAACGTTCCCCTTCTTTCACCCAGCCCCTACTCCTAAGATGGAGGCTCTACCTTGGGCGTGGTGCTGCCAAGAAAAGTGGGGCCCTGATCACCCTTGCCCCAGCTCATCAACAGGAGTTCCACCCTGAAAGAGGCAGACCAAGGAGACCGGGGGCTGCTGCCTACCCCCTCCACTAAGGGCGCAGTTTCTAACAAGGGGGTGTCACTTAGAGAAAAGTATGACCACTGTCCCTAGCCCATAGAGATTTAGCCCAGGAGATAAGCAAGCCTTAAAACAAGAGCTCTTAATCTCTTCTTAAGGAACTGACTTAATTTGTAATACAGTGTGGAGAAGTTCAAGCCTAAGGGTGTACTCTAAAAAATTATGGCTGTGGTAAAAGCAATGAAGAAGAAATTGGTAGATTAGCGATATAAGTTAAACTGTGGGCTGCCTGGTTTACCAGAGAGAACAGGAAACAGAAATAGCTAAGAAGAGCCCTCCTGGGGTCAGAATGAAGCGCAAACACTGATCTCAAAAAACTCTACCTGCTAGGTGTACACTAGGTCTATAACTATACCCGTAAAAGAGCCCAAACTGAATTGATTCTCTGAATAGACAATTGATGCCCCACGACATTTTGAAAATGAGAGCAATCAATCAGCAATCAGCAGAGCTTAAACCTGGGTGTGATCAGTGAAAGAGACAGTGAAGGAGAGCCCTGCCACCATCGTCATCTCAGGGTGACTGTATGCATGCCCAAGGCTGAATCCTTGAGAAGCAACATCATGGCACAAAACTTACATGCTAAAAACTAGAAGATGTGTTTAAAGAAATTAAAGAGCTACATAAATGGAAAAACATACTATGTTCATGAATCAGATGACTAAGCTTAGATGGCAATACTCCCTGTATTAATTTCCTAGTGCTGCTGTAATGAAGTACCACAAACAAGGTGGCTTAACACAACAGAAATTTATTTTCTCACAGTTCTAGAGGCCAGAAGTCCAAAATCAAGGTGTTGGCAGGGTCACACTCTCCCCAAAGGCCCTAAGGGAGAATTCTTTCTTGCCTCTTCCAGCTTCTGTTGGCCCTAGGTGTTACTTGCCTGTGGCAGCATAACTCCAATCCCTGCATCTGTCTTCATATGGCCTTCCCCCTTGTATCTCTGTCTCCAGATTCTGTGTGTCTCTGTCTCGAAATCTCTCTCTCCTTATAAGGATCCCATTCATTGGATTTAGGACTCTCTTTAATCCAGTATGACCTCATCTTAATTTGATGACATCTGCAGAGATCCCATCTCCACAGGAGATCACACATACAGGTACTGACAGTTAGAATTTCACATATTATTTTGGGGGACACAATTCAACTCACAACCCTCTCCAAAATGATCTACAAGTTCAATGCAATCCCTATCAGAATCCCAACTGACTTCTTTGTAGACATCAACACAAGCTGATTCTAAAATTCATACGGGATTGCAAGGGACCTCAAATAACCAAAACAATCTTGAAAAAAAAAAAAAAAGTAGGAGGGCTCACGCTTCCTAATCTCGAAATTTGCTATAAAGCAACAATCATCAAGATATTATGGTACTGGTGTGGACAGATCAATGAAATAGACCTGAGAATCCAGAAATAAATCCATATATCTACAGTCAACTGATTCTCCACAAGGGTACCCAGACCATTCAATAAGGAAAGAATAGGCTTTTCAGCAAATGGTGCAGGGACAACTGCATAGGCACAGGCACCATATACAAAAATTAAAATGAGGTTGGGTGTGGTGGCTTATGCCTGTAATCCCAGCATTTTGGGAGGCCGAGATGGGCAGATCACCTGAGGCTAGGAGTTCGAGACCAGCCTGGCCAACATGGTGAGACCCCCATCTCTACTAAAAAATGCAAAAATTAGCCAAGTGCAGTGGCGCACACCCGTAGTCCCAGCTACTCGGGAGGCTGAAGCAGGAGATCACTTAAATCCGGGAGGCAGTTTGCAGCGAGCTGAGAGTGTGACACTGCACTCCAGACTGGGTGATAGAGTGAGACTCTGTCTAAAAAAAAAAAAAAAAAAAAAAAATTAATTCAAAATTAATCATAAACCTAAGTGTAAGTAAGAGTTAAAACTATAAAACGCTTAGAAGAAAACACAGGGTAAGTCTTCATAACCTCAGATTTGACAGCAGATTCTTAGATATGACATCAAAAGCATCAGCAACAACAACAACAAAAATGGGAAACTGGACTTCATCAAAATTGAACATTTTTGTTCCTCAAAGGACACTATCAAGAAAGTTAAAAGACAACCTATAAAATGGAAGAAAATATTGCAAATCATATATCCAATAAGTGACTTGTATGTATAATACATAAAGAACTCTTATAACTCAATAATAAACAGACAACCTAACTGAAAAATGGAGAAAAGATCTCAATAAATATTTCTCCAAGAAGATATACAAATGGCCAATAAGTACATTAAAAGATAGTCAACATCACTCGCAATCAGGAAAATGCAAGTAAAAACTACAATGAGATACCAGTTAATACCCACCAGAATAGCTAAAAATCAAAAAACCAAGTAATAACACTGAAGAGGATGTGGAGAAATTAGAACCCTCATACACTGCTAGTAGGAATGTAAAATGGTACAGCACTTTGTAAAACACTCCAGCAGCTCCTCAAACAGTTAAGCAGAGTTGCCACATGACCCAGGAATTCCATTCCTAGGTATACACCCCAAAGAAATGAAAAGAGATGTCCACAAAGAAACTTGTACATGAATGTCAATAGCATCATTATTTGTAATAGCCAAAAGGTAGAAACAACCCAAATGTCCACTACATGACAAACGGGTAAGTAAAATGTGATACATCCATAAAATATAATAGCATTCTGCAATAAAAATTGAGTACTGATACATGCTACAACTTTTATGAATCTTAAAAAGCATGATGCTAAGTGAAAGAAGTCAGAAAAGACCACATACCATATTATTCCATTTAAATGAAATGGGTAGAATTGGCAAATATATAGCCAGAATGTAAATTACTAGGGTTTACGGGCTAGGGAGGGGTGGAACAGGGGAATGGGAGGGCAATAGCTAAAATACACAGGGTTTCTTCTATGGGTGATAAAAGTGTTCCAAAATTTACTGTAGTGACAATGCACATTCCTGTGAATATACTAAAAACCACTGAATTGTAAACTTTAATTAATACATTGTATGGTATATAAATTATACAATAATGCTGTTAAAAAAAACCATAGTACCAGAAAAATTATGGCATTCTTAAAAATGTCATTTAAAATGAGGTCCATTCAGTTACCCAAAAATACTTTTTTTTTTTTGAGACAGTTTCGCTATTGCTGCCCAGGCTGGAGCGCAATGGCACGATCTCAGCTCACTGCATCCTCTGCCTCCCAGGCTCACGCGATTCTCCTGCCTCAGCCTCCCGAGTAGCTGGGATTACAGGCACGCACCACCACACCCAGCTGATTTTGTATTTTTAGTAGAGATGAGGTTTCTCCATGTCGGTCAGGCTGGTCTCGAACTTCCAACCTCAGGTGATCTGCCCACCTCAGCCTCCCAAAGTGCTGGGATTACAGGCATGAGCCACCGCGCCCGGCCCTGAAAATACTTTTTTTGAAGTTAGGCCAAAGGGGAACAAATGGCATTTTTACTACTAAAGCTCCCCTACGCTACTTGTTGGAAAGCTGCTACAAATTCTTATGATGTGTTCCTTTCCATACAAAAAACAGGAAGGAAGGGAAAGGAATTAATATTTAATGCATGCTCAATGCCTGATATTTTACATAATTTATTTTTATTACTTATTTATTTCAGAAGCAGTGTTGCTTTGTCACCCAGGCTGGAGTGCAGTGGTGTGATCATAGCTCACTGCAGCCTTAACCTCCTTGGCTCAAGTGATCCTCCCACCTCAGCCTCCAGAGTAGCTGGGACTACAGGGAAGTGCTGCCACATCTGGATAATTTTTAAATTTTTTGTAGAGATGGGGTCTCCCTGTGCTGCCCAGGATGGTCTTGAACTCCTGACCTCAAGCCATCCTCCCACCTCAGCCTCCCAACGTGCTGGGATGACAGGTGTGAGTCACCCAGCCTGGCCGTACGTTCTTAATTTAACTCAATAATCACAACATTTAACTCCATTATATAAATAGAAAACCAGAAGTCCAGAGAGGTCAAGAGCTTTGCCCAAGGTCATAAATGTATAAGGGGCTAGAGAATTTGAATTCAAGTTTTCCTGATGCCAGATCCTATGCTCCTCTCACTCTACTTAGCTAAACCATCTCCCTTTTCCAGCTTCTTGTACTCTTAAGTCCTTGAAGTTGACCCCTAAGCAACAAACATACTTACTTGGCAAGGCAAGAAGAGCTATGTAAGTCTGCAGCTTCTCAAACACAGCTGTCATTTTTTTCATGTCCTGGGACAGCTCTAGATTCCTGGCTCTTAACGCAGATGTGCAAAGAGAGGATTCACATTCTTCTTCTAAACTAGGAATAGGCAGATTTTTAAGAAGTGAGCATCCCAAACGATTTTCAATTAGCTACTAGCAGCCAACCAAGTTCTCAAACAACTATATCCAAAGAGAGATATTGCAGAAAAAAGAATTTGATCTCATTTGCATGGCTCCATTTTTTTACATCATGATACATACACTGCTTGCTGCAAATACCAATGGAATATAAGATGACTAAATGGAATAACAGATAAAGGCATATGTCCATTATCTTTCCATCCTGAGAGCAACACAAAACATTAGAATATTTCTAATGTTCTTTTTCTTTTTTGTTTGAGACGGAGTCTCTCACTGTCTCCAGATTCGAGTACAGTGGCGCAATCTCGGCTCACTGTAACCTCCGCATCCCAGGTTCAAGCCATTCTCGTGCCTCAGCCTCCTGAGTTGCTGGGATTACAGGCACCCACCACCACGCCCGGCTAATTTTTGTACTTTCAGTAGAGACAAGGTTTCACTGTGTTGGTCAGGCTGGTCTCGAACTCCTGACCTCGGGTGATCCGCCTGCCTCAGCTTCCCAAAGTGCTGGGATTACAGGCATGAACCACCACGCCCGGCCATATTTTTAAATATTCTAAATGTTAAAAATCATTAAAATATTTACAGGAAAAAATTTTCACAGACTAAATTCCTAAAGAAAATGAATTAAACAGGAACTGGTATTATTAACACTGACACCAGCAAGAGAATCTAGAAAATCTTTTCCAGTACACATAGTTTTTCCAAAGCCAAACAGATTTACAATCTAGAGGCTCAAATTTAAAAGTAAACGCTTAACATTCATAAAATGCATTTTACCATTTTTAATTTTAAATAGTTACTTGGGAAAACTTAATTACAAGGTTTTTAAAAAATGTAGTGTCTTAACTATTCATTTTAAAATGTGGAGGTAATCAAGCAAAAAAAAAAGGTTTTTAGACAAAGCCAGAAAAGGTAGCATAGGAATCATAATCATTTCCATTCTCTCTCCATTGCAACTTCTCTTCTACTTTATTTATAGCAGACAGCTTCATTCCATTCTAAGCCCATTTACTACTAAACAACAGGTCATCTTGTCAATTAAAGTGGTATTTAAACCAATGCCCCCAAAATTGCTGAAAAATATTAATAACTCGTGAAGCAGGGCTGAAAGCATATGGGACAGAACATTCCAAAAGTAGAAATCTTAGCTTAAGAAAGAATTCATCCAGTGTTTTACAAAACATAATCATGGAAAAAATGAAGCAAGATAAAATTCATAACTCTTTCAAGTAGTAAATACTTGTGCAATGGTTCTTAAACAGATTCTTCTTAAACATAAGCCAAATCAAAGTTACATTCAACTTTAATGTTAAACCTCTAGAGTCGATTTTCAAAAAATCTTTATACAGAACTATAACATATAATGATCTAAAATAAAACTATTAGTTCATAATAATTAGTTTAAGCCATAATTATCTGATTCCCAGTATTTCCTAATATCCTATCATATGCACAAATCACAGAATTTTGTTACTGAAATATCTTGTAAGGATAGAATTAGGAAAGAAGATGTCTCTTAATATATATTAATTTTTTTAATAATAAAATTGTATATTTCTTAAATGCCAAACTTACTACTTTAGTTTTACAAGGACTTATAATTACTTATATATTCTTTTCTTTTTTTTTTTTTTTAAGAGACAGGGACTCTATCACCCAGGCTGATATAATTACTTATACATTCTTTTCTTTTTTTTTTTTTTAAGAGGCAGGGACTCTATCACCCAGGCTGCAGTAACAGCTCACTGCAGCCTCAAACTCCTGGGCTCAAGTGATTCTTCCATCTCAGCCTCCTAAGTAGCTAGGACTACAGGCACAGGCCACCACCTCCAGCTAGTTTTCTTTTTATTTTCAGTAGAGACAGGTCTCCCTATGCTGCCCAGGCTGTTCTCGAATTCCTGGCCTCAAGTGATCTTCCCGCCTCGACCTCACAAGGTATTGGGATTACAGGCATGTGCCACCATGCCTGGCCTATTTTCAGTATCTGTAAGTAATTAACCTTTTTTTTTTTTTGAGACGGAGTCTCACTCTGTTGCCCAGGCTGGAGTGCAGTGATGTGACCTTGGCTCACTGCAACCTCCGCCTCCCAGGTTCAAGTGATTCTCCTGCCTCAGCCTCCCAAGTAGCTGGGACTACAGGCATGCACCACCACGCCCGGCTAATTTTTGTATTTTTAGTAGAAACAGGGTTTTGCCATGTTGGCAAGGCTGATCTGAAACTCCTGACCTCAGGTGATCCACCCTCTTTGGCCTCCCAAAGTGCTGGGACTACAGGCATGAGCCACCACACTTGGCCAACCTACTTATTTTCTAAATTTTATTTTACTGTAAAATATTATTTCTCTCATGTTCCAGTTGTATTGTTCTTTGATTTTTTTTTTTTTTTTTTTTTTTTTTTTTGAGATGGAGTCTCGCTCTGTTGCCTAGGCTGGAGTGCAATGGCGCGATCTTGGCTCACTGCAACCTCCGCCTCCCAGGTTCGAGCGATTCTCCTGCCTCAGCCTCCCAAGTAGCTGGGACTATAGGGATGCACCACAACGCCCGGCTAATTTTTGTATTTTTAGAAGAGGCGGGGTTTCACCAAGTTGGCCAGGCTGGTCTCGAACTCCTGACTTCAAGTGATCCACCCACCTCAGCCTCCCAAAGTGCTGGGATTACAGGCGTGAGCCACTGCGCCCGGCCTTGATTTTTTTAAAAAAGGGCTAAATCTTAGAATGGAAAGATTTAAATGAAATAGGTGTCTTGGTAGTTGTAAACCAAAAGTATCAAAACTTACAAGCAATATTATCAAATTTCTAATAATACGTATTATTTTTTCTGCCCTTCTAGAAATATTTAAAGTAGAATATCAAAGGTTACTAAATGACGTATTCTGTAAGGGCTAGAGTAGATAAGGTTTTTAGTTTATAACAAGTCACTAATAACAAAAATAAGAAAATACACCATTTCAAAGAAACCTAAAATTTATAGATCCTAACGTAGAAGGAAACTATTATGAACACCCATCTAGGTGTTAACTGCAAAGGGATGATAATGGTAACCACAGTACAGAACAACTGAAAATCTGTAACTGACAGACTATAATTCAACTTTCTTAAATTTAAGTTAATGCTGCTCAACCATGCTTTTCCTTTTTCACGGAAGTCCAAATTAACTGTGAAGCAGAAAAGTCAGGCAGATCACAAGAGGCACATGTTAATATTTTATTAACGCCAGCCAGATCAGGTTACACCCACAATTCCCCAAGTTCCCTGGCCTCCGGGGGTAACTACCTTTTTAACTGATAGGGAAGAATCTTCCTAAGAAAACATATGTAGGAGGTTAAGTGTTCTGAAAAAGTTTTCAATTTCACAGTTGTCTCCTGGAAAAGAAAAATAATTTCAAGGTTAAAAGTGCTACTGGACAAAGAGGAGCTCCCAGTTTCCAGAAGTAAAACAAGGAAGAAAATTACCAAGACAGTCACAGTATCCTCAGTGATACTTTCAAATAAATGAAGCATTCCTTCCTCAAGAGGGCGGACATAGGACGCATTTTCATGAAGGTATTGTGAGAACTAAACAGGAGGGAAAGTATTGTGAATTAAATCACTGGAAAATAACAAACATCAACACATTTCTAAATGGACCCACCAAATTATAAACCTAAATTGTAAACCTGATAATGGCTCACTGCAGCCTCAAACTCCTGTGCTCAAGTTTTGGAAACTTTTATTGGAAATTTGGTTTAAAAGCTAAACACAGATGCTCCCCTCTAATAGTCCCAGATGATACCCCCAAGTCCCTATCCCATTCTAAATCGAGGAACTAGAAGAGGGGTGACACAATTAATAACCAGGCATCAGAGGAAATAGGGAGCGAATACTGCATTAGAACCTAGGACCAACAGGTCAGCCTCCCTGAACACCTGCTTCTCCATAGAGGTCCCAGTATAAAAACAAACAAACAAAAAAGATTTGAAAATCAAGACTGTACGACAAAAATTTTTGTGTTATATACCCAATTTTTAAAAAACAAGCCTATTGAGGAAAGCTTATTTTTAATGTATACGATATTTGGTGTTAACAAATTCCAAGGATGTAATTATCAAAATGAGGATACAGAAACCTTTTTTTTTTTTTTTTGAGACAGAGTTTCACTCTGTCCCCCAAGCTGGAGTGCAGTGGCGGGATCTTGGCTCACTGCAACCTCTGCCTCCCGGGTTCTCAAGCAATTCTCCTGCCTCAGCTTCCCAAGTAGTTGGGACTACAGATGCTCACCACTACGCCCAGCTAATTTTTGTATTTTTAGTAGAGACGGGCTTTCACCATGTTGGCCAGGCTGGTCTTGAACTCCTGACCTCAGGTGATCCACCCACCTCAGCCTCCCAAAGTGCTGTGATTACAGGTGTGAGCCAACATGCCCAGCTTAATAACTTTTTATAACTGTCACTGATAACCTTAATATTTACAAGGGACTAATTCAGTATGAAGAATAGCTTCAGAAAAAAATCCTATAGGCATTTAGAAAATTTATAGGCAAAAAGATTATTTTCATTTATTAAATATCTCAATTATCTAATGTTACATAATAGCTCAAATTTCAATTTCTCAGTATAGAAATGTAAGATCTCATTTTGCAGAAATGTGATTCAACTGACCCCATCCACTACAAACTACACAGACACATGGCCCTGGGTAACTTAATCTCTTTGGGCTTCAATCTTTAGAGCTGTATAATATAATGCACTCTAAGCTTACAAGTCTAAAGGTCTACTTTATGATGTTATGAACAAGTTTAAACACTCCAGTCATCTTTTAACAAATGGTTTCTGAATCTCCTTCAATAACACAGACTTATTACAAAAATCACATAGGATCTTTTATAGGCCAAAGCACCAAAGGTAAAGTAATGAGAAATACATGAATTATTCAAAGTAATGAAATGACTCAAACAAATTAAGATTAATATATTTGATTCTCACTATGTGGGTATAACATGGCAACAAGCTAAAATAAAATTCCAATAATGGACAAAGAACCAGTATTGGATAGTATATTCTATCCAATACTGGTTAGCATATATATATATATATATGCTCTCTCTCTCTCTATATATATATATGCTCTATATATATATATATATATATATATATGCTCTATATATATATATATATGCTCTATATATATATATATGCTCTATATATATATATGCTCTCTCTATATATATATATGCTCTATATATATATGCTCTCTCTCTATATATATATGCTCTATATATATATGCTATATATATATATGCTCTATATATATATGCTATATATATATATGCTCTATATATATATGTGTGTGTGTGTATATATATACATACACACACACACACACACACACACACACACACACAATTCAAATATATTGATATGGTTTGGCTGTGTCCCCACCCAAATCTCAGCCTGAATTGTATCTCCCAGAATTCCTACATGTTGTGGGAGGTGTCCAGGGGGAGGTAATTGAATCATGGGGGCCAGTCTTTCCTGGGCTAGTCTCATGATAGTGGATAAGTCTCACAAGATCTGACAGGTTTATCAGGGGTTTCCACTTTTGCTTCTTGCTCATTTTTCTCTTGCCGCTGCCATGTAAAAAGTGTCTTTTGCCTCCCGCGATGATTCTGAGGCCTCCCCAGCCATGTGGAACTACAAGCCCAATTAAATCTCTTTTTCTTCCCAGTCTCAGATACGTCTTTCAAGTCTTTATCAGCAGCGTGAAGACGGACTTATACATATATATACACACATACATATATACATACACACACACACACACACACACACACACATACATTTTTTTTCTTGAGACAGGGTCTCACTCTGTTGCCCAAGCTGGAATGAAGTGGCACAGTCTTGGCTCACTGCAACCTCTGCCTCCTGGCCTCAAGGGATCCTCCCACCTCAGCCCACCAAGTAGCTGGGACTACAGGTACAAGCCACCACACCTGGCTAATTTTTGTTTTTTTTTGGTAGAGACGGGGTTTCACCATGTTGCCCAGGCTGGTCTTGAACTCCTGAGGTCAAGCGATCCACCCGCCTCAGCCTCCCAAAGTACTAGGATTACAGGTGTGAGCTACTGTGTCTGGTCAGAAAATATTTTTTAATATTACAGGAAGTATAAAAGAAAGCATAACTACATTAAAATGTTGCAGTACTGTCTTCCCTATCCAGATCTTCTGAAAGCTTTTTCCCACAGTGATATTAAAGAACATTTCAAAGGCCCAATGTTTAATTTTTACAAACTTCAATAGACGTGTAGAGTCAGACCAAAATTGATGAAAGCCAAGCACCTAATGATGGCTTCCTATGTGTAAGACATAACGATGATGATCCTAAGAGCTAATCTTTATTGGGTGCTAGTATTACATGCCACGCACTGTTTTTAGTGCTTTACATGTATTATCTTATTGAATCCTCAAATACGCTTACCTGTGAGGTAGGTATTCTATCTCCCATTTTAAAGATGAGAAAACGGAAGCGCAGAGAGAGTAAGTATATTTCCCAAGAGGACATAACTGAGAAAGTGGCAGAAATGGACTGGGAACCCAGGAAGTCTAACTCCTGAGTCCAAGTCTTTGCTGCACTAATAGGCACGTAGGGGACCCACAGACATAAACACTGTTCAGACCCTGAAAATACTGCATGATGCACAGAAGAAGCAGGGAATAAGAATCAGGTTATGTAGGACGAATGGCATGACTCATATTTCAGACTGCCACATCATGAGGCACTTACAGCACACATGTATAGCAATTTCCCTCAATTTCCACCCTGTGAGAGTCAGCTTCTAAGATGGCTTCAATTGTCTCCACTTCCTGGTATTTTTGGTTTTGTGTACTACCCTCTCACATTGTTTCAAGGTTGGTCTGGTCTGTGTGACCAATACGATACTGAAGAAGTGATGATACGTGACTACCTAGGCTATGTCAAAAGGCACTGTGGCTTCCACCTTGCTCTTAGATCGCTCACTATGAGAAATGTTAGCTGCCATTTATGAGGACACTCAAAGAGCCAGGCAATAAGAAACTGAGGTTCCCAGCCAACTACTAGCACTAACTCACCAGGCATGTAAGTCGGCCACCTGGGATGCAAATCCCCCAGCTCCAGTGACATCCTGACTGAAACCTTATGAGAGATCATGAGCCAGCTAACTAGCCCCTCCATTCTTGACCCGCAGCAACTGTGAGATAGTAAATGTTTGTTGTTTTAAACTATGAAGTTTTGGGGTAATTTATTACATAGCAATACATAGCTAATATACTCACAACATTTATTTTATCCTTTTCGGTTAAATGAAATTTTGTAAGCTACCTTAAATTGTTTTTTAGAATTAGCAGGGGAGAAAAAAGGGAAAGAAAGAAGCAAAATCTAATGGCCCAAAAAAGGCACATGGATTGAAGAAAGTGACATTTAAACCCTGTTTGAACCTCACAAACCCTGAAAATGCCCCCCAAGCTCAACTGGATAAGCAGTGTGTCTCCCACTCCATAACTCAGCAGGAAGGAAAAAGGTCAACTATACCACACAGGTTGTTTTACTCCTAAACATGCCCAGTGATGAAAGTTACACTGTGAGTACAATCAGGGAGAGAAATGCCAGCAAATTAATTTTTCCGACAATAAAATGGCACTTTTATGTCACCCCCGATCAAAAAGCTATAAAGGCCTCAATCCTACAAACAAAGTGAAGGTCTATGTCTTGGCCTGCCCTTAGGGGCCTTTTAGAACCTGGAGCCATTTTTTCTCTTTCAACCTTCCTTTCCATACCTCCCCTTCTGAGGACTTCACATTTCAGCCAACACAGTTTGCTCATTATTCCCTCCCCATGCCTCACCCTGTTCCCAACCCCCACACTCCCTATGCTTTCCTGCTCCATGATTTTGTTCATGTCATTCTCTTCTGGGGGAAAAAGTGTATCCCACTTCTCTCCTCCTATTTAAACCTTGCTAATTTTTCAAGACCCATTCAAATCCCCAAAGAATCTTTCCCAGACATTACCACCTACAGTGACCTCCATTCCCCGGTGATCTCATACCACTTACTGGCCATACCACTCACTCGCTCACACTGAGGTCTTTTAAAAACTCCCCAAGGGCCAGGCACAGTGGCTTACACCTGTAATCCCAGCACTTTGGGAGGCTGAGGCAGGCAGATCACCTGAGGTCAGGAGTTCAAGACCAGCCTGGCCAACATGGCGAAACCCTGGCTCTACTAAAAATAGGGAAAAAAAAGAAAAAAAAAATTAGCCAGTGTGGTGGTGCACGCCTGTAGTCCCAGCTAGTTGGGAAGCTGAGGTGGGAGGATCACTTGAGCCCAGGAAGCAGAGGCTGCAGTGAACCAAGATCACACTGCTGCACTCCAACCTGGGCAACAGAGCGAGACTCCACCTCAAAAAAAGAAAAAAAAAAAACCTCCCTGATATGGTTTGGTTCTATGTCCCCATGCAAATCTCATCTTCTAGCTCCCACAGTTCCCAAACGTTATGGGAGGGACCCAGTGGGAGATGACTGAATGATGGGGGTGGGTCTTTCCCGTGCTGTTCTCACAATAGTGAATGGGTCTCACGAGATCTGATGGTTTTAAAAATGGGAGTTTCCCTCCACAAGCTCTCTTTTTGCCTGCCACCATCCACGAAACACATGACTTGCTCCTCTTTGCCTTGATTGTGAGGCCTCCCCAGCCATGTGGAGTCTAATAAACCTCTGTAAGTCTAATAAACCTCTTTCTTTTGTAAATTGCTCAGTCTCCAGTATGTCTTTATCAGCAGTGTGAAAACAGACTAATACACTTCCCTAGAATTTAATTTCTTAAGAATCTCTATTTTTGCCATATTTTATTTTGAGAGTAAAAACTATGCTTTTTGGGTTTTTTCCATGTCCTTTGCAGTACTTGGATGGTGCACAGAAGAGGTCTAAAAACAAACAATATCTCCCTATTTTGTTCAGGGCAAACAAAATGTATCCTGAATTAAATTTACCTTCTGATTCAATGGAGATATAGTGTCAATGGCAGAATCAACAGGAAAAATTTGAATCCTCTGTTCTGTGTAGGTATGAAAGTTTAGAAGAGCCGTCACAAGATCCTGAACAAAAGCCAGGGCCTGCCCAGCAATATCTCGCATCTTCAGCTTTAAAATGAAAAATATATAGTTAAGGTCAACTCTCAAATTATTATCCTAAAAGAACTTTATTGAGTCTGATCTGGAGAAAACATTTGAATCCTAGTGTGATTATTCCTTACTTTAAATTCATCTGCTCCCACTTGAATTTTAATATTCCTATCTAAGTAAATTAGAAAGCCACCAATTTGGCAAATACACCTCCTGCACTTAACCCAGACCACTTAAGTATAAGGTCTACCAATCCACAAAAAAGTATGGCTCAAAACATTAATGCATCTCATAATTTAGTTCTAATGTTATCAGACAAGGGAGATAGCAAAAATCTGTGTTACTTATGAATGCAATAAAAAGCAAGCTACATTTGAATAAATGTATGAGAAACACGTAAAGCAACAGTTAAATGCAATGACTGAATGCACTAAACAGAGGTCCAAACACAACTAATTCTTGTTTCTGGAAAGTCTGATGTATATATAACTGAAAATAAAAACATGTACTTCATCCTTTACCTGGTGTCTCCTATTGTGGAGTGGAACGTTCAGAGCGTTGTACTGACTATATTCTACAGAAGAAAAATAATGTACATTAAGTCTCTCATTTCACATATACTGGAAAATAACTTAAATGCAAAATAATGAATGCTCTGAAGCAAAATCAACTTTACATAAGAATTTAAAATGATCAACAATACAGAATAATGGAATTTACATAGAATCAGTGGTTTCTCAGATAAAGTAATACTTCCCATCTTTTTTTAACTTCAGGCTTAAAAAAAACCCAAACAAATCCAGTGTTTCCATTTCTAAGAAATCATTTCAAATACTGCTTTCAGGCTTATCAGGACTACTTAGAAAGGCTCATGACGTTCTTGCTGTTTTCAGTCATTCTCCCTTCTAAAATAACCCTCCACAAAGCCGCCACGCTAATCAGCAAAAAATACCACTGTTTTCCTGACACTACATTACCGGAAAAATCTATCACTGTCTGCCACTGTGGATCCCAATGACTCAATCCTAACTTTCCTGGATGGTATCACTATCTTTCTCAGTCTTCCTCTCTACCCTGGTCTGTTACTAACCTCTGGCAGCTTCCTCCTACCTAGCCATACCTCCTCAAACTCCTCCTTAATGAGCTGCATCTCTCCTCATCTCTACTCATCCCTTCAGCCACTCAAACCTGCCCTTCTCTGCCCAGGTTCTCAGTCAGAATGACCCCAGTGCCAAAATACGATTCAGAATGTTCCTGTGGCATAGTCACCCAGTTCCCTTTTATGTCTCCATTGCTACTCACTGGGCTATACATTACCAGCTTGATCTCCCATCCACCAACACCTCTGGACACTTCTATCAGCCATCTTTCAGCCTTGCTTGTTTTGCTTCCCAGCCTGGTCCATTGTTTCAACAACGCTTTTGCTAACACGAATCCCGAGTAAAGTCCACTACAATTTACTCTGCCTAACTCCAGGGGGCTTCAACTCTACTCAGCAATCCACAATTTCATTGCCGTGTGCCTATTTTATTTCCCATGGCATCTATCCCAAACCTTTTCTGTTTTAAGCTCCTAATACCATTCCTCCTCTCCTCTCCACTACCCAATGGATAGGATGGCCTCTCCCTACTCCACCAAGAAAATCACAGCCAAAGCAAAAGAGTTCTTACACTCCCCACCCTCCACCTCGGTCTACTGCTTGCATATCCTTTCCTCAGCTAACCGTCCTCCTGGGCCCTTCTGCTTCTGACCCCCTCAGGACCTTAGGACATAATCACTCCCTGCTTCTATCTTCAGTATCTCCTCATTACAAATAAAGCATTTGCTGCAGCTCATTTAACTCTTGTGTCCACAGTGAGTCTCTTCCATTACTTAATCACACTTAATTCTCTGCCCTGACTCCTGTCCCCAGCCTTTTCTTTCACTTTGCCCGTCTGTCAGGCTCTCATGCTTCTCCATTTCCTTCATTCCCACTGCTCAAAAAACAGCACTGCTCTGCCTATTTCCTCAGCACCCATTCACCTCAACTCCCTGTGCTGGCAATCTAGTGTCCACCTACACCCTGCACAGAAGCGCTCCTCGCAAAGTATACTAGTCCTCTCGAGGCCACAAAATCCAGTCACCAAACCCAGTCGCCTTGATACATCACCCTCTGACCTCTCCACAGCAATGCGCAGAACTGACCTGCACCATCAGGTTGAAACTCCCTTCTCCAGCTTCTACCTCACCCCGTTTCCACAGCTCCCCTCTGCCTCCTGATCACTGGGATGGAGAACTCACCAAGGACCCTGCACAGGCCTGACTGCACTGTGCACCCACCACTCCCAACATGAGGGCTCCTCCAGCCCAATAGTGTTGACATCAGTTTCTCTGCCAAAGTCTAGTCTTTCATTTAGAAAGGCATACATCAGCAGTTATATAGATACATATGAACCCATCTGTCAGAAGATTAAACAACAACAAAGTTAACCTCGTTGTCTCTCCCATAAACCTGCTCCTGTCTACCTCTTTTCTTTCGGTCAACTGCATCACCATCTTCCCCATGACTGCCTCTTTCTCCCTTGTCTCCTTGAAAGGACCAGTCTGCTCCCTCTCCTTCCACAAGATCTTCCACATCTCCCCAATCCAGGCTAAGCCTCCACAATAGTACGCCAAAACTATCATCACAATAGTCTTTGACTCCCTTGTCCCACTCCTAGGTAATCTACACTCTGTTGCCAGATTAACCTTGTGAGTACACATATAGCAACATGATGTTCCCTGGCTCAAAAACTTCTCCAACAACCCCATGGCCTTATGAATGAAGTTCCCAGTCCTTAGACCAGAACACTAGGGTCCAGTCCCACCATACCTTTCAGAACTTACATGTCCTTGCCCTGCACATCCCACCCACCCTAAGCCTCCTGTCATACTGGATTACTGCTCCTGAGGGCATGATGACACCTTTTCTCCTATATACCATACTTCACGTAATTCCTTAGATTTTACCCTTATCTCTGCCCAATAAAACCTGCTCACATATCCAGGCCCAGCTCAAAGCACCCTTTTTCTGGGAAGGCTTCCCCACACCATGCCACCAGCAGTAACATGTCCTTCTCTGAAACCCCAGGAGGTTCTTTATGGCACAGTCTAGTTTATATTATTGACATTTCTACATCTATCTCTGCCTTACGAGGCTATAAACTGCTTGAGGTAGAAATTTTGACTTACCAATTTTTGCATCCCCTATGCTACTGACCTGTCTAGGCACTCAGCAAATGATCTTTAAATATTTCAGGACTAAAAGTAATAGTCCACATGTGACAAGAAAGGGACCTAAAACAGGGTGACAACTAGTATTAGAAAAGGAAGGATAAATCCATGATTCAGAAGGAAATTATTAAAACCTAATGATTGAGACAAGGCTTAAAGGGAAAATGTAATGCCACAGTTTCAAATCCAGTGAATCCAGTAGTATTTACATTAATGTAGAAGCTAGAAGCAGGTGTTATTTTCAAAGGGGAATTTAAATTTTTGATACAATAATGACATGGGCTGATTTTAATCTTAAATCAAACTGCTATTTTTCTTTTTTTTTCTTCCTCTTTTTTTAGGTCTTCCCTAAAAAAATTTAGGGGAAGTAAAATATTAATTTCAATCATGTGATTACAGAAAAAGGAAATGTGCATCAATTTGAATGTAAGTTTCAAAATCCAAACAAGCAAATATTTTCTTTGCTTTTGAGGTTTTGACTTCTTACCTAAAGGTTGCAAATTTGGCACCTATTACACATGTAAAGTAGTATTTTTTAACTTTTTGTTGTTCCTGGGAATGTAAATTATCAAACCATTCCCAGGGTGAATAGGAAGCAAGGCTTAACCAAGTTAGCTTCGTAGCTATTGCTGGGAATTGACCAAGGGGTAAGTCATAATTTTAAGATGATTTAACTCCCACCACCAAGCCTCATTTCCCCCACCCCAATCAACAATTTTTCTTGTACAAATATTCAACTATTTATGTGCAGGTTGTTTTTTATCTTGGAAAATGCTAAATACATGCAATCAAAAAATGTGGATTTGGGCTTCTTCCAAGAAGACCAGCTTTGGAGTAGTTATATGACAATTTAAAATCTTCCTGTTAAATATGATTACCACGGCTGATCAAATGAACAAAGAGAAAGCAATCTTCTGTGGGGCCAATTAAATTTTTTGCCCAAAAGATTAAAAATTACTTTAATTAGTTGGCTACCACAGAGAGATTCAAAGTTACAAATAATGGAAAACTGTACATAATACCTACTTGTATCATTAAAAGGTACTTTTTCATTGATGATTGATAAGGATTCCTCTAATCTACCTGACAAATCTTCATGAAGAGTCTTTAACTGTAATTGACTGCAAAAAAAAAAAAAATACAAAACCACATTATCACCAATCACTGAGTGAATCCTCATTTATTTGTTACCTCAACAGCTGGTAGTAGGCTTCCAGAGAACTGCACCTGACATCTGGGATACTCTTGGCAGAGAGTTGTTAAAAGAGGAAGATAACAAAAACGCTAACCTGGCTTCTCAAGTCCCAGGGACTTCTGGAGAATGATGTGGAAGTTTGGAGGAATTTATCATGGTACGAGTGTCTTAGCCAACCTTACATTTATTTCCCCAAGCTCAAAGTAATCTTAGAAATAATATTTCCCCAAGCTCAAAGTAATCACAAATGTTCTCGTTACAACACATAAGTATTCACTAGTATCACTATAGACTTTTTTTAAGTACATACTGTATTAGCCTTCTTTTCCCCTTGAACTCTTTCTGTGTTTGGTTCAATTATGTACACATCTAAATCATGCATGTAATTCTAACGATGCAACAAAATCGATATGAGAAATTCACTTAGTTGATCCTATTAAAAACTAAAATATTATCAAATAAATGTTGGAGTACACCTTTACCATGCATTACTAGTATTTTGATTTTAAAATTTATGTATCTCCAAATTAGATCGCATAACCTCTATTTTATTCAAAATGTACCATTAAAAGATTGGCATGGTGATTATCAGTTTTCCTTCCTGGGACTATCAGAGGCCCCTTCTGTTTAGAGTAGTTTCAAACACAAAGTCTCCAGTCTTCAGTGCAAGAGCTCCAGAACACGATCTGCCACAGCCCCAAACCCTTGCAGGCTGAGAACTAATACACAGGCCACTCTATCAAGAATGCTTAGGGCCCCGGAGATCCCAGAATTGAAAAGGACCCTGTAGATTACTCCCATTTTCTCCTTTTAAATGTAAGACAATTAAAACAGAGGAGCTGCTACAACCAAAACCCATGTCTTCTGAGTCTTGCTTCAGAACCCTCTTGGAATTCAAGTTTCCACATACCATTCTTCCGTTCGAAGTCGACATTCCTTGGCTTCCTTTTCTAGAGTCTGAGATTTCACCTGAATTTCAGAAGAAAAAGAAACACAGATGGCTCAGGCTACGACAGATAGGAGCACACTTAGTAAGACCCTGCAGGCAAAAGTCTCACCAGAAATGACTAACTCTAAGTGGATAGACAATTTATTAATACAAAAGCTGTAACTATTTTTTAGTGTGCTCTCACAATGGGGCTTACTTCTAGTTTAGCCTTGTCGTTCTGCAGCTTCTCAATGGTTTCCATGTACTTCCGGGTGAGACCGTCAACCACAGCTTGGTGCTGGGCTGCTTCTGTCTCCAGAGTGGCCAGTCGACTCCTCAGCTCTGCTTCCACATGCTTGTGCTGCTCATCAGCTTCAAAAAACTAAAAAGAGAAGACCATTTTCTCTTCTCACAATATCCTAATATACATAAATGAGAAAAATAACAGCAGTGACTATTCACTGAGCAACTTCCACATGGTTCCATATGCTGACTATGTTAAACCCACACAGGCATTATCTCATTAAATCCTCACAGGATATCAGAAGTAGCTACTGTTATTCCTCTTTACAAATATGGAAACTCAAGCTTAAAAGAGTTAATAACTAGTCTAATGTCTCACAGCTAAAATATAGTAGAACTGAGATTTGAACACAGGAAACCTACTCCAAAGCCTGCACCTCCTACCTCTCAGTCTCATGAATTTCTGTTTTAAACAATGTCTGGCATACATAGAATTCAATTGATCAGAGTATAACTTTTCTACTAAGCTAACTTTCACATAAAATAATCAAAATTAAAACAGGTGTTATTCTTAAAACAGGTAAAGCTCTTTCCTGTAATTAGAGTCCAATACTAATAAAGAATTGTGAATACTTAGATATAAAATACACTGTGGTCAAAAACAACTTTTTCAAAGACTGAAAAGCGTGTCTGTTTGTGTGTGTGTGTGTGTGTTTCCTACCATTTGACCAAAAAAAAATAAGTAAGGAGGTTATAGTTGGATACACTATACTATGAATCTTTTTTTTTTTTTTTTTTTTTGAGACAGAGTCTCACTCTGTCGCCCAGGCTAGAGTGCTGTGGCTTGATCTCGGCTCACTGCAAGCTCCGCCTCCCGGGTTCACGCCATTCTCCTGCCTCAGCCTCCCAAGTAGCTGGGACTACAGGTGTCTACCACCACGCCTGGCTAATTTTTTGTATTTTTACTAGAGAAGGGGTTTCACCGTGTTAGCCAGGATGGTCTCGATCTCCTGACCTCGTGATCCGCCCACCTTGGCCTCCCAAAGTGCTGGGATTACAGGCATGAGACACTGCGCCCAGCCCACTATGAATCTTAGAATATGCTCAGTGGTTTGGGGGCAGGCACTAACTTTTCAACATTCCATAAATATCTGAGTGCCTGACATAAGTAAGACACTGTCCTGGGACTAGGCATAGGAAACATACATGGTTCATACCCTCAGAGACCTTACAGTTTAACAGGGGTAGGGATAAGAACCAACTAAACATCAGTAAATTAAAAAACTAAACATCAGTTAAAAAAAAAAAAAAAAGGGAGGGGGAGGGAAAAAAGCAAATACCATTTATTGGTAAGCTCCCATTTAAATGATACATGTAATCACTTCCCATATAAAATGAATAATGCTCAGTATATTTCTGCACTGTTAAGTTATAAAGCTATTCTGCTGTCTTCTGAACAAATGCATATACTTCAAAGCACACATCCACATTAAGACTGTGTGATATTTAAGAAATGAATAAGTGACAGTGACATATATACTTGAAGACCATAGAAGACATTAAAATACCCACGCAGACACAAAACACTCTATGTGCATTAGCTTTTCCACATTAACAGATCACAGACCCATTTTTTAATTCACATAGAAAAACAGATTTTCTCACTTGTATATGCAACCGTTCATTCTCTTCTATCTTCTTTTGCAGATCTTCATCAAAGACACTCTTCTGCTCTTGACTCAACTGAGAAGAAGATTCTCCACTTTTCTGATGGAAAGAATAAGTTATGTCCACATAACTTTCATCCTTTAGAGAAACATCCTAAGGTACACAGATTCTCTATCATCTTAGAAGCTTGTCTCTTCTATGTGTTCACCATTCTCAAACAATCCTGCAAAAGCTATACAGTTCATCATTTAACTTTTCCTATGTGACACAAGTTGAAACTGCAAATATTGTAAGGAGCAGGAAAGCTTTAAAAAGAGAGAGAAAAGAACAGATAAGGCTTACTATTCTTTGCAGATGAATTCAGGAGTAGTTCTGCTGGAGGACGGAGCAGACCTAGAAAGCTCCAGCAATATAAAATAAGCTCATAAATATCATTTCAATTTGATCTTTTGGTTTGGGAAATGAGAGTTATAGCAATTTCATGAGTCGGAGTTGTTAAACTCCATAAGAAATTGTAATAAATTCTGTAACAGCATCCACAAAGGTAAGTTTATACAAAAGTTCATATAAATTTCTAAGTTAAAAAATATATAAAATAAAGCTATTATAAATAAATAGGAAAATTCTCAAAGATTATTTTAAAATCCCTTCCTTTAAATTTTTACTAATATGAACTCGTTCTACATAGAAGAATAGCACTATTTAAAACATCTAATAATGAGTATTTGTTTTCATGTAATACATAGAACTGAGACTATTCAAGGAACAGCCTAACAATGAAACTGTGTTCAAACATCAGTCACCACCCTTTCTCTGCTTTTTTTGTAGTCTCACTTCTCACTTAAAATGAACTCACCTACTAATCCAATTTGAATCAGTGATTTAAAAGCCCTTTGAAAATGGAGTAGCCATATAAAAAGAAATTAAATATCCATCATGTTTGGAAAACAAGAGGTGCATATGGAACACTGCAGAACGATGTATTCAGGGTCCTTAGTGCTTCCAAATTTGATGAGCTTTAATTAAAATTAATTCTCAATATTACACCCAAACCTCTGCTCAACAGTCCTAGGCAGGGATATTAAGAACCTGAAGAACATGTTTGAAGTTCAGATGACTATTCTCTCCCCAAGGGTCTTTCAGAATTTCCAGGGCATGTATCTTTTTTTTTTTGAGAGGGAGTCTCACTCTGTCGCCCAGGCTGGAGTGCAATGGTGTGATCTCGGCTCACTGCAACCTCGGCTTCCTGGATTCAAGCAATTCTCCTGCCTCAGCCTCCCAAGTAGCTGGGATTACAGGCACATACCACCATGCTGGGCTAATTTTTTGTATTTTTAGTAGAGACAGGGTTTCACCATGCTGGCCAGGCTGGTCTCCAACTCCTGACCTCCTGATCTGCCCGCCTCGGCCTCCCAAAGTGCTGGGATTACAGGCGTGAGCCACTGTGCCTGGCCTGGTATGTATATCTTGAAAAAGTTTCCCAAGTGATTCTAATACATAAGTGTTATACCCTCTCTGTTGCCTCCTTTATTTGAACACTAACACTCTCGGGAATGCTTCTATGTGGGGAAATGCATATGGGAAAACTATTAACATATAATTATGGCAACTACCCATTACATGGGAAATATGGCCCTAGGCACTTTTACATGATACCATACAATCCTCACAACAAACCTGAAAGGCTCATTGTCACTTTGCTGATGGAGAAACTAAGATTACAAGGTTAAAAATTGTGCCGAAAGTCACAGATTTATTAAAGGCAACCAAAGAATTCAAGCCTGGGCTTAAATCTGAAGCCTGTGCTCTTCTGGCCATACTGCACTCCTTCAGAGTCACTGTGTGCCTTCTCCTTCCCTTCTACCCATTCTACTGTTACTGCCTCAATACATACATTTGTGGAGTGTTAGTCTATATACATACAAGACTTAAAGACTCAATCACTACTTCTACCCTTAAAAAAAAAAAAAAAGAGCAGCAATCTCTTAATCACAATGTTCAAAAGTACCAGATTATCCACCTTAGAGCAATAAGAATCCCACCTCACCATATAAAACCATAAGGCAAAAAAACTCATCTCTAAATCTCAAGACAAGAACACCAAACTGGCCTCGTAAGAATAAATGCTAAGAAATTACATCTGCAGTAAACTTACAAACCTAAGGTATAAGTGTTTCAACTGCTACTATTTTTTTTTTTTTTTTTTTTTTGAGACAGTGTCTCACTCTGCCACCCAGGTCGGAGCGCAGTGGCCTGATCTCGGCTCGCTGCAAACTCTGCCTCCCAGGTTCACGCCATTCTCCTGCCTCAGCTCCCCCGAGCAGCTGGAACTATAGGCGCCTGCCAACACGCCCAGCTAATTTTTTCTATTTTTAGTAGAGACAAGGTTTCACCATGTTAGCCAGGATGGTCTCAATCTCCTGACCTCGTGATCTGCCCGCCTCAGCCTCCCAAAGTGCTGGGATTACAGGCGTGAGCCACCGCGCCCGGCCGCTACTTTCATATGAGTAGTAACGCTTTGACAATCTCCCTCATTTTATTTGCTCAACCTTGGATTAATGGCAACCTGGTATAACCAAAAGATGTCAAAAATTTTAGCTAATATAAGATATTCCACTGTCTCTTCTCGGCCACTAAACCAACTACATTTGCTCCTAATAAGTTCTTTAAAATTGACTATCATATAAATGTCCCTAACATTTAATATATATTAATAATAAGAGTCTGCTTTCTTGACCTAATATCCAGGTGTAACAACGGAACATTAAAAATTCAGGGCCGGGGCCAGGCACGGTGGCTCAGGCCTGTAATCCCAGCACTTTGGGAGGCTGAGGCGAGCAGACCACCTGAAGTCTGGAGTTCGAGACCAGCCTGACCAACATGGAGAAACCCCTTCTCTATTAAACATACAAAATTAGCTGGGAGTGCCACATGCCCGCAATCACAGCTACGTGGGAGGTTGAGGCAGGAGAATCACTTGAACCTGGGAGGCAGAGGTTGTGGTGAGCTAAGATCGTGCCATTGCACTCTAGCCTAGGCAACAAGAGTGAAACTGTCTCAAAAAAAAAAAAAAAAAAAAAAATTCAGGGCCGGGAATGATGGCTCATGCCTGTAATCATAGCACTTTGGGAGGCCGAGGCAGGTGGATCGCTTGAGTCCAGGAGTTCAAGGCCAGCCTGGGCAACATAGTGAGACCCCATCTCTACAAAAAATACAAAAATTAGCCAGGCATGGTTGTGCACACCTATACTTCCAGCCACTCTGGGGGCGGAGGTGGGAGGATCACTGAGCCTGGGAGCAGAGGTTGCAGTGAGCCAAGATCACACCACAGCACTCCAGCATGGGTGGCAGAGCAAGACCCTGTCTCAAACAAACAAAGAAAAAAATAATTCGGCAGTGGGGTCTTCTGTTAAAACCAGGATGCCCTGTAGGTGTCAGTAACTAACGACAAGGTCACACTAACTTGCCTGTATTTGAACCTACCTTGTTTTTCTTGCCTCGTGGTTCACTTAGAGCTAGTTCATCTTGAAGTAGTTCTACCCTCTTGGCAAGCTGCAGATTTCGAAATGTCAAACTGTCCATTTCCTGTTGTAGTTTTCTCAATGACTGATCCTTCATTTTCAGTTGCTCCTATATCAAAGTGAAAACAGATTGGTCCTCACAGTTTAGCTGTAAGGTTTAGAAATTTTATTAAAAATTATTTCTATTTCACCAAAATATAATCAAAACCTCTTGCTTTAGGAAATTCAGGTTGTATGTGTATCACTTCAGTTCTTAAGTTTTTAGCACTTTGTGAAAAGATAATCTTTTGGCTAAACCAAGTAAATATAAAAATAAGAGCAACTATACTAAAGTAACAGATCGTGATCAACTAACATCCTATGACAGTGAACAGACACAAAGATTGAGGCTACAAATTTATAAACTTATTTGATTTATTTATTTATTTATTTATTTATTTTTTGAGACAGAGTCTCGCTCTATTGCCCAGGCTGGAGTGCAGTGGCACAATCTCAGCTCACTGCAACCTCCGCCACCCGAGTTCAAGCATGTCTCATGCCTCAGCCTCCCGAGTGGCTGGGACTTCAGGCGCACACTACCATACTCGGCTAATTTTTTTGTATTTTTAGTAGAGACAGCATTTCGCCATGTTGGACAGGCTGGTCTCAAACTCCTGACCTCAGGTGATCCACCTGCCTCGGCCTCCCAAAGTGCTGGGTTTACAGGCATGAGCCACCATGCCTGGCCAAACTTAGATATTTAAAAAGAACCTCAGATTTACTGATGATTCCCTTCAGTGAAAAAGAATGGGAAGAAATATACTTGTATTCCATTTTTTCTGTAAATCCTCCCTGAATTTAAATTAGTCAAAATGAAGTCTGCAACACACTTAATTGTTCTTCAACTATTCTGACATATCAAAGATAAAAATCAGTATCATACCAAAAATATTTTCATATGCTGTCCTACAATAATTCACTTTAAAGCTAAATGACAATAGAAACAAAATCTAAAATATTCTGCTAACCTTTTTGACACACCCTCTGGTGACCATTTTGTTCTGTTTATGCCATAATGGGGTATGAAAATGGAAAACTAAAGAGAAATATTTAGTTTCACTCTTTTTTAAAAGAATTATTCTAACTATATTTTACTTATGATGTTCTGACAACTTTTTATTCACTGATTGTCAAACACAGATGGCCATGTAATACTGTATATTTAAAGAACTGGGCTGGCACAGTGGCTCATGCCTGTAATCCCAGCACTTTGGGAAGCCGAGACAGGAGGACTGCTTAAGCCCAAAAGCTGGAGACCAGCCTGAGCAACATAGTGAGACGTCATCTCTATTTAAAAAAATAGAAAATAAAAAAATAACTGTATGTTTACTAATTTCACTGAAACAATTATAAAACATGAAGGTCATGCTTTAACGAACAGATGATTTAACTGTATTGAAACAGCAACCTAGGCCAGGTGCAGTGGCTCACGCCTATAATCCCAGCACTTTGGGAGGCTAAAGAGGGCGGATCACTCGAGGTCAGGAGTTTGAAACTGGCCTGGCCAACATGACAAAACTCCGACTCTACTAAAAATACAAAAATTAGCCAGGCAGGGTGGTGCACGCCTGTGATCCCAGTGACTCAGGAGGCTGAAGCACAAGAATCACTCAAACCAGGGAGGCAGAGGTTGCAGTAAGCCGAGATTGTGCCACTGCACTCCAGCCTGGGTGACAGAGTAAGACTCTGTCTCAAAAAAAAAAAAAAAAAGGAACAGCAACTTAAAAGCCATAGGCTAGTGTCTACACTCTACTGACATTACCTGCATGTTGAGAAAAGTGCTAGAGGGATAGAACAATATGCTCCCATTAAGGAGAAAATAATTTTTTTCCTACATTTGTTTAGTAAAACCTTAATTTTTACTTGTAGTTCAAAGGCAAATTTAGGCCTAGCCCATGTCCAAACTATCATGTCTTTCAAATTTTAAAAATTCAAATCAATGAGCATTGATTACACCTAACAGCGCACTGAAAGGGTAAACCCAGTAATAAAACTAAAAGCCTCCTGTAACACAGGAAATCCAAATATTCCTGTCTAGCAAACTGGCAAATTGTCACTTGTTGTACTATAATTACAATGACTACTGTAATAAACAGTAAAAAAAAAAATAATTTATTTTTCTCATAATTTATATTATATAATTATAATATATAATTATGCTTATAATTCTTAAAATAAACTAATGCTCCAACTCCATTAACCAATCATTAATTTCAGAAAACATCTATCCCAGCCTTTCGCTAAACTCCAGTTTCTGTAATGGGGATGATAATGTTATCTGACCTCATCGGGTTGTTGTGAACACTAAATAAGATAATGGACATAATGGACTTAGCACAATGCCTGGTATGCAGTGAGTGCTCAATCAATAGAACCAGCTGTCACCACGCCTACCACTGTTCCTACCATTACTGCCATCACAGAGTTAATCAAACACAACCAGCAACAGGAGGGTATGAAACACCAGCGCAGGCTACTAGGACAAACAAGGAAAGACTTTCCCCAGCAATAAGTTTAAATATCATTTGGAGATATAATGATCATTTTTTCAACAATTTTGGTGAAACAATAACTTGACTAATAAATCCTGACTATAAAGCTTCTTTTTTAATCATCTTGGCTTGGGTGCAGAGAGCCTGGAAGTATGGGTGGGGTGTTCAGAACCATCTCAACCCTGAGAGTGTGCTAACAGCACCTGAGGAGGAGACACTCAGAGACAGATTTCTCTCCTGTAGGATCCAACAACTGACTACGTAAAAGGACAATTTCTGGGGCTTAGTTGCCTAAGTGGAGCCACCTCAGACATATTACTGATCAGGGGCTTATCCAAAAAGAGACAGAAGTAAGAGGAATCCTAATCCCATCTGTCTAAAGAGAGCAGAGGGAGCAAGAAAGGGAAAGAGCAAAAGAGTGAGCTAGACAGTATATTTAACTGAAACTTGGCCAAGAAGAAATCCAAATCCTAGACTTAATTTATCCATTTAAAAATATCACTAAGCAATATTTACTACATGCCTACTAGAAATGAGGCAGAAACAAATTCCTTCATCTATCATATTTCTCCCCTCAGTTAACAAAAATGCTGATGGTAAAATGTATCACTCAAAGAGTGTCCTGATTAACACAGGTTATTACTATTAAATAACTCAACTAAAGGCAAGATTTAGGGACTAAATGATTCACACAATGGAATCCACTTATTAGAGACCTGCCATCTGCTGAGTGAGAGGGATTCAAATAGGAATATGACATAGCCTCCCTCAGAAAGCTGTCTGTGATGACAACTGATAAGAAGCCTTAATAATCCAGATAAACCGAGCTAAGTAAAGGCCTTGAGGCACAGGAGTAATGCATTAGACAAAGTCACATAATACCTTTTTTTATAATTTTTAGCTAAGGAAATCAAAGTACCTCATGTTCTTACCTAAGCAAGTAGGAAAATTAACCACAAAAGACTGTATTACTGTCCCCTATCCCTAGTGAATCAGTGTCAGAGTTGGAACTTTAACCCAGAAAACCCAATGAACCTGCTTTGAGCAACACCAAATGCTAACTTAACCCTCACAACACAAATATCCTGTTGCCCACCTTTAAAGCTGCAGAATTTGCTTGTTCATCCACAACACCTTTTTTCAGAACCTGATTCTGAGCCCGAAGCTGAAAACAGAGAAAGCAATAATCAATTTCTAATATAAAGCAATTGGTTATATCAAGGAAATCACATCAATTTTACAGGCATCATTACACTGAGTAACTAAGTAGCTTCTCACATATATATGAGAACAAAAAAGTATTAGACCCAAAGAGGGTAGTAGATAACAATAATTCACCATTTTACAGATAAGGAGGACACACAGGCTGAGTTGCCCAATGAAATAAAAAAAAAAAATCAATGGCAAAAATGGGACTAAAATCCAGTCTCCTGATTTCTAGTGTGTCACTCTTTCTATAAAACCAAGTCCCATCCCTAAATAAAAACTAATACAATAAATAATATGGTACTGAATATGCCATGTTCCTTGAAATTCTGACACACCATTCATTTGTAAAATACATACAACTGGACTAATTATAAAGTAAGAATTCCACAGAAAATAAAAATGTGGGGCATCAACATCCCAGTAGGACACTGTGCCTAATATTAGACATGCAAATGTCATCATCAACAATGGCCTCGGGCATCAGCTGGGGCAGTGTACAAAAGCAACTAAGAAGCAGGCTCCATTTAAAAGTTAATAATAGTACCCACTTACATATGAATGCTCACTACAAACTAGGCACCGTCCTAAGTACTTTTATGTATTACTTCATCTAATCCTCACAATCCTGTGAAGTGGGTACTCTAATTACCTCCATTTTACAGATGAGGAAACTGAGGCACAGAGAAGTTAAGTAGCAATGCTGAGATTCAGACTCTACCAGTTTGGACTCCAAAGTCATAATGCCAATTAGACAATACTGGCTGCTATTTCACAAAGCTACATTTAAGTGAAAAAAGCAGTGAGCTGGAGAGGTGAGAGATGCCTTTGGAGAAAGAGGTAAAACTTGGGCTTTTTTTCACAGATAATTATTAAATACTGAGAAATAACGCTATTTTAAATAAAGTATACAAATCAGAAATTATGCAGCTAAATGCATTTTTACTTATGTATACATCTATATAACCACCACTGGCAGGGTTTTAAAAGATAAAATTTACTTCTGTAATAAGAGGAAAGTATTCTCAGTGAAGAGAACACAGAGCACTTAAGCATAAATATACAAGCTCATTGTAGCTGAAGCAAAAGGTTTACAGACTAATATTCCCAGGGCTCAGTGCAGATATCATGAAAGACCAGGTTCTTCTCTGAGAAACTGAAAGAATGAGACATCTTTGTATGTGAGCTTTAAAAAAAAAAAAAATCTATTTCTAAAATTAAAAATAAAAAATTTTTAAAAATCTTTCTAATTCTGCATAGCTCAGATCTGTCTCCTGAGAACACAGAACAGAAATGACCCTTTTCTGTGCCAAAAGAACAAGCATATTTGAATGCTAAATCTTAAACTATTTAAAACTCAATGGAAAATTTAGCTAAGATTCTGAGATAAAATGCAGGAATACTGCAGGATATTCAACAGTTTGAGCAAAAGACAGACTAAAAAGATGAGATTCTTCTATTTTTAGAAAGTTAGAGATGACAGTTCATTACCACAAGAGAAAGCAGACCCAAATATTTGCTCTGCCATTTATTAGACAATATAAACTTGGGAAATTCACTTAACCAGCTATATGGTCTATAGAATGGGAAATTCACTATAACCAGCTATATGGTCTATAGAATGGGTAAATTCATTTACCCTACCTTCCTTCTTCTGAGGCTACTGTGAGAACCAGATAAGAAACCTATGTCAAAGCACTTTCTAAACTATAAAATGCTCCACAAATGGAAACAGAGCTCTTATTATTAGAACAGATTCAAAATGACAACAGATATGTTTATTATAGTTTGCATGGTGTAAGGCATTGTACACCTTGATTGATATGGGTGAGAGATGTAAAAGATATGTTCTCTATTTTCAAAGAACTTACACTTTAAAAGGGAAGATAAAATATTAAAAGATAACTAGCAATACTAGTATTTCCTGCTTGAAAAAAAAAGTAGAAGAGATTAAATTCTCTAGAACACGGGTTGGCCAACTAAGGTCTGAGGGCCAAATTGGCAGGCTATTTTTAAAGTTTTATTGGAACATAGCCATACTCATTCATTTACGTACTGTCTATGGTTGCTTTTGAGGTACAATGGAAGAGACGAGCAGTTGCAACAGAAACCACATAGCCTCAAGCCTAAAATATTTACTGTGTGGCCTCTTACAGAGCTTGGTAAACTCTGCTCTAGAAGTTCAAAAGAGAGAAATACCACTTTAATGTTGACTTCCATGATGTAGTGTTCTACTTTTTAAGCAAATATCAACATAGTCTTGAATAATGTGCTACTTCACAGAATTCAATAAATACTTTCAAATCCATATAGCCAAAAAAATAGCAATACTGCTTCAGTCTTTAGATTTTATTTTATAAATCTAAAGACGTTAGATTTTATTTCATACCCCTGCCTTAGCTGTGATCTGTAATCTCTTACATGTCTTCTTTGTGTGGTATTTAGAAGCTCCTAACGACTACTTCAAGGACTAAGAATGAAGCTTGAAGTTCACTGAACTGATAATTTCCTGTAAAACCAGAACCACAGCAATTAATTTTAAGAAAAAAAACCTCATCTTTCATTTCTAAGGCACACTGCAGACTATTTAAAGCAAACTGAACAGACTGCTTTGTTAAAAAGCAAAATGAAACTTTCAAGCTATTGCTGTTAGGAATTTAATATAACTGATTATAACAAAAAAAATTAGGATTTTCCTTTGCAAAATATTTTTTACTAAACTGGTAACTCAAACATGGTTTCAATGAAACCATTTAACAGACAATGCAGCTTTTTAAGAAACTGTTATCTGAAAGACCTTTCTATTACTTAGTAGGTAGAAATGGAGGAAGATGATAAGCTTGCATACTCTATTGCCATTTTAACTACTCTTTGCAACATTTGATGTTTTTCTGCATTTCAGCATCACTTCTGCCACTCTTACTGCATTACTGAATGAGAAGCTTATAAAATCCTGAGCTGCTCTTATTAGCCTGATCTTTTTTTTTTATTTTATTATTTATTTATTTATTTATTTTGAGACTGAGTCTCGCTCTGTTGCCCAGGCTGAAGTGCAGTGGTGCAATCTCAGCTCACTGCAGCCTCCACCTCTCGGGTTCAAGCGATTCTCCTGCCTCAGCCTCCCAAGAAGCTGGGATTATAGGCACGTGCCACCACGCCCGGCTAATTTTTTGTATTTTTAGTAGAGACAGGGCTTCACCATGTTGACCAGGCTGGTCTTGAACTCCTGACCTCAAGTGATCTGCCCACCTCAGCCTCCCAAAGTGCTGGGATTACAGTCATGAGTCACCACATCCAGCCAGCCTGGTCTTTTAGAATCTATCTTTCTCTGCACCAGTATTCACCACAGAGGGGAGGCAAATGAACACTGTTTTTGTTTTAGATGTAGGTATAAGATTACCGGATGGTCACTACTGCCTCTAGGAGTCCAGAATGGAGACACCAATGCATATGACATAACTGAGAAACAACTGCCCTGAAGTCTCTATTAGTACAGAAAAACTCTCCTGCAGATGATAGAGCTTATTTTCAACAGCTGTGCACCAAGCTCTTCTGTTCCATTCAGTGGGGGAAGAGTACCTCTGAATCCCTCTTAATCCTTTTAAATCTCATTTATCCTTGTTTTGTAATTTTCTGATTCATTTTACCCTTACTTTGAGAGCACAGCCCTTCTTCACTTTGGCCAACCAAATCCCACCTGTTCTCTAGGATCCTACTTTTTACCTACTGGCCCTACTTCCTCCATAATTTTTCCTAATCACTCCCTGACTCCCTACGGCCCATAGAGAGCCTGTGCCTCAGTTCCTTTGGCACTTACTAACAACAAAACATCTCTTTAAAATTAAACTATTCAGTTTTAATTTTGCTTCTAAAAACAGTAAATTTTACATTTTACTAATATATGTATTTCTGTATAGGCTGGGAGCAGTGGCTCATGCCTGTAATCACAGCACTTTAGGAGGCTGAGGCGGGCAGATCACCTGAGGTCAGGAGTTCAAAACCAGCCTAGCCAACATGGCAAAACCCCATCTCTACTGAAAATACAAAAATTAGCCGGGCATGGTGGCAGGCGCATGTAATCCCAGCTACTCAGGAGGCTGAGGCAGGAGAATTGCTTGAACCCAGGAGACGGACGGAGGTTGCAGTGAGCCAAGATCACACCACTGCACTCCAGCCTAGGAGACAGAGCAAATCAATCAATTAATAAATAAATTTCTGTATTCATTTCCCACCTGCCACCTTAAACTGTTCTCCATGGTAAAGACTACAGTATACTTCCTTGTATTTCCTGCCTGCAATGAAAGATCAATGCTATGGATAGAGAAGGAACTCAATAAATTTTTAGTTATTTAATCAGTTAATTTGATTAATCAAATTAATCAAATCAAATTAATAAATTATACATATAAAGGTGTTTAAATGTAATACATTATATAAGAGATTGCCATTACTTTAACAGTTCTCTTTTAAGACTCTCCAAATAATTTGAACCTCATGATCCTATTGGACACCAAGAATCCTCAAAAGCCTTGAGCCTAACTCTCTAATGACCAGTGCCCAGACCTGCTCTCTACAACTCTGGTTCTGGAATAGCCCAACTTCAGTGAGGCCTATCACACAGCTGTTTCTTCTAGGACACAGAGTGCTGGTAAGCTCACTATGACTTCTCTCATGCCACTCTGACAATATGTGATAGGCTAAATGGCCCAAGATTGGGGATTTATTACCTTCAATCACAAACTGTTGGAAGAGTTTTTGGGGAAAGTGAGATGAATCATTCATATGCATTTTCTCAGCTAATCCTCAACAATCTTGTGTTAGAACCACTTTTACATGGCTGTCTTCATGCAGTGGACTTTTTTTGACATTTATACATATTTTACAACCCTATAAAATAAACTTTTAAACATACAGTCTTTTCTTCAATACAAAGTGACGTGTGCAAGACAACCCTATGCCACACCAAAACCCTGATTCAAAGCTTCAGAATACTGAAGTCATGTGCAGACCCCAGCTGCAGTATCTGGCCTGGATGACCCCTAAAACTCCTTCCAGTTCTAACATTTTAAGTATTCCAAATTACTGGGAATCCTACTTAGTCTTTCTTTCTGCCTACTTACTTGTTGCTATCCCAGGACAGGGATAAAGTATGTGCAGGCTACATATTATGCAGCAGTAGCTAGGGTTACTTTGTCACTGAGGCAGGAAAAAACTCACATCTGCCTCAAATGGCATCCTTTCTCCTGCTCCTGCTCCCATGCAGGGAAACTCACTACGACAAAACCCCAACCCTTGCAGTTTAGCTGCCCCTAGGTGAATGGGTGAGTAAATCAGTTAAACTAAACAGGAAGAGGAGGCTGCCCCTTGTCTTTCTAGGGCCTTGTCCCAAGTGTGGTCTTTGGACAGCTGCAATAGTTTTACCTGGAGGCAGAATCTCAGGCCCCACCCCAGACCTACTAAACCAGAATCAGCAGTTTAACAAGGTCTTCAAGTGAGTCATTTAGACATTTACATCTGTGATGCAAAGACCCAGGGTCTAAGCTAGCACTGTCCAACAGAGTACTCAATAGCTACAAGTGGCTATTTTAATTAAATTATTTAAATTAAATAAAACCTAAAATTCAGTTCCTCAGTCACACACTAGCTACGTTTCAAGCACTCAACAGCCATGCATGGCTAGCGGTTACCCTGCTGGACAGCACAGATACAGAACATTTTCATTCTCATGGAAACTTCCATTGGATAGCACTGAACACAAACCTGTTTTCCAACCCAACTTTACTAGTGAATCCTACCTACACATCAGGGTCAAAAAAAAAAAAAAAAAAAAAGCTCATATTCAATTTTAATCCTATCCAGCTCCTGAGTCTATTTCTCTATAAAAGTAGGTGATAAATCAGGTACTGCCAAGTCCTGTTATCTGGAGAGCAAACATGCTGGATCAAAACTGACCCTTTCTCCATACAAGTAGCTGTGTACTAAGAGTATAAGTCTAAAAAGCTCCCTTTATATGCAAAGGAAGCATCAATTGCAAAGTAAACTGTAGAGAAATAATGGATGTTTGGCTTTCCTGCTGGCATCCACTGTCCCAAAAAAAAAAAAAAAGAACTTTAAAAAGATTATCTTTATTTCTGCCAAGGCTACTATCCCAATACCATTCCTTGATCAATGATTTTCAAATGTTAGCATGAATCCAATCACTGGAAAGTTTTGTTACAACACAGATTGCTGGGTCTCACTGCTAGTTTCAGATTCAATAGGTGCAGGGTGGACCCAAGAATTTACATTTCTAACCCATTCCCAGATGATGTTGTTTCAGGTTCCACACTTTGAGAATCATTGACCCAGGGTAACACAAACATTGAAAAGACAATTAGAACTTGAAACTTGCTTACACAAACACCACGGTGCCAGGCAAGAGTGCTCCCGCAAAGAAAGCAGGCTAAAATCAAATGAGCCAGAACTCAGCACTTTTTGCCTCTCTTCTCCATAATGAGATACAACAGAGCATCAGAAGCAGAGCAGGTCATGGAAGAAACAGCAAGTCAGAAATGGTCTTTCATCCTTAATCTATAATGTAGCAACTGAGGTCTTGATTAACTTTCCCTCACATCTCAAGGAGGTAGCTTGCATCTGTTATTAACTTCACAAACCTCTGAAAACCAGCCTCTACACACATTCATTCTCCCTCCCCAAACTCTATTGAACCTGAAATATTAAGAACCTCAAATGACCCTCTAATTGCCCAAACCACTGGGTCTTAATCTCCATTTTTACTAACCTTTCCATAACACTTTCTTTTAGCAATCTGTTTGCCTCAGCAATTCTCATCTGCTTTGACCTCCACAGTTCATCTTTTATCTAACTGGACTCTCAGTGTCTTTAATGGGAGCTCCTCAGACCACTGTTTGTTTGGTTTTTTTTTTCTTCCTTTTCAAGAGGAAAGATTATGAGATGGGACCTTTCCTGGAACAAAGGCTGAAATCTGCATTAAAGAAGAATGAGAAGACTCTGCCAATGTCCTTGGCTTAGGGATCATGCTTGCTGCTTTCTTGATGGGCTTCCTTCTACAGATTAAGAGGACACCTTTTTCCTTTGTATCCTAAATAAGGCAGAAAAATTATGCAACTGGATTTCAGTATCAGCCCACGAAACTTGTACCAGGGAAGGTAATAAAAAGGTGGAATACTCTTAGGCATAGGACTGGAGAGAGCATAGATCTTATCTAGAAATTGCCTGCTACTAGAATTGACAAGGAATAAAAAGCACAAGAAATCTTTTGATCAGGATCTGTTCTCCTGTGTTCTGAAATTCCCATCACATTGCAATTAAAAGAATGAAAAATGGCCTGGTCCAATAGGGGAGATGACCCCAAGTCTGGCAGGCCTCCTACAGTCTCCTTAGCATCTCTTCCTCCTCCAGGCACATCCTCCCGACAGGTGTTTCCCAATTTCTACCCTGATTAACTCTCAAAGTGCATCGTGATGGGACTTACTCCAAAAGTGCTAGCCTTTGTCCTGACTTTTAGCCAGTCCATGTCCATTAGAAAGTTTCAGCCATTACTTCCAACATTACCTCATACTAATAATATGTGAATAACAAATTTAGTGTGCCTTCCAACCCTAAACTTCCTCAACTGTATCTAACCTCTCCTATAGCCCTTCACTCTGAACGGGCTCTTCTTCCCGCTGGCCCTCATTGTGTCAGTGGCAGTCATGTTCCCTCACCTCAGAACTGCAGGGACAACTCTGAGTCTTCCCACATTCACCAAGTCCCAAAATGAATGAGACACAAGGATGAGTGCCTTGTATGTTTGGTTAGTGCCATGCACACAGCAGGCACTCAAAAAAAGGAAAGCTGAAAAGCATTTTTTAACCATAATTCCTGAATCTAGCCCCTACTCTATAGCCCCAGAGGTCACTAACTTTATATAACCCTACATTACTCTCCCCAAAACTATTTCAACAGTCTACTCCCTGCTTTTTTCCCACCAATCTTTCCCTATTTCAATCCATCCTTCACAGTTATCAGTGTCCTTCCTAAAAGTAATGTCACTCCCCTGCTTAACCTTTGGCATCTCTCCATTACTCAAAAGGTAAAGTTCACTCTTCTTACTTGACATCCACAACCTTTCATAATAGGGTCCAAATTATCTCTCCTACCTCATTTCACCACTCTCTGCCATGTGAAAGCTCATTAATCTTAATGAGCTTTCATACCAGCAAACATGGACTGTTCCCTTTGCCTGGAAAGCTACTACTCCTTCATTTCCTCTTCTCTAATCCCCAGTATAACCTCAACGCTTATCCAATGTCTTCGGTAGTCCCACTGAACTAACACTTGTCGTACTATATCATAACTATGTACTACGTTAGAATATTCCATTAAAGGTGACTTGTTAAGCTGAACCCTGCCTCACTCAACAGACCCTGGCAGACTGCTCAAAGGGGGCACATATTGTCTGCTAAACAAGCTTACATATCCAAAAACTTTTCAGTTTTTATTACTTTGGGAGGCTATACAGTTATTTCAGCAATGTAGTCCCTACTCAAAACATTTTGGAACTCCCCTCTTGCCATTTGTAATGGCCTTCTGAGCTTGCTGGCTTTCTGGAGAAGAAAATCAGTCCCCTTGCTTTATACTCACGAAACATTTTCTTATTTTTTTCTTCTTTTCACAGGTGTTGATCATGAAACATTTTCAACCAAAAATAGTAGAGCCAAATTTGAGCATTGCCAACCTCCACCCACCTCCCTTCATCACATGGATTTGTTCCAAACAACTTCTGGCCCTTCAAGCAAGGAAACACTCCTTCAAAAGATGAACACTTGCCATCACTAACATTGTGCCACAGGCTCTTAAGACAATTTCAAATGGAAATGCAACGAAGTTTTGCTAATGGTAGCATCACTGAAATAAGTGTAGTGTCTCAAAAGACTCCTATGTGATGGTGAAGAATTAAGTGTGTATGTTTAGGCACAAGTTTTATTTTTCAAAGAATATTTCATCTTGCTATTTGTCGAATGAAATCTTAAGGAATAAAATGTGTCTCAGTTTCTCCAAATTGCAAAAAGGAATTACCATCTTCCCACTGACTCCATGAATGCCAAAGTCACTGAAAACTAAGCTTAATGACTGTTGAATCAATTTCCAAAGATGTAAAATTCTGCTTTAATAACTTCATTAAAATATTCTTAAACTAGAAACACCCTACCCAGAAACTGCAGCATCCTTTTCCAAGGAAAGGGTTATATCATTTAAAAGACTGATGCCATAAACACGAGAAAGGGGCAGGTCCCCATGTTGCTTAATGTGTATTGAGCACCCGCTGGGTGTCTGCCCCATTCTAGGTGACCGAGGGACAAGAGAAAGAAAAGGATAGAGCCGTAGCACTCAAGCTTTCAAAATCATTCCTGACAACCTCTTGCCAAAGCAGTGAATACATTCATAACCACCCATCCCTAGTGAAGCAGTTTACCCGAATGTCTCTATTTACCCTCTCGAATTGATTCGGGGGAAGATAAATCTCTTTAACCTCATATCATCCCTGTGGGAGGGGAGAAGGGTTGATCTTCCCCATCCCTAGGCTGAGAAAATTGAGGAAGCAGCGAGGTGAGGAGTGGTCCACACCTTTCCCTTCCCTTCTCAGCCAGCATTAGAGGCAAGAAGCCAGAATTTCTGACATCCCAGTCCCAAGCCCGCTACTTCAGTGAAAAGGAAGAATCAAACTCCAGCTTCTCCCTGCAAAAACGCTCACGGACGCAGACACCGCCCGGCCCCATCTCCTGGGAGCTGCAGGTGGAGGCACCGTAATGGTGGACGGAGACGGCTGAGGGGAAAGGTGGGGCGCGCTCGCGTGCCCCTCCCGCAGTACCCCTAGGTCCCGACAAGTCGCTGCCACGGCAACCTGAGGCCGCAGGGCGGGGGACCCCCTACTCCCAGACCACGATGGGTACCTTCGAGTACTCCTGAGCCAGCTTCTGGTACTTCCCCTGCAACTCAGCCGAGGCCATGGCCTCCCCCGCCCCGTACAGGCCAGGCCGCCCAGGCGGCTCAGCCTGTCTCCCGCCCCCAAACCCAGACACGCTCCCGGGAACGGGTCAGGCAGTATCTGCCTGCTTGGCCACCGCAGCCGCCGCCGCCGCCGCCGCCGCGCCTCCTCCTCCACTTCCGGGTTCCCGGGGTGGGAGGAAGGTGGAGTGGGGCCGGGGGCGGAGCGACCACAGAGGGCGGGGCGACGTCTGGCGTCAGTGCCCCACCCTTCGCGCCCGAATACGTGCGTGCGTAGCCTCGCTAGCGTGCCTGGGCTGTGCCCCTGGGACCAGGGGGCGCCATCTTGACTCATGGTCCAAGATGGCGACCTGGAACGCTGAGCGAGAGAATCAAGACGGGAAGAGACTCATGAGAGCCTATAGAATGGGCGGGGGACCTAGGAGAGGGACGATAATTGCGAAGACCAGAGGGCCGGAAGAAGAAACATTCTAAGCGCATCAAGAATTCTGGCCGACTCCCCACAGCCCCGGGTTCCCATGGCAACCGCCTGGCGCTTGATGGTTACATCTTTCAGCACAAGCGTGGAAAGATTTGTGTATTCGGCTATTTTGTCATCCGCATATGATAGCACAGGACATGCTCTGCACTGTAAACTCTCAGACCTTCCCGATATTTGTAACTTTGGCTGCTGCCACTGGCCCCGGCTCCAAACCTTCAGTGTCCTGTATTTTGACATTTCTTTGTGTCCGTCTCTACCCACTTCATTCTCCCACTCCTACCCCTTTACACACACCACATCAGAGCTTTTTTGTGGGGACTGAGTAAAAGACCTTTAGGAAATTTCAGGTATCGATTCCTTCTATGCATGCAGAGTAGATATGAACAGCAAAAATAAAAAATAAAAAAATTGAAGCAGAAATAGTCTGCCTGAGAGATTTTATGTGGATACTGCTTGAATTAAAAGCCTGCCTCATTCATTTAAATTTTCTAAAGATATTCTTCTAGGTATTGTATGCATTGCAACATTAAAATGTTCATTAATAGAGAAATGAATAAATACAGGGCATATGTTTGCCATAAATTACAATATGGCAGTTAAAATTAATAACCTAGATCTATATATGTATATATAAACATGGCAAAAACATGTTGAATGTAAAAAGCAAATTGCAGTATGCTACAGTATGAAATGATACATTTTTAAAATATAAAGTAACATTTTTATTGTTCATGGACACATGTACTAAAAATACAGAAACAAGAACTAGAAGGGAATACATCAAATTCTGGATAGTAGTTGCCTTTAGTGAGAAAAAGGGAAAGGAGATGAAACTGGAGAGGACAAAGGGGCATAAACTTTCTCCTTATTTCTTTAATTTTTTACAGTAAGTATAACAAGATTTTAACATTTATTAGGTAATAGGTACAGGAATGTTATATTGGCACTTTAGAATGCTTGCAAATTTCCATGATTAAAAAAGTATTAGTGCTATTTTTATTTGACTATTAGCCAGGAATTTTATAGTGAAGGGCTGAGTCTATGTGCATTTTCAGCCACTGTAGTGTGTAAGAGAATTACAAACTTTTTTTGAATATTCATAGTTTTCAGTTTGCTCATAGATCCCACTGTCCAGCAAACTTTCAGAACAATAATTTTTAAAATTATTACTCTTAGTTTTCTATGGCACCACCGAGAGGCAGAATTAAATATTGTAAGTGTATCTCAATGCTATGTAAAATAATGGAATTTTTTATTATTTAAAAAATTGCCGGCCGGGCGCTGTGGCTCACGCCTGTAATCCCAGAACTTTGGGAGGCTGAGGCAGGCGGATCACCTGAGGTCGAGAGTTAAAGACCAGCCTGGCCAACATGGTGAAATCCCATCTCTACTAAAAATACAAAAAATGAGCCTGGCGTGGTGGCGGGTGCCTGTAATCCCAGCTACTTGGGAGGCTGTGGCAGGAGAATTGTTTGAACCCAGGAGGTGGAGGTTGCTTGAACCCAGGAGGTGGATGGTGCCACTGCACTCCAGCCTGGATGACACAGCAAGACTCTGTCTCAAAAAAAAAAAAAAATTGCCATCCCAGAAATGACATTCCGAGGAAAGAATGTGCAGTGTTAGCCAGAGAGCCTGTATAAGTTCATTTTACTGAATTTAGAATTTTATTTTGCACTAGTGAATCCAGTTGCTGTATCAGATGCATTGTTTTAAACTCCCAATTGATAAATCTGAATACATTAAAATTAAGAATCTCTGACTGAAAAGACACCCCTAAGCGAGTGAAAAGACAAGCCACAGGGTGAAAGATGTTTTCTATATATATATCCAACATAGAAAGGTCTCTTATCCAAATATATAAAGAGCTCTTACAAATCAATAAGGAAAAAAGGCAACCAAATAGAAAAATGGCTAAGAGACTTCAACAGGCACTTCACAAAGGGAGGTAGACAAATGGCCAATAAACAGGCAATAGGATGTTCACTTCCATTAATAATCAGGAGGAAGTGAAATTCAAACCACAGTGATACACCACAGCACACACACAAAAATGGCTAAAATTTAAAAAGACAAGTGTTAGTGGGGATATGAAACGAGAAACTCACATAAAATGCTGATAGGAAACTAAACTGGAACAGTCAATTACAAAAAGTAATCGGTGTTATCTACTCATTTGAAAAGATACGGCTGGGCGTGGTGGCTCACACCTGTAATCCCGGCACTTTGGGAGGCAAAGGCGGGTGGATCACCTGAGGTCAGGAGTTCGAGACCAGCCTGGCCAACACTGTGAAACCCCGTCTGTACTAAAAATACAAAAAATTAGCTGGGCATGGTGCCGAGCACCTGTAATCCCAGCTACTTGGGAGCCTGAGGCAGAAGAATCGCTTGAACTCTGAAGGCGGAGATTGCAGTGAGCCGAGGTGGCGCCATTGCACTCCAGCCTCAGCAACAAGAGTGAGACTACATCTCAAAAAAGAAGAGTAAAGATATATACTCATGACGTGGCAATTCTACTCTTATGTACATGGCCGGTAAAAATGTGCATGTATTCACCAAGAATATTCACAGCAGCATTATCCATAATAGCCAAAAACACACAAAAAACCCTCCAAATGTCTATCAACAGAATGGATAGGTAAATGAGCATTCATGTTATGGAATACTAAACAGCAACAAAAAAAGACTGACCTACAGCTACAGTAAATTTTAGATAAGTCTCAAATAATCCACAGCAAAAGTCTGATCTTTAAAAACAAATTACATTGTATGATTTTGTTTACATAGTGTTCAAAGAATGGTAGAACTCAAGTAAAGGTTCATGTATGCACGCTTGAGTGATAAAACAGAAAAGTATGGAAGTGATAACCAAAAAGTCGGGAACATGATTACTTTTAGGGAGGAGGAAATGGTAAATATTCGTATGGGGAATGAGATGGGCTTTAAGGGTATATTCGATTTCTTACCTGTGTGATAATGACACAGCTGTGCTAACTTCATGATAATTCCTTGCAAGTTACATATTTGTTCTGTGTAGTTTTTTGTATCGGTATTACATTTCACAATAATTTTTTTTTTTTGAGACAGTGTCTCACTCTGTCGCCCAGGTTAGAGTGCAGTGACGCAGTCTCTGCTCACTGCAACCTCCACCTCTGGGTTCAAGTGATTCTCTTGCCTCAGCCTCCTGAGTAGCTGGGACTACAGGCACCTGCCACCACACCCAGCTAATTTTTGTATTTTTAGTAGAGACGGGTTTCACCATATTGGCCAGGCTGGTCTTGAACTCCTGACCTTGTGATCTGCCTACCTTGGCCTCCCAAAGTGCTGGGATTACAGGCATGAGCCACCGTGCCTGGCCAATAAAATTTTTAAAAATCTCAATTGTCTCATGTTTGCCAGCAATAATTTTCAACCTATAAACATAGTATACTTAGGGGAATGATGTAAAGGAAGGTTGATGGGAATTATAAATACACAGGTGTTAGAATGGTCATTAAGTCATTTAAAAACCTACTGCTTGGGTTTTTAAAATTTCAGTTGCAAGTGTCAGCAACTGAACTCAAATTAGCTTGGACTCAGGGAATTTACTGGAAGGATGTGTGGCTATTTCACAGAAAAACAGGAAGAAATTAGGAGATACAGGACCTCAGGCACAACCTAGACCAGAAATCTGAATGCTGCTTCAGCTCTCACATTGTCTGTCTCTTCTTGCAGGTCTACATCAACTTCTACAGGGCAGCAAGCATAGTTGCCCACTGCACTGAGCCTTCCATCTCACAGTTTTGCCTCCAGAGAAGAACCAGATTGCTTAGCTCCAGTTTGAAAAAAATTCAGGGAGCGTCTCTGATTGGCCCTGCTTCAGTCAGGTTCCTATCCCTGGGACAGTCAGATCTAGCTTGAGGTTTTAGTTACACAGGACAGGCAGGTCAGCCTGGAGGACCCCTAGGTCCTGACCAAGCCAAGAGAGACTAGATCACTCTTTCCCCAAATGAAGACTTCTGTGGCAGATGCCACCAGGGTAAGCAAGGAACACACCACCACAGAGGCCAGCAAGGGTCAGAAGACAGCATCAGGCCCCGCATGATGCAGATCAAGGTTCCCTGCCCTTCCCTTAAAGGCACACACCTAGAAGCCATCTTGGGAGGCGAGAGGGAGAAGACAACTCAGAACAAACAAGCATTTCCGAAAGAAGGAACTGTTGTAAACCAAAAGAAAACTGTTTTCACTGAAGAGACTAGGATAGTATTAACTGAGTTAGCTGTTGCCCTTCCAATGGAGTACAGACTTTTGAGGAAGACTAGATCTGTCATAAAGGGGAGGCTCCATTTTCTCTGCATACCTAAGCATAATATGAATCAATTGTGGTCACACAGCATGAGCAAGAATAAAGTTTTGCTTGTGTTGTTCGTATATCACCCTGAACAATAGATCTGGCATAAAACAGGACTTGGTGGCTTCCTTATGCACCATGGAGGGATAGTGATGGAGAATAGAGCTTGCCAGCTCTCATATAGGAGGCTGTGCAAGATTAAGTTGAGCCCTGGGGCAGAAAAGGGGACTAAGACGGGAACCATCCGGGTCCTGTCTGAAAGGCTACCTCACTTTTCTGTGGAGGATGTTCCATACCACAAAGATTGGATACTTTTGAGCCATGTGGCAGGTGGTTGGGTAGACAGAAAACTGCATAGTAGTGGAAGGGTACGTACCTATTTTATTATTTTAGATAACGGCTGATACAAAAAAGAAAAGTGAGATACTGAGTGAAGCTTGGGAACCCATGATTTGGAGGATGGGTATCAAATCTTTAAGATTAAAGAATAGCTCCTGATTTGAGGACTATTTTATTATTTTATTTTATTTTATTTTATTTTAGACACAGTTTCACTCCATCACCCAGGCTGGAGTGCAGTGATACAGTCTCGGCTCACTGCAGCCTTCACTTCCTGGGTTCAAGCAATTATCGTGCCTCAGCCTCTGGAGTGGCTGGGATTATGGGCGCACACCACCAGGCCCAGCAAATTTTTTTGATTTATTTTTTATTTTTTATTTTTTTAGTACAGACGGGGTTTTGCCATGTTGGCCAGGCTGGCCTCGAACTCTTGACTGAGGACTATTTTAAATGCAATGCCGTTTTCTACATAATCTACCCAATCTAACAGTGAGTGACTCATATTTGAATACATTGCACACTTAATCTCTCACATCCCTAAAAATTCACATAATGGGGGCAAAAAATGGGATTTTGCCGACTTACAGCAGGCTCTGGCATGTAGTGTTTACAGTCAATCCTCATTATTTATGGACTCTGTATCTGCGAATTTGCCTACTAGCTAAAATTTATTTGTAACCCCAAAATCAATACTTACAGCACTTTCATGGTCATTTGCAGACATGCACAGAGCAGTGAAAAGATTTGAGTCACTGGAAGCCCACATTCCCAGTTGCAGTCAAACAAGACGATGCTCACTTTCTTGTTTCAGCTCTCATATTGTAAACGTGTGATCCTTTTGCTGATCATGTTTTTTGCATTTCTGTTGGTGATTTTGCTGTTTAAAATGGCCTGCAAGCAAAGTGCTGAAGTGCTGTCCAGTATTCCTAAGCACAAAAAAGGCTGTGATGTGCCTTATGGAGAAAATACAGATGTATGATAAGTTTTATTCAGGCATGAGTTATAGTGCTGTTTGATGTTAATGAATTAACAATATGTATTAGTAAGGTATCTTTAAACAGAAACACACATAAAACAAAGTTGTATATTGCTCGGCTGATGGAAATGTTGTGACCAGAGGCTCACAGGAACCTAACCCTGTATTTTCCTTAGGAGTAATGTGATTTGCTAATTCAGTGTTCGCTGCAATTTATAGAGCACAACTACTATAAGTAATGAGAACCAATTGTATATAGATCAAGAACAGTGTGGAACTTCCCTTGGTCATACAAACAATGATCGATTATGCCATCAGTAGAGTCATGTGTTTACTATCTTGGCTATGGGATACATTTTCCATGTTTGCACACGCTTGAAAATCAAGAGCTTCTTTCAAGTTTCTCTCTCCACGTCCTTTAAATCATGCATTCTACTTCATAGTAACTTGCTGAATGTGGCAGCTACTACAGTGATATTGGAAGACCAGCTAGCCCCACTAGCACTTCCCCAAACAGTCACTAAGATAACTAAGCAAAGATTTTCTCTGGCCTGGTTTTACAGTCCCCATGGCTGGTTACCATACTTGATTACTGGGCTAACGAACAACTAAGATGTATATATGGATGGACGTAGGCACCTGGAGGGCTTTTTATTACAACATACTGTCCTTGTTGTTATTTTTGTTTTTAATCCAGTGCAAAAATGCATGTCACTCTACCTTAAATGGAAAGGAAAAGAGGAGAGGGGTGGGCAAGGAAGAAAAGAATTTTCCTTCACATGATTTTCTCTTGAGCAGCTAGCTCCAAAGTTCAGGTTTAATAAGTGCTCACTGAGGCAAAAATCTGAACAAATTCTGATGATTTGCAATTTTGAGGAGTCCTACTAAAAATAGGAATTCAGTACTTTGAAGTTTTGCAACTCTTTTTTTTCTTGGCTTTGCCCCAGTGCTTTTCCTATCTCAGTTACAGCAACACAGAAGACCAACTGAGCAAGCACAGAGTCCTGATGTATCTTGTCCAAAGTCACATGGCGGCACAGCAGAACCGAAACCAGGACCCAAGTCCTCCACCTCTACTGCAGATTGTACTTTCCCTAAGCTAGGCTAAGTGCCCCCGTGTGGGAAACCCTTTACTCTTTAGCTTAAAAAAAAGAAGAATGAGTTCTAGACCAGGGGTGACGTGCCAAAGCAAGCCTTATATTTTTCAGTATTTGTTTGAACTTGTACCTTCACAAAAACATACCGTTGGAGTTATTTGGAGGGGATTAGGGGATCAGGGTGGGGGCTGATATAAGTATCCAGTACTTTTTTTTGCTCACAAAATCCAAGAGCAGGTTCTCAGGGAGTGGGTGGGAAGCAGACACAGTAACATTTTACAGCTTGAACCTCATCTCTCTCCGCTTCTCCCCTTCTATCTTTGCTTCATTCTTGTTTATTCTCTTCTCCCAAAACTGTTTTTAATTTTTTTCTGCCTCCCTATTTAATGGCAGGAAATAGCCACATCCAGCACTCAGATTTATATAAATTAGCATACTAGATTTTTTTAAGTTTATGCCTTTTTATCATGGACAGTTTTAAAAGATGTGCAAAAATAAAAATAAGAGTGTAGTGAACCCCATGTACCCATTACCCAGTCTCAGCAGTTCCCAACTTCAGGTCTATAACTCTATCCATGTTCTCTCACCCCACTTGATTAATCTGAAATAAATCTCAGACATTATTTTATGCTTAAATATTTCAGTATACATCTCTAAGAGAAAAGAGCTCCCCCGCCCCTTTTTTGTTGATGGAAGTCTGGCTCTGTTGCCCAGGCTGGAGTGTAGTGGCGCCATCTCAGCTCAGTGCAGCCTTCACTTCCTGGGTTCAAGCGAGTCTCCTGAGTAGCTGGGATTACAGGCGCCCACCATCACACCCAGCTAATTTTTTTTTTTTTTTTTTTTTTTTTTGTACAGACGGGGTTTCACCTGTTGGTCAGGTTGTTCTTGAACTCGTGACCTCAAGTGATCAGCCCACCTCAGCCTCCCAAAGTGCTGGGATTACAGACGTGAGCCACCGCGCCCAGCCCGACCTCCCCCTTTTTTACATAATTATTAACTAAAGTGCATACTTCATTCCTTAAGGTGTTTTTGTTGTTGTTTTTTCTGACATCTTTTTTCTCTTCTTGCAGTGGGAAGTTTCTCAGACTTTCCTTATTTTTGCTGACATGGATAGTTTTTAGGAATACTGGTCAGGTATTTTGTACAGCATGCCTCAGCTGGGATTTGGCTACTGTTTCCATATGATTACTGGGGCCAAATTTTTGGGAGGACAAACAGATAAGGTGTAATTTTCAATATATCATATTAAGGGCACATACTAGAAACCTGTTAATCTTGATACTCTTGATAACCTATGTGAATGCTGTCACAATCAAAACGGAGTCGCTACTACTTAAAAACAAAAAACAAAAAAACCTTAGCAAAGAGAGACCGGGGAGACCTTAAAAAGAGGGTTCTCACACTTGTATACCTGGTAGCAAAAGAGACTCTGGAAAAACCACAACCTTACACAAATGCTATCGCAACGTTAAACAAAAAATAGTTCTGCGGGGACAGCTGCCCAGCAACTGCCTGCCCAACCCTGGACTGGCGTTATGGCATTATCCTTGTTACTGATCTTTGTAGCCAAAGATAATTTTTTTGAAACAACTGTGTAATCTTTCTCATTTTCTTCTTTTAAAAAACCTTTGTCTTCCTTTACCTCCCTGAACACACACATAGTTAACTATGGCATTTGTACGTATTCCCACTGCAGTGTTCTATTCCCAAATTGATAACATTTTCTTTTGGAGAGCCACTCTGTTATATAGTTCAACACCTAATAAATGTTAATCTTGAATTAAAATTAGATATTAAAGAGTTCTGTTTTCTTAAGCATGAGGCCTTCCCTTTTTCCACTGTTAGGCCCTTAAATCTGATTGTATTCGTTCTACTTACTGGCTGTAAAACAAAACATGTGTATTGAGGAGCAATGAGTGACCAGATCACATATAAGGGGGTCAAATGTATTGGATTGTTAAGTTTGGCTCTTGAGGGTGGGGAGGCAGGGGATAGTCCTCAGTTTGTGTGTGTGTGTGGAAGGGGGTTCGAATGTGTATGTTAAAATATATAAATAAATTTTACCATTTTAACAATTTTTAAGTGTATGCTTCCACAGCATCAAGTGCATTCATATTGTAGTGCAATCACCACCACCCATCCAGAACTTTTTTATCTTCCCAAACTGAAACTCCATATCCCTGAAATGAAAACTCGTCATCCTCCTGCCCCCCACCCCTGGCAACCACTCTTCTACTTTCTGTCTCTATGAATTTCATTACTCTAGGACCTCATATAAGTGAACTCATATAATGTTTTGTCCTTTTGTGTCTGGCTTATTTCACTGAGCATAGTGTTTTTAAAGTTCAGCACTGTCATAACATGTGTCAGAATTTCTTTCCTTTTTAAAAAAGAATAATATTCCATTGTATATATATACCATATTTGTTTATCCATTCATCCATTGATGAACATTTGGTTTTTTTCCAACTTTTGCATATTGGGAATAATGCTCTTATGAACATGGGTGTACAAATATCTGTTCAAGTTCCTGTGTTCAATTGTTTTGGGGATATACCCAGAAGTGAAATTGCAGAGTCATATAGTAATTTTATATTTAATTTTTTTTTTTTTGGAGGAACCATCATGCCATTTCCCACAGTGGCTGCACTCTTATGTTCCCACCAGGAATGTACAAGGGTTCCAGTTTCTCCACATCCTTACTAATACTTGTTACTTTCTTTTGCTATCTTTTTTGTTTGCTTATTTACATTATAGCTAACCAATTGGGTGAGAAGTGTTTTCTCCCTGTGGTTTTTGATGTGCATTTCCTTAATGATTAGTGATACCGAAGATGCTTTTTAATTTTTTTAATAATGGCTGAACTAGTGGGTGAGAAGTGCTTTCTCATTGTGGTTTTGATTTGCATTTCCCTGAAAATTAGTAATATTGAACATGCTTTCTTAAAAATTTCAACTTTTATTTTGTATTCAGGCCATACACATGCAGGTTTGTTACAAGGGTATATTGTGTGATGCTGAGGTTTGAGGTACGATTGAACCTGTCACCCAGTAAGCATAGTACCCAGTAGATAGTTTTTCAACCCTTGCCCCCCTCCCTTCCTCCTCAGTATTTATAATCCCCATCCTCTATTGATCCCATCTTTATGTCCATGTGTACCCAATGTTTAGCTCCCACTCATAAATGAGAATGTGCGGTATTTGGTTTTCTATTTCTGCTTTAATTCGCTTAGGATAATGGCCTCCAGCTGCATGCGTGTTGCTGCAAAGGACAAGATTTTATTCCTTTTTATGGCTGTGTAACATTCCATGGTGTATATGTACCACACTGTCTTTATCCAGCCCACCACTGATGGGCACCTGGGTTGATTCCATTTCGTTGCCATTGTGAATAATGTTGCAATGAACATGCTAGTGCATATATTGAACATACTTCCATGTGTGTGTTTATGTCCTCAGGATTGTTTTCTGATTTTTAAAAATTTGTATAAATTTAAGGCGTGCAAGTGAAATTTTGTTAGATGGATATATTGTGTAGTGATGAAGTCTGAGCTTTCAGTGTATCTGTCACCCGAATAACATACATTGTACCCACTAAGCAATTTCTCATCACCCACCCACTTGTGTCTTCAGTTTTTAAAGATGCTTTACAATTGTCCATGGTTTATCTTCTTACTCTACTACAAGTGTCACTATTTTATTCCTTGCCAGTATCACATAAAGACGTAGAGTGAGGGCACAGGTCTTTTGGACCTGCCCTTTAGGTGCAGGGTGGTACGGCCTTACTCCATAGCTCTACAAATAGTAGCAATCATGAGCCTCATCTGAGGCTGCTGGTCTACTTAGAAACGGCCTTCTAACCATTCTCCCTGACTCCAGTCCATCCCCTTTCTTGTCACAGGTTACTAGCTTCATAGATTAAAAACAAGTTTCTATTCCCAGGGAAAAAGACCCAAATTCTTGGGCCCCACCGTGCTTCCTGCACTCAGCTTCAATAGTTCTGATTTTCAACCAGTTTCTCCAGCACCCCATGTGTCTTTGCACACACCCTTTTCCCTGCTCCCCATCACCTCCACAACTCCTTCTCAAACATTACCTCCTCCCCTTTTTGGAGAGCCTTTGGCGCTTTAGCACTTTTTTTTTTTTTTTTTTTTTTTTTTTTTTTTGAGACAGAGTCCCGCTCTGTCGCCCAGGCTGGAGTGCAGTGGCGCTGTCTCGGCTCATTGCAAGCTCTGCCTCCTGGGTTCACGCCATTCTCCTGCCTCAGCCTCCCGAGTAGCTGGGACTACAGGCGCCCACAACCACGCCCGGCTAATTTTTTTGTATTTTTAGTAGAGACAGGGTTTCACCATGTTAGCCAGGATGGTCTCAATCTCCTGACCTCGTGATCCGCCCGCCTCGGCGTCCCAAAGTGCCGGGATTACAGGCGTGAGCCACTGTACCCGGCCTGGCACTTTAGCACTTTTAAAATGTGGACCATTATTTACATTTAAGTTCCTATTATACCATGTTTGGTCATGTGCCCTCGACTAAACTTCAAGATTCTTAGCATGAGAAGTAATGAGAAGTATCTTTTTTCTTTTTGTTTTTTTTTTGTTGTTTTTTTTTTTTTTTGAGACAGTTTTGCTGTGTTGCCCAGGCTGGAGTGCAGTGGTGTGATCTCAGCTCACTGCACCCTTGACTGCCCAGGCTCAAGCAATCCTCCCACCTTAGCCTCCTGTGTAGCTAGGACTACAGGCATGTGTCATCATGCCTGGCTATTTATTTTTGTCTTTTGTTTTTGTAGAGACGAGGTCTCACTATGTTGTCCCACGCTGGTCTCAAACTCCTGGGCTCGAGTGATCCTCCCACCTCGGCCTCCCAGGTGGGATTACAGGCATGAGCCACCGTGCTCATCTAGGACTGCATCTTATTTAGCCCTCTATACTCAGGGATGCCTGAGTAAGCCCCCAATTATGCCTGCCTGAGTGCAGGGCTGTCCATCGTCAGAAAGAAAGCAGCCACATGACACTCCCACAAACACAGAGTGGTTTTCTCACTTTTCCCATTGTGTTTCTGCCCACTTCTGGATGGGTTTCCAGTTTCACCTTCTCCCTCTTATCTCTCTCCTCTTCATCTCCTTCCTCTGTGGTCCCTCCCCCATACTTTCATGCCTTTCACTTCCTAAGGCTCTTGTTTCCCAATCTACTGGGGCAGTGGTCCTGTCTGTGAGCCCATTGGTGTCTTTTGCCTGTCAGATCCTTCAGAGCAAAGCATTTACAAGACAATTTCTTTTTAACTTAATTTATTTTTAACGTTTTGTTGGCCAGGAGCAGTGACTCACACCTGTAGTCCCAGCACTTTGTTAGGCCGATGCAAGTGGATCACTTGAGGTCAGGAGTTTGAGACCAGGCTGGCCAACATGGTGAACCCTCATCTCTATCAAAAATACAAAAATTAGCCAGGAGTGGTGGCACATGCCTGTAATCCCAGCTACTCGGGAGGCTGAGGCAGGGGAATTGCTTGAACCTAGGAGGCGGAGGTTGCAGTGAGCCGAGATCACACCACTGCACTGCAGCTTGGGTGACAGAGTGAGACTCTGTCTCAAAAAAAAAAAAAGTTTTTGTTAATGTTGACTGCATCTCAAAACATAACTTCAGTGCTCTTCAGGCTTCCAAGTTTCTGTCTGTTTACTGTCACTTGTCAAGCACTGCCCTGTCCACCAAAGGAAGAAAAGACAATGCAAAGTACATGTTTTATTTATTTATTTGAGACAGGGTCTTGCTCTGTCACCCAGGCGGGAGTGCAGTAGTACAATCACAGCACACTACAGCCTCGACCTCCCATGCTGAAGTGATCCTCTTGCCTCAGCCTCTTGAGGAGTAGCTGAGACTACAGGCACACTCCACCACATCTGACAAATTTTTTTTTTTTTTACTTTTTATGGAGACAGGGTCTCACTATGTTGGCCAGGCTGGTCTCAAACTCCTGGGGTCAGGTGATATTCTCACCTTAGGCCTCCCAAAGTGTTGGTATTACAGGCATGAGCCACCACGCCCAGTCCAAAGTGCATTTATTTATATAGCCCTGAATTTCAAAGAAGATCATTATTCACTATTTCTTTTCTAAGCCAATCCATTAGCAGGACCCAAATCTGTCCACTGTTCTCCATCTCCACTGCCATCATCTCTTGTCTGGATGCCTGAAAAAGCCTTCTGACTTGTTTCCCTGCTTCTATTCTTGCTCAACTACAATCCTTTCTCCACACAGCCCTCAGAATAATCTTTTATTTTTTATATTTTTGTTTGTTTTGGTTTTTTGTTTTTTTTTTTTTTTTGAGACAAAATCTCGCTTTGTCACCCAGGCTAGAGTGCAGTGGTGTAATCTCGGCTCACTACAGCCTCCACCTCCTAAGTTCAAGCAATTCTCCTGCCTCAGGCTCCCAAGTAGCTGGGACTACAGGCACGTGCCACCATGCCCGACTAATTTTTGTATTTTTAGTAGAGACAGAGTTTCACCATGTTGGCCAGGCTGGTCTCGAACTCCTGACCTCAGGTGATCCACCTGCCTTGGTCTCCCAAAGTGCTGGGATTACAGGCGTGAGCCACCATGCCCGGCTCCTTTTTTTTTTTTTTTTTTTTGTGATGGAGTCTTGCTCTGTCACCCAGGCTGCAGCGCAGTAGCACAATCTCAGCTTACTGCAACCTCCACCTCCCAGGTTCAAGCAATTCTCCTGCCTCAGCATCCCAGGCAGCTGCGACTACAGGCACACATGACCATGCCAGGCTAATTTTTTGTATTTTTAGTAGAGACAGAGTTTTGCCACGTTGGTCAGGTTGGTCTCGAACTCCTGACCTCAAGTGATGAGCCCTCCTTAGCCTTCCAAAGTGCTGGGATAACAGGCATGAGCCACCATGCCCAGCCCAGAATGATCTTTTAAAGCATGTTACTCTCCTTAAAACCCCATGATTCCTCAGAGTACTTAGAATAAAATCCAAGTTCCTTACCATGGCTAATAAAGCTTTACATAATCTGGTCCCTCAAACCTCCCCATTTCATGTAACAGTTATCTATTGCTGCATAACAAACCTCCCCAAAAACATAGTGATTTAAAACAGCAATGCTTTATTATTTCCTGTGATTCTGTAGGTTTTTCTGCTGGCCTCACCTAAAAGCACTCACACAGCTACAGCTATCTTGATGGTGCAACTATGGCTGGAAGGTCTAAATAGCCTCAAGTGTATGTGAAGCAGTTGGTGTTGGCTGTTGGCTGTGCTCCTCAGTTATCCTCTTTGTGTCCACCTGTCCTCCAGTAAGCTAGACAGAGCTTCTTCATAGCATGGTGGAGTTTGAAGAGGGTGATGATAGCAAAGCCCCAAGGCCACTTAAAGTCTAGGCCCTGGAATTGGACACCACCACTGCCGCTATTTTCTATTGAACAAGCAAGTCACAAGGCCATCCCAGATTTAAGGGGGTGGAAAAACAGATAATGTCTCTTGACAGAAAGAGCAGAACATCAATTGTACAGGGGCATGGACATAGGGAAGCATGATTCTCTGGGTGCCATTATTATAACAAGCTATTAGCCCTCATCTCCACTGCTCTTTTTTCTGTTCTTCAAACATACCAATCTTCAGAAACTTTGTACTCATTTTTCCCCAGTGGCACTCCACAATCTCTATTAGGAGGGATTTCGGAAGATAGATCTGCTTGGAAGAGGAAACTAGGTGGTGGACTTACCTTAAAAGTTGAGTGCATAGTGAACACATTGCTCTACTTATTTGGGATGGTTAAGGCAGTTAAACTCCAGCCCCATCCAGCACTTCCTTGGTGCCGTTATCCTTGGCCTGGCCTTTCCCAGATCTTGGCATGGCAGGTCTTAGCTCACATATCAACACTTCAGAGAGACCTTCCCTTACCATCTACTAAAATACTTCTCTTTTCCATCTCTCTCTCTCTCTCTCTGCCTGTTATTTATTTTCTTCCTAACACTTATTTCTACTTGCTGATTAGCCAAGGCAAATCAGCAGCTTCCATGGGATTCTCATTGTATCTTACCTTCTAGGGCTCCAAGCACCTTCTCCAGAAGGTCCTCCCAGAATACAGTGTGTGCAGAGCCAGCTGGAGATATCTGTCAGCACCCCTGTGTTAGGAAGAATAATGGACTCTCAAAGATAGCCACATTCTAGTCCCTGGAACCTAAAAATGTGTTAGGTTACACGGCAAAGGGGAATTAAGTTTGCACATGGAGTTAAGGTTGCTAATCAGCTATTCAAATTGAAAAACCAAAGAGATGGCAATGGGAAAGGACTTGACTAACATTGCTAAGTTTTTACCAGCATTGAAGACGGAGTAAAGAGGACACAAGCCAAAGACTGTGGGTGGCTTCTGGAAGCTGATAAAGGTAAGGAAAAGGATTCTCCCTCAGAGCCTTCAACACAGCCCTGCAGACACATTAATTCTAGCCCAGTGAGAACACTTTCTGACTTCTGACCTCCAGAACTGTGAGATAATAAACTTGTATTGTTTTAAAGCACTAAGTTTAGGATAATTTTTATACCAGTAGATGGAAACTAAATAACCCCCACAGAAGAGACAAGGAAATAACCCATATTACTGTACTAAGCTCCTCTCTTCTACCATGCCCTAAGGCCACTGACCATCCCCACGCAGAGTGTCATCCCAGCCACATTGTTCCAAGTCCCCAGCTCCATGAGTATAATACAATGGCTATCTTGTAATACTGCATGAGTGTAAGCAGTGGTGTGCTGGAGCAGGCTCATACATACTGGCTCTCTAGAGCTGTTAAATTTTCAGAAATTGTGCAAGCCACTTGTTAAACATAGTCATCATTAAAAATTAAATTATATAAACTTACAATTAAGTTATATTACAAAGATAATAAATACTCAAAGCTCATCCCTTCCTTATTTTACTCTATTTAATCATTATCTATGCTTGTGACGTTATTTACCTCTATTGTATCTGTATAGTGGAAATACTATATAATGGTGTGCTATGCATATCTTTGCAACTCGGCATTCAGTGACATTATTTTGGCAGGTTGAAACAGGCCATGGTGGTTGTATTTGCACCACGGAAATAGGCAAATGTTACCAATCAAACCTTCTCCCTTCCCCCATCCCAGAGCCGGTTATTTGTCACCTGCCTATAGGGCAGGTGATATCTGACCTCAGGGTGTTGCCAAGCGCTTCAGGGTGTTCTTTGTACATACCACAACAGAGACCATAAATATCTGACCAAAGCAAGTCCCAGGAACCAGTGAGACAAAATTCATCTATTAGGCCCCTTGAGGCCTCATAGTGTCTGGGTCTAATTCATCTTTGTTTTACCAGTGAAGTGAATGCTCAGTAAATGTCTACTCAATAAAACGAATCCATGATTTCCTCAAGGGGAAAAGTTAAATCTAACTTGATTAAAGCCCTCTAGACTGCACAATGACTAGTACTTTTATCTTCTCAATAACTTATCACAAACATTAATTCAATTTAATTATTAATTTAAATCGATAAGAAATGTTCCCTAAATGTTAGTAGTTATTATCATTACAATTATAACTGTTTAGCCCAGAGTGGATCCAAGTCCATTGATATGTCAATGTTTTTCTATATTATGTATCTTTTTCTTAAAGCAAGATGAGGGAGCTCTCATACTTACATTTTGAATAATACTTCATTATGAGAGCTTTTCTTGTCTTAGCTTTTAGAAAGTTTCTAACAATCAGCCAGATTAAAACTTTTCACTAGCAACTAAAATTGCTAGTGAATTAAAACTGCTAGTGACACATGCAATTACAGACAAATAGTTACACATTTTCCCGCCTTTGCCAAATGACAATGACGGAAAGTTGATAAAGGAAGCTTCTTTACAGAAGAATTCCAGATAATAAATGTAGAGAGATGACAGAATTTCAAAAGCCACTATTTTGTAATCCTTAACAAAGGAATTTATTCAAGGTAAAGATCATCTGAAGCCAAAAGATGAGAGGTTGATGGAGGATACAGTGAGGAATCAGGCCTCCACTCCTTAGATCTACTGATCAGTCTTATTGTCTTAACTGCAAGTGGGGCAAGCATGCCACTTACGTGCTTTCTAATGAGATGCAGGATAAACAATATAGCATCACTTCTGAGTCATTCTTGCCATAGTGACTAACGTGTGTCTTCTCCAGGTTTTATTTTTTTATTTTGAGACAGCGTCTGACTCCATCACCCAGGCTAGAATGCAGTGATGTGATCTCAGCTGGCTGCAACCTCTGCCTCCCTCCTCCAGGTTTTAGATCCAACTTTCAGTTTATAAAAACTCCAGCATTTTCCTTCAGAATTTTGACTAGGCTCAGTGGCTCATGCCTGTAATCCAGCACTTTGGAAGGCTGAGGCAGGAGAATCGCTTGAAGCCAGGAGTTCAAGGCCAATCTGGACAACATAGGGAGACCCCATCTCTACAAAAGATAACCTTTTTCTAATGCTTAGCTGGGCATGGTGGCATACACCTGTAGTTCTAGCTACTTGGGAGGCTAAGGTAGGAGGTTGGCTTGAGCTGAGGAGTTTAAACCTGCCAGTAAGCTGTGATTGTACCACTGCATTCCAGCCTGGGTGACGGAGTGAGATCATGTCTCCAAAAAAAAAAAAAAAAACAACAACAAACAAAATCTAGAAATCAGAGCAGGGACCAGGTAAGTGATACCACAAGGAAGCTGACGGGTATGTGCAGAATATTGAACTATTGGACAACTGAACAAAAAGGGAGACCAAGAAGTGCTTTAGATGAGACAAGTTTTTCCTCATAAAGCTAAACATAAGTGTACACTCTGAAAACATATGTCCATAAAAAGATTTATGCAAAAATATTTATAGCAGCTTTATTCATAATAGCCTAAATTGGAAACAATCTAGATGCTCAGTAAGAGGAGAGTGCATAAACAAATTGTAGTAAATGCGAGCAATGGAATGCAACTCAGTAAAGACACAGATGAACCTCAAGAATATCATGCTGAGCACAAACAGCCATACTCAAAAAGACTACACACTGCAAGCGTGCATTTTATATAAAATTCTAGAACAGGCAAAACTTATCCATGGTGAAAGAAATCAGATAAGCGGTTTGGGGGTGAGGACACAGTTCGCTGCCAAAGCACAGGTGGTAACTTTCTGAGGTGATGGGAATGTTCACTATCTTGATGAGGGTGTGGGTTACCAGGTGTGAGCATTTGTCAACACTCATTAAATTGTATGCTTAATACCTGTGCGTTTCACTATATGTAAGGATAAGTCAGTTAGGGAGGAAGGGGAGGACAAGGAATGGGAGGTGGAGAGAGAGAGAAGGGGAGGGAGGGAGAGAGAGGAGAAAGAGAGAGATAGAGAGACCTAACAACCAGACAACTGCAATAAGTTTTCAAGAAAGCCTAAATGTAGACTGTTTGTATGGTCATTTAGATCAGGGGTGTCCAATCTTTTGGCTTCCCTGGGCCACAGTGGAAGAAGAATTCTTTTACTACACATAAAATACACTAATACTAACGATAGCTGATGAGCTGATAAAGGAAAAATCACACCAAAAAATCTCATGATGTTTTAAGAAAGCTTACGAATTTGCGTTGTGCTGCATTCAAAGCCGTCCTGGGCTGCATGTGGCTCGCAGGCCACGGGTTGAACGAGCTTGATTTAGATGACTCCAAGGAATTATAAAATGTTCTTTTTTTTTTTTTTTTTTGAGACGGAGTCTTGCACTTTCGCCCAGGCTGGAGTGCAGTGGCCGGTCTCAGCTCACTGCAAGCTCCGCCTCCTTGGTCCTCGCCATTCTGCCTCAGCCTCCCAAGTAACTGGGACTACAGGCGCCCGCCACCACGCCCGGCTAATTTTTTGTATTTTTAGTAGAGGCGGGGTTTCACCGTGTTAGCCAGGATGGTCTCGATCTCTTGACCTCGTGATCCACCCCCGTCGGGCTCCCGAAGTGCTGGGATTACAGGCGTGAGCCACGGCGCCCAGCCTACATAATGTTTTTGATGAAATAAGGGCGTGTGGCTATGTAAGAACATGCCAGCCGGGTGCGGTGGTTCACGCCTGTAATCCCAGCGCTTTGGGAGGCCGAGGTGAGCAGATCACTTGAGGTCAGGAGCTCAAGACCAGCCTGGCCAACATGGAGAAATTCTGTCTCTACTAAAAATACAAAAATTAGCCGGGCATGCACCTGTAGTCCCAGCTACTTAGAAGACTGAGGCGGGAGAATCGCTTGAACCTGGGAGGCGGAGGTTGCAGTGAGTCGAAATCGCGCCACTGCACTGCAGCCTGGGGGACAAGAGTGAAACTCCATCTCAAAATAAAATAAAATAAAATAAAATCGGATACATAAAGCAAGAGTGACAAAAACTTGATATTCCAGAACTTGGGTGGTAGGTATGTGGGGATTTATAGTTCTTTTCACTGTTTTGTGTATATTTGAAAAATTTCAAAATAAAAAGAGAGGCTGCCTTAGGTAAACAAAGACAGTATATAATACCCACAGTGTCAAAGCAGAAAGTATATGGACGCTCTCAAAAGTTATTTCTCTTATCAGACCAACTCTCCCTGCTTTCTTCCTGCCTTGGCTGATGATTTACCTTTTATTAAAATTCTCACATTCCAATACCTTGATTACTAATGGTTATATTAATCACTTTTATTTCATATTTCAATCAACAGATCAACATTTATTATTAGCCATGAATATGTGCCGCTGAGAACGTCCGGAAACCTCCTCCTCCTCCCGTTCTCCGTTCCACCCAGAGGAGTCGCTCCCCAGAACGGTCCTTTCTGCCTGGTAGAACCTCGTATCACCACCAGGGGGCGTGCCATCACTGAATTTGCTCCGCGGCTGCTTCAGGAAAGATAAAATCAGCCCCGCAGTCTGAGTAACTGGTTACCAGGGTTTCGGCGCACCCAGGACCGGTGTTTGTCATTGTTTAGGCACGTCTCTGGTGACTTCATTCCACTATACCCAAGTCTTTTTGGGGAAACAATTACCCTATTTGAACAGAACAAGTAAGGCAAATTGGTAACTGGAAGATGACTAGGTGCTTCTACAGGATGTGTTGGGACATCCTGTCTTCCCCTGGGGCTTAGCTTTGGGTGTGGACCCTTCCTTCTCACTTGATGGTTGGGAAAGGATACCCCCCTCTCTGCAGGGGCACAGCCCCTTCTTTGTCCTGGATAGGCCTGGCTAGCAGAGCAGGAGTGAGCTGGCCCGTGTGGACAGGGGCGTCACTGGGGACAGACGAGGGGCCTCGACCTTCAGAAGCCTCTGTGGCAGGGAAGACCCCGAAGATGGCGGGACCGCTCTAAACTGCCAGGCGCTCTGCAGGCTCGGGCGCCCATTCTCTTGCACACCCCTGGGCCTCCCGTTCCCTCTGGCCATGCACTGAGTGCCTGCTGGGCTCCAGGCCACCTTCCTGCTCCGTGAGCCAGGGCTTTAGAGGACACAGGGCTTGAGCGGGAGGATGAGAGAGGGAGGGCTTCTCTCAATCGCAGATCTGATCCTGCCACTTCCCGCTCAAGAAAATCCTTTAGAGGGGGCAGCTTCGGATGGCTCCCTGTGGCCTCCAGTAAAAAGCAGAAGCCCTGTCATGGCCTAGGGGCCTGCACAATCAGCCCCTCCCTCCTCGGTGCCACTCTGCGCTGCCCGTGTTCACTGCCCTCCAGCCCGGGCGGCCTCTCGGTCCCCACTGCCCTGTGCTCACCGAGATGCTGTTGGCTCTGCCTGAAGAGTTCCTCTCCTGGACCCCTCCGTGCTCCCAGCCAAAGGCCTCCCCTCAGGCATTCTTCCTGCATCCTGAGCTTTTCCTTGGAAGCTTCTGCCACAACCATAACCCCATGCTTCCGACTCCCCCACTAGACTCTGAGCAACACAGAAACAACAGCATTTCCATAAAACCTTTTGAAAAACTGAAAATACTCTACGCATCCATCACGACCTCAAGCAGTGAACCAGGTAGCTGAGGCTTTGCTTTCCAAGAAGACTCCAAGGAAAGTGGCACAAAGAGAAAGAAAGTATTTGGGAATGAGAACCCTTCCTGAAGCCTTGGCATCACACCACGGTCAGCAGTCTTCTTTCCCTGTGTGTAAAGCTGACCCTAGCCAGGGATCAAGGGAGATCAGAGCTTATGAAAGGCAGGAGTAACGGCTGAGCAGAGAAGTGGCAGGAGCATGATAGTCATAACCAGACTGCTCAGAGCATAGAGTCCAGAAGCACCCCTTTTGCCTCCCTCTATGATATCTCCCAGTCCCTCCCTGCTCTAGGCCTTCCTAGCAGAGCTATCACCAAAGGGGGCCTCTGGAGGAGAAAAGGAATCAATGTGAAAAATTAAATTCTGGCTACTGTTCCTCTATACATTCATATGTTCATTTAATAGACCAATGGGGTGGTGCATGTGCCAGGCACTGGGATAGGTGCTGGAGATGGCTTTGAAGAGCTCAGACATAGCCAGCTGATGGGGGAGGCCATTAGTAAGAAAATCATTATGGTGCAACAGAAGCACTTTAGCAGCTTCATGTACAAAGAGGACTCCACTAACATAGAGGGACAAAAGCCTGGACCTTCTGGGGATGGAGAGGAGGAAGGCAGGAAGGTGCTAAGTTTAGGGAAGATATACAGAGCAGGTGGGCATTTGAAGATCAGGTTAGCCGGTCAGCCAATAAATGCTTACTGAGTGCCTTCTGGGTGCCAGGCACCCTTATAGGTGCTGGAATGCATCAGGGAAGAAAACAGGCCCTGCCCTCATGGAGGTGGTATTCTAGTGGGGTGGCGGGGAGGGATGCCGCGCATAAATATGAATAAAAAATAGAATAAGTAAGTGCATTCTATAGCGGGTTAGAATGCTGTGGGGAAAATAGAACAGTGTAAGGAGGTCAGGAGAGTTGGAGAGGGGTTTAGCATTTTTGGGGAGGTGGTCAGGTAAGCCTCAAGGAGAAGGTGACATTTGAGCAAGAACTTACCATAAGAGAAGGAATAAGCAGAGCCCAGGTATGGTTACCTGGGGGAAGTGATCCAGACATGGGGAGCAGCCAGGGCAAAAATCCCTGACGCTACAATGTGCTGGCATGTTTGAAGAGCAGCAAGGTCAGTGTGACTGGAGCAGAGGGCAAGGAAGGAGGAGAGAAGGTCAGATTGCAGAGGGCCTTGTGGGGAGTTTTAAAGACCTGGACTTTGACTCTGAGAGAAATGTACCATCATAGGAGCAGCGGTATGCTGGCCAACTAGGTCTCAGAAAAATAAAAATAAAAAGCCCTGGTTTGTAGCATTTGCCAATTTCTGTGGTAAATCTCCCACCTTGGCCTATTTCAAGCCATGAGTGTGGCATTCCTGACCACAGATAGGGGAGAGATGTGCAGGATTGGCCCTCACTAACTAATGCTTGCCATTCCAGCCCACCTCTGCTTTGGAGAATTCTGAGCAGAGATATGACATGATCTGACTGTGTTGCAAGGAGGTCACTCTGGCTGCTGTGTTGAGAGCATACAGGGGGCCAGGGAAGCAAGGGCAGAAGCAGGGAACATTTAGGAAGCTCTTGCAGTGATTCAGGTAAGAGAGGACATGTTCAGAGATTAGGTATTCACTACCAATATGGTGACTCAAAGGCAGATTCTAGGTGTTTTCTGAAGGCAGCATATAGAAGCCCACCTGGATGTCTTGGCAGACAGGATGTGGGTTATGAGAGGAGAGCAATTCAGGGTGGCTCTAAGCTTTGATAGAAGTTTTAGGGGGAATGGGAGGAAAGGCATTCTAGGCATAGGGTACAGCATGTGAAAAGCCACACACATAAGCATACATTCTATTTGGGGACAGAAATGAGGAGTGTGGCTGTTGAACCAGTTATGTGAGCAGAGGGAGCAGATAGGGCTGGTAAAGAGGGTCCTGTTCAGGTGTACCCCAGACAGGAGCCAGAACTTCCAGGCAGTTTTGAAGATATTCCTCCTCCAGGACCGGGAGGAAAATTCTTTTTTTTCTTTTTTTGAGATAGGGTCTTACTTTGCTGCCCAGACTGGAATGCAATGGCATGATCATGGCTCACTGCAGCCTCCACATCCTGGGCTCAAGTGATCCTCTTACCTCAGCCTTCTGAGTAGGTGGGATGACAGGCATGCACCACCATGTCTGGCTACTTTTTAATTTTTTTGTGGAGATGGGGTTTCGCCATATTTCCCAGGCTGGTCTTGAACTCCTGAGCTCAAGTGATCCACCTGCCTCGGCCTCCCAAAGTGCTGGGATTACAGGCATGAGCCACCGCACCTGGCCCCACAGAGTCTTTCTGCACAGCACTTGCAATTGTATTCCAGGTGGATCTTGAACTTCAAACCCCATCTATGCCACAGAATAGTTATTACTTACTCAGATGCAGTCTTGGGATGTTTTTCCTACTTAGATGTTTTGTTTTCCCAGTTAGCCTGGTAGTGTGTGTTCAGGGGCTGACCTAGCCAGGGCTGAACTCACAGAGGCTCTCAGGGATATTTATTGTATTCAGATGACCCAGGCTCCAAAAAAGCAAAGAATAGATATTCAATGTTCACGCTCAGGGTCTGAAGGGGGTATCCATCTGTCTCCACCAAAGATGGAATTCCTTTAAAAGGACCATAAGTGTGTGTGTGTGTGTGTGTGTGTGTGTGTGTGTGTGTGTGTGTCTTTGTAGGTATGTCTGTTTTTGAGGATTAAACATATTAATAACAACTCTCATTTATTAGATGCCTACTGGGCACCAAGAACTTGATATTCTTATTGAAGCCTCACAACAACAACAGTGCAGTGAGGAATGTAATTATGGAATCTCTGATTAACAAGCTGGTCATTAGAATGACATGTGACTCCCTGATTCATTTTATCTTTGGAGATATTTGATGATTCTTACAGCTTATTTATTTGCAAAATAAATTTTATGAATTTATCCCCCTTACAGTTTTTATGAGCTTGCAAGTGTCTGTAATTCAAACCCAACTATGCATGATAACTAAGATTAATTTAAAAAAATACAAATGCATGTCTGCTTTCAAATGTTTGTAATGAATGGTAATATTAATAGATGGATAGCTCTAAGCCAAATGATTTTACTAAAAGAAAATGCTCATTTGAATAACTGCTAGATCATGAAGAATAAATCTTGAGCTAAAAGCAAAATAATGATAATAATGTCAGTTACAAATGTGTATTCTATGTGCTTTGGTAATTTGTCCTAAACTTACCCTTAGGAACACAAGTCACAAAATGCTTCTGTTGCTATGTTGATGCTCAGGATTGTAGAGAGACTTGCTCTGTCCTTGACTCCCTTCATCTACCTCTTGCCACACAGAGAAAGTCACACAAGAAATACAGCTGTCTCCATCCTCCACGTGGCATGAGCTGGGGCCAGGGCTCTTTGCAGTTCAGGTGGAAATCCCCAGGAAACAGCCCTCATAGACCAACTCTAAGCCAGGGTCAAATGAAGATGAGTCCTTCAAAAACAGTTGCTATTCCACAGTGCTGCTTGTGTGTACTGAGGGGGTTGCGATTGCATTGCTGACTGACCCTCACTTCCTTTCTGGACCTGAGAGCATTTCACAACAACAAAGGGTTTTCTAAGATAAAGATTCCAAAAAGCTGGAAAAGAGCCTCTGGCAGTCATGGGGTCGGTCATCAGATGAGCACTTCACTCAAAGTGTCCTTAGAAATAGTGACACTTCTGTTGATGTTTGGTTTCTGTCACCCTGGCAACAACTATCTCTAAATAATCCCTCTCCTGGGGGTACTTCTGAAAAAGAGTTGGGCAAAGGGCTGAGGGAGGAGGTTTGGCCATATTTTCCAACCTGGCGTGAAAGTGCTGAAGACTTTTCTGGGGAGAAGGTGAAGATTTAAATGGCCCTGCAGTGATTTGTTTATGGTTTATCTTTGTGTTTTACACTCCTCTCACTCCTACAAGGGATCAACAGGAAGTAGGCAGAGCTCCCAGAGCAGCTCTACCCACAGAGTAGGCATTCAAGCAGCATCTGTGGGTTGCATGGGATGGAGTGACATAATCTTAAAGGCGTTATAACATTTCTTTTTCAGTTGTTTTGCAGATGAGGAAACAGACAGAGAGGTTAAATTACATGGCCAAAGTCACAAAGCAGCTGAACCACAGAGCCCGCCCCAGGGCTCCTGAGCATCAGCTGCTCCAGCATGCTCCCAGTTCAGCCCAGCCAGCTGAGGTTCCTGAAGGGAGCACCGGCCTGTGGGTTTGCACAGGGCTCTCTGCCCCCAATGCTCTGCCTGGGCCAGGCTCCATAGGAGACACTGGCGCTTTGTGTCGCCCTCCTTGGCACAAGATGAAATCAGGTGGTCCCCATTCTTCCTGCCACACTCCGCCAAATCTATCTGAACACATTTCCTGTGCACAAAGCCAGCTTGCCAATTATCTGCTCCAATTAAGGAGAGAGAGATGTGGTTAATTCAGTCACCCCAGCGAGCTGACCAAGGCAAACGGTGAGGTTGGTATCACTGGCCGCAAGTCCTCTCAGTGGCCCTGTGCATGCTGCTTCCCTTGGCACTCCTTCCTACCCCCAGATGGCCAGTGTGGTTTCTTCACCTCCCCCTCTTTCCCTTTCTGAGCGCCTGGAGTTCCAGAGCTGTGTCGGCCCTGCCTCCCCCATATCAACAGAGAGTCCTATCCCAATCTGTGTCCTCTAATAAACTAGTGTGTGCAGAACAGTTCATGGAAGATCCTGGATTAATATTTAACCCTCAGAGAGAATTAGCTCTCAAATGACATTGCATAGGAGGCATCTTTTGCATTTGTGTCCAAACCCAGGCTTGCCATTGATGAATGTAAAAATCACTCCTGTTTTATTTGAAATACAGACCCCAAAGGCTTAGCTCGCTATTGTCAGTCCTTTCTGCCTCTTAGCACTAAAGCAAAGAAGGCAGACAAAGGGCTGAGTGTGTATTCATTGGTATCAGTTAGAACAACAGGCATGGTCAAGAGCAAAGCTCTCTCCCCGCTAAATTTGTAGGGCAATTATTATGATCCTGCAATTAAGTTTATAGATAATATAATCTACCTACACATAACTTCTCAAAAATAGAATCAGCGTAAGGCCTTCCCTGGAAAGATGCAAAGGAGAAATAAAAGGGAGTTAATTTATAATAAAGTAATATGTATTTCAATAAGGAAATGCTTAGAACTAGCTACCCGAGAAGATGTGATGAAGGAGTCAAATTCTATACTTATTCATACATCCACCATAAACAGGACAACTATAAACACAGATTAATACAGGTGTGTTATACTGAATACAGCTAGTGTTGCCAATGCTAATATAACTCTGTAAAAGGTGAACAAATCCTAGTAAAGGTCCAAAAAGCAAAGTTCAAGATTTATTTGTTTTATGTAACAGTTAAATTCATGGAAAATTAGGTATGTCTGAATCCACGCAAAAAATATGTTGTTTTTACATGGAAAATATAGTTAGGTTCAAGGCACAGGTAATTGATTATCAATATTTTGTTGTTGTTGCTTTGAACCCACATGAACATCTGGGACGGTACCTCCTAGGCTCTCATCTATTAAATCCAAGTAGTTTTCCTATTCATTGTGACAACCAAAAATGCAATCTCTCTAAAAAAAAATTCCAAAGTGCCCTTAGTACAGTGCCCTTCAACCCATGGAAAGCCATTCATTAGCAATTACCTTTGGTCATTACTACAGAGTCCTCAACTGACAATAGCTTAAACAAGATAGGGGTTTGTTTTTCTCTCAAATAAGATAAATTTGGCAGTTAGCAGTCTCAGGTTGGTGTGTCCAAGCCTCCTACCTTTTCTGCTTTAACACCCCTATTTAGCGTTGATTTCCATCTTCAAATCCATGGTAACAGAATGGTTGCTGAAGCTCCAACCATTGCATCTGTGATCTAGGTAGAAAGAAGTAAAAAAGGAGGAAGGCAGGAAGAGCAAAGCCACCTAGTAGATGAATTAACCTCTTTTAGAAGTATCCCTGGAAGTCCCACCCAACAACTCTCTTTATATCTCATTGGCCATCCCAGTCCTCAAAGCAGGCCTGGAAATAGAACTTTTTAGTTAGGTGCTTTGCTGTCTCTAATAATATTGGCTCTATAGTGAGAAAGCCAAAGTGAAGGGATATTGGGTAGGCAGCTAGCCATCTCTACCACATTGTTTCACCCACTGACAATGTCTGGGGAACCTCCTGCAGCCCCCAAACACAGATTCAACTCACAGGTTCTAAGAGAGGTAGGCAATCTTTTGGGTTGCTTGGGTTATGGGCTCAAGTTCCTGTGTGCTTCAATCTTAGGCTGCTATTTTATGCAAGGGAGCAGAGGGAAGGATCTAGTCACCATGATCCATTGTGACTAGATCCTGGTACTAAACTAAATCTTGGGACAGCAGACCCATCTGAGGATAAGGGGCTCAAAATCCCCCAAATTGCTTGAGTCTCTTCTGTGAGAAATCAAGATGCCAGTGTTTTATTTAGCCTCTCACACTTTTGACTTTAGTCATTCAAACGCATATAAGTTTGTGTGTTTTCCAGAGCTTGCACCAATCCTTTTGGAATTCTCCTAGGGTAGTTCTGCTCAGTTTTGCAAACATACAATGCAGTATGCCAGGGATGCAAGATGAAACCAACAAGTTCCCTTTTCTGGAGAGCTTACAGTCCAGGCATGGGGCAAGGGGAGAGAGTGGGAACACAGACAGGCCAGTGCACTCTGAAGTCAGTGCAGAAGGAGGAATGTGTCAAGCAGTGTCTGTCCATGACAGCCGCACAGTGCCATACCTAGAAAGTGCTCAATACATAGTTGTATTTTGACTTGTAATTCTTCTCTGTAATGCCAGGAGAGGACTCTGTTCTTTTCAGAGCTGAGGTTTCTTGGGCTGAGGAGTTACAGCTGCATCTATTGCTAAATGCTCTGTTTTCCCTTCCATTTTATTCCGTCAACTATGCCTAGAAAAAAATTACTGAAATATGTTTTTATTTTATTTCTGCAAAGATTTTCTTGCAGAAATCCTTTTTGGGCTAAAGCCATCCCAAACTCTTGGAACTGGGAAATATCCAGAGATATGCCAAGATAATAAAAATAATCTCTATACTTAGAAATTTCTATTTCTTCCTTAACCTCAAAATCCCTCTGGAGGACAATTTGGCGACAATTTCCCAAGTTTGAACAAAATGTTCATACCCTTTGACCTAGCAGTTCCTCTGCTAAGAATTTATACCAAGAAAACAATTAAGGATATACACAAAGATGCAAAAGTAAGGATGTTTGTTAGAGTCTGGTTTATAATAACGGAAGATTGGAATCCACTTCGATGTGGTTGTTTCCAACATATTCTAAGCAATAATAACAGATCACTGAATAAATATTGTACATTCCATACAGCACCACATTGCATCCACAACAGTGCCAAGCACTGTTGTAAATAGAAGGATACATTAGTAAATAGAACGGTGTGGAACTCATGTTCTAGTTATCTGCCGTAAGTGTATTTATTGACATAAAAATACATTTAGGGTATATTAAGTGAGAAAAGGCAGATTACAAAACAGTAGTAGTAATAATAATACTAACACTTATGGAGCATTTATTATGTGTCAAACATCATGCCAGGAGCGCTACATACGCTAAGCCATTTTATTTATATAAGAACCCAGTATGGGCCGGGTGCGGTGGCTCACGCCTGTAATCCCAGCACTTTGGGAGGCTGAGGGGGGCGGATCACCTGAAGTCAGAGGATCGAGACCAGCCTGGCTAACATGGTGAAACCCCGTTTCTACTAAAATACAAAAAATTAGCCAGGCACGGTGGCGGGTGCCTGTAGTCCCAGCTGCTCGGGAGGCTGAGGTAGGAGAATGGTGTGAACCTGGGAGGCGGAGCTTGCAGTGAGCAGAGATCGCGCCACTGTACTCCAGCCTGGGCCACAGAGCGAGACTCTGTCTAAAAAAAAAAAAAAAAAAAAAGAAACCAGTATGATTCAAAACTTGTTTAAAAATATTTTCTAGGCTGGGCATGGTGGCTCATGCCTGTAATCCCAGCACTTTGAGAGGCCAAAGCGGGCCGATCACTTTGAGCCCAGAAGTTTGAGACCAGCCTGGGCAACATAGTGAGACCTGTCTCTACTAAAAATATAAAAACTAGCTGGGTGTGGTGGCAGGTGCCTGTAGTCCCAGCTTCTCAGGAGGCGAAGTTGGGAGGATCACCTGAGCCTAGGCGGTCGAGGCTGCAATGAGCTGAGATTGTACCACTACACTCCAGCCTGGGTGACAGAATGACCCTGTCTCAAAAAAAAAAAAAAAAAAAAAAACAAACCAAAAAAAAAAACCCACCTTTTAAAAATATTTGTTACTACTTTGTTGAACAAGACAAGCACAAATGCAATAATAAAGCAATGATTTCCTTTTTCCTACATTTATTTCAAATTCTCTCGGGATTTGCCCTTTTCCTGCCCCTGCATGAAATCTCAGGCAGATCTCAAAGCCTTCTGGTCCCTTTCAGTCAGCTGGACTGTCTTCAATAATTAAAATGTCCAGCCCAATCTGAACTGCTTTCAACTGAAAGGGACTCTCCTCCTCCAGGCCAACCTACTTCAAGCTTGCAAGCTGAAGAAGTGAGGATTTAGGGTTAGTGGTTGCCATCCTCCCTCTCACAGCTTGTCCTCTTGCCTTTGGTCTCTGGCCCCTCAAGGTGGGTCCCTGAGGATAGGGATGGGGGGGATGGACGCCATCTTTCCTGGCAGGCACTGTCCAGAGCCACCATTAGTTCCTGGAGGTGTGACAGAGGCACCTTTGCAGGCTCTTTCTCTGGCAGATGGTTTTGCAAGTTGCCCCCAAAATCGTTTATGGAGGACGCTGTCTCTCCTCCAGCTGGAAGCTTCCACTTCTCCCTTCAACCCAGGGTTTCCAGCAATCTCCTTTACATTAACCCTCTTGTTTTGGCCTTTTACCCCCTCCTCAGGAGTCCTCTTGTGTGGTTCTCCTTTAAAACAACCCAGGCCAGCGCCCTCCCCAGGTCCGCATGACTTCCCAGTAAAACTCATGCATCTTTGTCAGCCACTTCTGTCTCTTTATTGCCACCCCCATTTAGTTCTAGCCACAGTCTCACCTGTAGGCTTCTCTTGGCAAAAGGCAGACACCAGTCCGCAAACTTCAGGGAGCCCATGTGAAACTCTCTAAGGGGGTCTCTGGAAGGCCCTCTCACTGGCTTGGGGTGAGGGCATGCACTCCCTCCTCTTCCCCTGGGAGGAAGGTGGGACGCAGCCCACTCACAGGCTTTCCATGAAATCTTGGCTCACTAATGCTTCAGCCCTCACTTTTCATTGACTGCTTATTTCCTGCAGAATCAGTTTCATAATCTCTCAAGTTACCTCTACATAGGTTACATAGGAGGAATAGGCACCCAATTTGGATATTTAAGATGTGGGAATCCTTGGGTATCTATTGTATTGTTATCAGCCTTTAGAGCTTTCACCAAAAGTAAGCGAGAAGAGCCCAATTTTAACACCCTGTTATATACATCTACATGTTCACATATTTGCAGGTTTCATTTCAAAATGTTCTAGTGGGCTGGGTGCTTGCGCCTGTAATCCCAATGTTTTGGGAGGCCAAGGCAGGAGAATCACTTGAGGCCAGGAATTTCAGACCAGTCTAGGCAACATAGTGAGACTCCATCTCTACAAAAAAAATAAAAAAATTAGCTGGGCATAGTGGTGCACACCTGTAGTCCCAACTATTTGGGAGACTGTGGCAGGAGGATTGCTTGAGCCCAGGAGTTCAAGGCTTCAGAGAGCTATGATTGTGCCACTTCAGCCTGTCTCTTTAAAAAAAGAAAAAGTTGTCAGTGTGCTTACCTTTGGTCATGAAGTTATTTCCTCTTTTTTGTTTATCTGTACTTCATTTCTTTACCTGCATTGTACATATGTTAGAAGAAAAATAATTCCTTTTTTTTAATTTTTATTTTTTGAGATGGAGTCTCACTCTGTCGCCCAGGCTAGAGTGCAGTGGCACCATCTCGGCTCACTGCAAGCTCCGCCCCTCGGGTTCATGCCATTCTCCTGCCTCAGCCTCCCGAGCAGCTGGGACTGGGACTACAGGCGCCCGCCACCACGCCCGGCTAATTTTTAGTATTTTTAGTAGAGACGGGGTTTCACCGTGTTAGCCAGGATGGTCTGGATCTCCTGACCTCGTGATCCTCCGCTTCGGCCTCCCAAAGTGCTGGGATTACAGCCGTGAGCCACCGCGCCCAGCTGAAGAAAAATAATTCTTAAAGGGCAAATACTTTTCCAGAAAAAAAGTTTATGCACACACATTTATTTTTTATCTCTTCGTGAGTCAGTTGCAGTAATTCATGTCTTTCTAGGAATGTTTCCCGACGTTAACTAGTTTATTGGCATACTGTTGTTCACAGTATTCCTCTAGAATTCTTTTAATTTCTTTAAGTTGAGAGTGACGTCTCCACTTTCATTCGTGATTTCAGTAATTTGTGTCCTCTCTCTCTCTCTCTCTCTTTTAGTCATTGATCAGGCTAGCTAAAGGTTTACCCATTTTCTTGATCTTTTCAAAAAACCAACTTGTGGTTTCATTACTTTTCTCTATTGTTTTTCTATTTTATTTATTTCCCTTTTTATCATGGTGATTACCCATCTTCTATTTCCTTTGAGTTTAGTTTGCTCTTCTTTTTCTGGTTTCTTAAGATGGAAGATTAGGTTACTGATTTGAGATCTTTTTTTTTTTTCTAATGTAGGCTTTTAGCTATAAATGCCCCCCTCCCCCAAACACTGCTTTAGCTGCATCCCACACATTTTGGCACATTAGGTTTTTGTTTTATGCATTTATTTTTCTACTTTCCTTATAAAGTTCACTTCTAAGAAACCTTAGTCGACCAGACTCAAATTAATAAACTGAAAAATAGGCCGGGTATGGTGGCTCACACCTGTAATCCCAGCACTTTGGGAGGCCCAGGCAAGTGGATCACCTGAGGTCAGGAGTTCGAGACCAGCCTGGCCAATAACGTGAAACCCTGTCTCTACTAAAAATACAAAAATTAGCTGGGTGTGGTGGCAGGTGCCTGTAATCCCAGCTACTTGGGGGGCTGAGGCTGGAGAATCACTCGAACCTGGGAGGCAGAGGTTGCAGTGACCCAAGATTGCGCCACTGCACTCCAGCCTGGGCGACAAGAGCGAGACTCCATCTCAATAAATAAATAAAACTAAAGAATATTTTAGACTTAATCCACCCAAACGTGTCCTTACTATTACCCTACCATGATATTTTCATTGTGAGGCTTTCTCTGGGATTAGTTTGGACAATGAGTGCTATTTTACACATCTATTTGCTGGTTAAAAAAGCTCACAAGACTTCAAACCACCTTTTGTTCACTGGTTCATGTGGCTGTAGCAAATATAGCCAAATACAGGCAAATCTGCCGTGTAACAAAAGCTTTGAGAACTTAAATGTATTTTTGTGTCTATTCTTTAATTTTACCCTTTTGTCCCTTCAACAAACATTTATTGAGCACCTACTATATGTCAGGTCCTGCACCCATCCCCGAAGATGCAAAGGCCACATTCCTCCAAGATATTTTTGTTTGCTTGTTTTTAGCCCTGGGAACCATATTTGAATTACCTCATTTAATGTCATGAACTTTAATAGTATAGCACATTTATCTAAATTTCTACATCTGGTAAGAAAGGCCTCTAACTCTCATTCAGAGGATTCTCAACTAACTCCCCCTGCATATCTGGCATGTCGGGCTGGATTCCCAGCCTTTGCCTTCTCCAGTTTGGCCTACCCCTCCCCTCAACCCCAACCCTGATTCTGGCAGTTCCTGGGCCATCCCTAAAGAGCCTTTTTAACAACAAAAGACCATACAGCATACATCTGAAATAAGGCGGGAGAAGGCCGGGCGCGGTGGCCCACGCCTGTTGTCCCAGCACTTTGGGAGGCCGAGGCGGGCAGATCACAAGGTCAGGAGATCGAGACCATCCTGGCTAACACAGTGAAACCCTGTCTCTACCAAAAGGACAAAAAAATTAGCCAGGCGTGGTGTTGGGCGCCTGTAGTCCCAGCTACTTGGGCGGCTGAGGAAGGAGAATGGCGTGAACCCGGGGGGCGGAGCTTGAAGTGAGCCGAGATCGCGCCACTGCACTCCAGCCTGGGCCACAGAGCGAGAATTTGTCTCTAAATAAATAAATTAATAAATAAATAAATAAATAAGGAGGGAGAGAAGAAAAAATTTCTGTCCCCAGAAATTAGCCAAATCAGGGCACATCTTTAAAACAGGCAAACATTGTCAGCAAATCCCTCTGACCATTCACTTTGCATCAGTATTTCACCTCTAACTGCCTCACCGCGAAGAGCTGGAGCTATGAGGCACCTCTCTGTGCCATACTACCCAGGCTGGCACAATTCAAGTTGCCCACCCTTGCTACCACGTCCCACACCTCCTCCCCAACAAGGCCCCCAATTCCCCCAGTGTACCTGATTCTACCAGTTTCAGGAAGATACTAGTCTGAACTTGGAGCCTCAGTCTTCTAAGAGTCCACTGGTTTGCTAGACTTGGAGCTAGGCGCTGGAGATACAAAGGTCAACAAGACAAGCATCTGTCCCACAGGGGCTCACGGCAAACAGTGGCTACATTACACTTGGTAAAATCACTTGATTTCTGGTACACAGTAGCTGGGCAATTCAGGTAGTGAGGAAGCCTTGACTTGGTAGTAGTCATCCCTCTCTGGAGAGTCCATCCCCTCAGCTGGCCTTCCTTTGCACAACTCTGTCTCTCCTTTGACTCCTGAACGCACAGATTCTCTAAAACCTCCCCTGTTTGGCAAGAGAGGGCCCAGGTGTGGAGGAGGCCTTGTGTATGATTAAGTAGTTCATTGGTTGTTTGTAAGGCCGAGACTGCTCATGGAGCTAATTAAAATGTCATTCAGCTAGCCTGGAGAATAGACTATTCTGGAGATGTCTTGCTCCAGAAAAAGAAAAAAATAAAATAAACAAAGCTGAACTAGTCTTCGAACAATATCTCTTTTTCATCACTGAGTGCCAACTACTCTCATGAAAGGATCTAATAAATGTGTGCATTTTTGGATTGTAAGAGGCCATAATGCCTGAAAACAGTGCTTCTCAACAACTGTCAAATGACTTTCATGGGACAGTTAGGGTCCCATGTCTTTATCTTCTAGATATAAATAATGAAGCATTTATGGACAGAATATAATATCTGGAATTCACTGTAAAATAATCTAGTATGAGAGAGGGTGGAGATGAGGGGCATTTGTTTGAGATAACATTGGCCGTATGTTAATAATTATTGAAACTGAGTTATAAATATATAAAAATTTATTATCTTTTTGTACCTTACTTTTGCATTCACTTGAAAACTTTTATTACGAAAAAGTGAAACAGAAAGAGAACAGTGCTTCTGAAGCTTCCACTTAAGTGCCCCTAACCACGAAAGGGAGAGAAAGTACACATGCCTCCTTTGGGGCCTGGGGCTGTAGTGTGAAATAGTTCCAGTGCAGTAGAGATTTTTTTTTTTAATTTCTTGTTTTACTTCAAAAATTGAGATACATTCCATATTCTATGAAATAGACATTTAGTATAAGTGTTAAAAATTTTAAATTACTAAATTACTTGGGTGAGGGAGAAGAACAACTGTTGCAGCAAGCTGACAAAACAAAGTACCCTCAGGAAGAAATGTCTTGTCTTGGAACATCTCTTCTTCGAAAAGTTTTATTAAAAAGATAAGGCTGGGCTGGGTGCAGTGGCTCACATCTGTAATCCCAGCACTTTGGGAGGCTGAGGTGGTTGGGTCACCTGAGGTCGGGAGTTCTAGACCAGCGTGACCAACATGGAGAAACCCCATCTCTACTAAAAATACAAAATTAGCCGGGCATGGTGGCACATGCCTGTAATCCCAGCTACTTGGGAAGCTGAGGCAGGAGAATTGCTTGAACCTGGGAGGCGGAGGCTGTGGCAAGCTGAGATCATGCCATTGCACTCCAGCCTGGGCAACAAGAGTGAGACTCCGTGTCAAAAAAAAAAAAAAAAAAAAAGATAAGGCTGGCCAGGCAAAGTGCCTCATGCCTGTAATCTCAGCACTTTGGGAGGCTAAGGCAGGTGGATCACTTTGATCCCAGAAGTTTGAGACCAGCCTGGGCAACATAGTGAGACCCCATCTCTACTAAATATACAAAAGCTAGCTGTGCATGGTGGTGGGTGCCTGTAGTCTCAGCTGGTCGGGAGAGTGAGGTGGGAGGATTGCTTGAGCCTGGGAGACAGAGGTTGCATTGAGCTGAAATTGTGCCACTGCACTCCAGCCTGGGTGATAGAGGCAGACACTGTCTCAAAAAAATAAATAAATAAAAATGAGGCTCTTGTAAGGTAGCTGGGTGGCCTAAGTTGGGACAGAGATGAAAGTAAACTGCTCTCCCTGAGCAATGAGCAGTAATTTGGGGTTTGGAGAACTTTGAACTAAAGAGGAAAGGGGCAATCAAGGGAAGAAGAGAGAAGACCCAGTATCATAGCAGGAGGCTGGAGCCCAAGTCAAAGTGATGTTGTTCCCCAGTCCTGAAAATGGCCAACACACATTTAAAAGGAAGGAATTCTAATACACAATGTTAAGTGGTTGTCTGTGTTTTGTGCAGTGCAACCCTCCATTGCTCTAAACGTTTAACAAAGCCTGCTATGGCCATTGCCTTAAGTCATAGTAGTATTTGGGAGAGTGAAGAGATTGGAAAAGAAAATATCTAATCGGGTAACAAGGTATATAAAATGGTGAACAGAGATGAGAGGCAAAATGCAGAGTGGAGATCAAGAAAAATCAGTGGAAATTTGGTCATCAGTATCTCTAGCAAAAATAAAAGCATCTTTGCTCAACCCTGTGGGCTCAGAATCCCTGGAAATATTGGCAATGGTGTTGATTTACCATCATATATTCAGGAGAAGTGAAGTCATTTCTACTTTCTACTTCTTTCTTTTCTTTCTTTTTTTTTTTTTTTTTTTTTTTTTTTTTTGAGACAGGGTCTCACTCTGTTGAGTGCAGTGGTGCGATCTCGGCTTACCGCAACCTCCACCTCCCAGGCTCAAATGATTCTCCTGCGTCAGCTTTCCGAGTAGCTGGGATTACAGGCGCACGCCACTACCGCCCGGCTAATTTTTGTATTTTTAGTAAAGACGGGATTTCACCATGTTGGCCAGGCTGGTCTTGAATTCCTGACCTCAGGTGATCCCCGCCAAATGCTGAGATTACAGACATGAGCCACAGCGCCCGGCCCAATTCTACTTCAATACTAACAATTTCACTTAAAAAAGATGATCCGGCCGGGCGCGGTGGCTCACGCCTGTAATCCCAGCCCTTTGGGAGGCCGAGGCGGGCGGATCATGAGGTCAGGAGATCTAGACCATCCTGACTAACGCTGTGAAACCCCGTCTCTACTAAAAATAAAAAATAAAAAAAAATTAGCCCGGCGTGGTGGTGGGCGCCTGTAGTCCCAGCTACTCGGGAGGCCGAGGCAGGAGAATGACGTGAACCCGGGAGGCGGAGCTTGCAGTGAGCCGAGATCGCGCCACTGCACTCCAGATTGGGCGACAGAGTGAGACTCCGTCTCATTAAAAAAAAAAAAAAGATGATCCCTCCAAGACTGGGGAACTTAGGCACATTCAGGCAGCCAGGACCTGGGTTCCAGTTACCACTGGCAAAAGGGGAAGGTTTCAACCTGTGTCATTGGCTGATGCAAAATGTTATTAATTTTGGAAAACAGGGAAAAATGAAAAGTTCAACATACAAATAATTTCTTTTGATGGCATAATATCATTTTAAGGCCCCTGAAATAGATGATTACAGATAATATGTGTTTATCTTTTGCATTAACTCTACTGGAAAAATGTTTAGAATACCACTAAAGAAGTGATCCTCTCCCATACTTTCAGGATACCCTTGGAGGAAATCTTAGAAAATGTGTTTTCTTGCTAAGAGATCAAGGCATTTATCGTATTAGTTTCCTATTGCTGCTATAACAAATTACCACAAATTTAATGACTTAAAAACAACATAAATTTATTATTGGGAAGTGAGAAGTCTGAAAGGGGTCTCACGGGGTTGAAATCAAGGTGTTGGTGAGGCTGTTGTGTTCCTCTTGGAGGCTCTAAGTGGGAGTGTGTTTCCTTTCCTTTTTTGGCTTCTAGAGGCTGCGTCGGCTCATCTTCAAGCCAGCAATGCCACGGTGAGTCTTTCTCATATAACACCACTCTGACATTCCCTCTCTTTCCTCCCTGAAGGACCCACAAGGACCTTGTGATTACACCCGGCCCACCCAGATAATCCAGGATAATTTTCTTAAAGTTCGTTGATTAGCAAACAATTTCGTCTGCTACTTTCATTCCTCTTTGCCATATAACGGTAACATATTCATAGATTCTAGGAATTAGAACATGACTTTTTAATGTATAAACACACATATAATCATATTAGTTAGATTTTTGCTAAACAAATAAGTAAGTGCTACACATTCTGTTTATAATATCCTTTTGCACTTAATAGATCACGGATGTTGCAATGAACTTTTAAAATATTTATATGTTTTTGCACACTTGCCTTATTATTTTCTCGGGATAAACTCCTTTACATTGAATTTCTAGGTTAAGTGTGAACACTCGAAATTTCATTGACACAAAGGTTGTACCAATGTGTACACCTGCCAACATGGAGCCAATGTTAAGTTACATCGGCCATGCCAGTTTTATAGGTGAAAAAGGCCAATTCTGGAGATCAATCTGTAGCATTTTTGTGATGTTTTGTTGGTTTTGGTACCAGGTGTTTATAACTTTATAAAATAAACTAAGACACTCTCCTTCCTTCCTTCCTTCCTTCCCTATTCTTTGGAATAGCTGAAACAAGAGCAAAACTCCTAGAAAAAACAGGTAGTATTCACTGTGAAACACCTGGACTGGTGTTTTCCTGGGAATGGAAGTAGTAGTGTTTGACAAACTTTTTTCATTTGTCTATGGTAATTGGTCTGTTTGGATTTTCAATTTTTCTATTAAATTTTTCATTTTATCTAAATGTTCAGATTTATCAGCATAAAACTATAAACTTTTTTTTTTTTTTTTTTTTGAGACAGAGTCTCGCTCTGTCACCCAGACTGGAGTGCAGTGGCGTGATCTCAGCTCACTGCAAGCTCCGCCTCCCAGGTTCATGCCATTCTGCTGCTTCTGCCTCCCGAGTGAGTAGCTGGGACTACAGGCGCGTGCCGCCATGCACGGCTAATTTTTTTGTATTTTTAGTAGAGATGAGGTTTCACCATGTTAGCCAGGATGGTCTCGATCTCCTGACCTCGTGATCTGCCCGCCTCAGCCTCCCAAAATGCTGGGATTACAGGCGTGAGCCACCGCGCCCGGCCATAAACATTCTTATAACAAAACTTCTGTTGTGCCTATCATTACACTCCCTTTCCACTTCTATCATTGTATATTTGTGGTTTCTCATAATCAGACTTGTAAGAAGTTTCTCTATTTCATTGTTCTTCAAACTAACAACTCCTGGTTTTATATATGAAGCCTATTTTTCTTTTTCTAATAAATTAGATTCTGCTTTTATCCTTTCATTAATTCTTAATTTCTCCTTCATATTATTTTGTTGTTCTTTCTACTTTCTTTCAAGTATTTCAACATTTCATGTTCATTAATAAATGCATTTAACTTTATGGATTTTCCCTTGAATATGTTAATATCTTTTACCATATATTTTCATTTGTTAATGTCTAAATTATCTATAATTTCAGTTTTGATTTCCTCTTTGACTTAAATTTGTATGAATATTGCCAAGTAATGTAATTGGGTGGGAGGGAAAGTTGCCTTTTCTTATCGATTTCCTGTTTTATTTCACTGCAGTCAGAGAATGTGACAGTAAAAAAGGTGTAATTTTTACCTTTTCAAATATCTGTTTGACAAGAATATATATTTTCAAGCTTACTAAGTATATCCATAATTCAGACTCTCCTTATCTTAGTTATTTTGCTCTATGTATTCTGTAAATCCAGAGGAAGATTTATTAAAATTTCCATTCTAATTGCGATTTTGTCAAATTTTCTATGTATTTCTAACAATTTTTACTTTAATTGTTATATCTATAAATATTCACAACTATTATAACATCTTCTTCATGGACTATACTTTTGTCAAAATGAAATATCCTTCCTGGCCAGGTGCGGTGGCTCATGCCTGTAATCCAAGCACTTTGTGAGGCCTAGGTGGGCGGACCACCTGAGGTCAGGAGTTCAAGACCAGCCTGGCCAACATGGTGAAACCCTGTCTCTACTAAAAATGCAAAAAATTAGCTGGCGTGGTGGGTGTGCACCTGTAGTCCCAGCTACTCGGGAGGCTAAGGCACCAGAATCGCTTGAACCTGGGAGGCAGAGGTTGCAGTGTGCTGAGATCCAGCCTTGGAGACAGAGTGAGACACAGTCTCAAAAAAAAAAAAAAAAAGAAATACCCCTTCTTATTCTAACTTTTTGCCTTAGATGCTGTCTTGTCTGATATTAATTTTACCACCTTTATTTTTTGCAGGGGGAGGCTTGTTTGCTGTGTTTGTCTAGTCCTTTATTTTTATTTTTAGTGTTTTTAGTTTTGTTTAAATACGTCTTGTTAACGACAGCTAATTTTGTTCTTTAAAGAAATCATTTGAAAGGAGTTAGCAGGAACTTTAGCATATTCACATTTACTATGGCCACTGTGTTTCCATCACATTTTAAATTCCTGCGTGGGGATCTCCCAGCATGCAAGGATCCTTTGTCTAACTGGAGAGACAAAGAAGTAATGCAGATGATTTGAGCTCCTAGAATGTTGGCCTTCAGAATTTGTCTAATCCAATCTTCTCTTTGACTTATGAGGAAACAGAAGGATACCAGATCATGCCATTTAATGGCAAAGCTTGAACTAGCAGCTAAATTTGAACATAAGACTGTGATATCTAACATAATTTCATGAAGATCTTGTTAGGGTGAAATTAAATCAGTTATAAGTCAGTACTGGCTTTCGCCCTTTTTGGAAAATTTATGGCATTGTTTGGCACTCAATAATGTTTAATGTCATTGCACATTTAAAAGCACAGTGTAGTCTGCTGTTTCTCAAGGAGTGACCCTGTACTGCTGAAGGCACAAATAAACATTTTTAGATATATTCCTGTACGTTAGGACAAATATGTATTTGTTATACACATTAAGGAGTATTATGACTTAGAATAACACTAAGATAAAAGTGGGTCAGTCTAAAGAAAAATATTAAAGAAATAGCACAGGTGACAGTATGAAAAATATGAAGGACAAGTTTGGGAAATATTGGTTTCAGGATAAAAACGTTTTCAGAATAAGAAAACTGGTTTGATATCCTGGGTCTGCCCTTTGTGAGGATTAGATAAGACGTGAAATGCCTGGCTTAGTAAATCTTTGGCTGTATTTTCTCTAATTTATCTTATGTTAGTCCTGTCTCCTTAATTAGATTGTAAAAACTTTCAATGACAGAACAAAATACAGGTTGCAAAGCAATAATCACTATAATATGAGATGTTTATATTCCAGAAGAAAAGTGGTCACAATGAGCCAACCACAGCCTGGTTATTTCTGAACAGGATCCAATTTTTATTTTTGCAAACTCATTATAGTCATCAACTGTACTGGCACCAACATTGAATAGAGGTTTAATGATACTATAGGTAAGGCATATAGCAACGTCAATGGAAATGATCTTTGCTCTCTACATGATTACAATCTAAATTAGTCTCCATATTGTGCTAATTATAGGGACACTTGGCTATGCTTTTAACTAGATGTACGAATTGGTTAGTTATTTGGGTCTCAGTTTCCTCAACTGCATAAAAACTGTTGTACTGGATAACTTGTGAGGTTTCTTGGCCAGGTACAGTGGCTCATGTCTGTAATCCCAACATTTTGGGAGGTTGAGGCAAGAGGAAGGCTTGAGGTGAAGAGTTTGAGACTAGCCTGGACAATATAGTATGACCGCATCTCTACAAAAATTAGCTGGGCATGGTGGCACATGCCTGTAGTCCTAGATGCTTTGGAGGCTAAAGGCAAGGATTGCTCGAGCCCAGGAGTTTAAGGCTGCAGTGGGCTCTGATCATGCCGCTGAACTCCAGCCTAGGTAACAGAATGAGATCCTTTCTCAAAACCAAAAAACAAAAATCCCTGTAGGTTTTCTGACAATTCCAATGTATTATATAACTCTCCTGTTGGATTCCCCTAAGTAAATACTGTTAATTAATTAATCAATTGATTAATGCACTCATGCAAAGAGATATGTGCACTTACTCTGTGCCAGACACTGTTAGAGAAACATGGTACCCACTGTTCTCAAAGAGCCCACTTAATAAATGCCCGTCAATCACTTTTTGATCTGACTAAGAAACAGTAGGGTTTATCTTAAGAAAATCATTATATTGTGTAACTGTTTGGGGGTGGAAAATAATATTAAACAATTAGCTCTCACAAACTGACAAAATATTTGCTTCATGAGAAAAATTTTAGAGGACATTTTTTCTGGAAACAAACCAAAACAGTCTGAATGAGGCGATTCTGGAAATCCAGTTTGAAAGCAACACCACCAGTTCACACCTGGGTCTGTCCAGCCTGTGCTAAATTCTACAGCAAGAGTCAAGTGAAAGAGAAGAGACAGTCTTGCAGAGCTTTTGACTAGTGGGGGCCACAAGATGTACTTGCAGTGCCCCCCACCTAAGAGCTCACAGAGCAATTCTGTGCAAGTTAGGAAAAAGCGCCTCCTCCAGGCAGACAAATTACAAAATGGCGCCCCATCAGGGCAACCAATTAGATAAAGATACCCTTCTCCAGACTGCCCTAACAAGGGTATATCTTGGCAAGAGCGCACAGGCTGATTTCAGTCCCACTCACCCCCTTCTGTAGTGTGGCTTTGTGCAGAGCACAGACTACAAGACCTGTGCAGCAGCCTGGCTTATGGGGAGCAATTGAATAACAGTTCTAAACACACTGGGGGGATCCTCATGTGGCTTAAACTGTGACCCTGTGAAAAAGCAGTTTTAAAGATTTCTAACTCTACCAATCTTTTCAAATTGAGTAATGTTCTTAGTCTAAGAAGGAAGTTTCCTCACAGTGCCTGAAAAAACATGGCTTCAGAAACAAGCTGCCTATTCACATTAGGCTTTTGTCCAGAGATTACTGCCATTTCAGCAATGAGACACCCAGACAGTGTGGGGGTTAAATGTTTTAAGATTCTCTTCCACTGAAGGCTGGATCTTGTTGCCTAGTGACTGCTGCGTTGCTTGCTGCTGTCACTCACCTTGTCTCCGGAGTTATCCTACTCCCATACGGAAGGTTATGATTGGACAAAGGTGACATCATAGCAAATAAAAGAATGGCATCTCTTTGTCAAGACAGCACCAATAAGATGACTCAAGAGTTGGTAGCAAAGTGTTTCGGTTCCTTTGTTTCGTTTCTTTAACATAGAGCTAATAAATTTGATGAAACATTTTCTCCATTTCTTTCGGAACCAATATTGCAGGTATTAGTAGTGAATTTTTGCCCATAAAAATATTTTTTGACAGCATATGGATTGTCTTCTCATCAATTTAATCAATCCTAGCGCAGCCAAAGCCATTCTCTGCCAAGCACTTGGTCAGCACTCGAGAAGCTGAATAGATTACAGGCAGAAAATGACTAGCAGGCAGCTCATTATCACACCATTGGTTACAGAGTGGAATTTCACACAGGGGAGGTTCTGCTTGGTGCTTATCTGAGAAGTACCTAAAGTGGTTCCAAAGCATCAATTTCAAGGACAGCCTTATAATAAGACTTCAGAGTACCTACATGAGGCATCGAAAGAGTAAAAGAAAAAGAATCGATTAAAGTTGAAAACATTATCTACTTTTAATATCAAGCAGTTGGCGAAATCTCACACATGTTTAGATAATAAACAAACATAAGTTCTTTGATTACTTTTGAATTGACTTCACACATTTTGCAGTGCTTCAAAAATCAAGCCTGATAGTCTCTTATTTTATTTTTAGATTTATACCATGTACTCTTGAATATTTCAGCCATTGAAGATATTAGTTATGCAACTGCAGTGTTGGTTGCAGGTTCATTATTGCCAAGCTGCTATATTAAATCATCTGTTAACTGCTTTCTTTTCTTGGTAAATATTCAGGATACAGCATAGCCACAGCTGCTATAATTGAATAATTGCTTCCAATTAATGCTCTATTTCAAAAGCTGCAACTCCATATAGAGCTTATAGTTGAGTCGTAACAAAGGCAAACCCCCAAGGGAAACAGAAGAGAGTGAGAATTCCTTTCTGCAATTCTACTAGAAAGCAATTAGAGAGAGAGAGAGAGAATACTAATGAATTATATATGGCCATGCTTTTACCTCCACTGATAAAGAGACTGTAGTATGTCAGCTGAAATGTATCAGTACACCATTGCCTCTTCCAACAGCTGGCTGAAAGTATTTAAACATTGTAATTTCTCATTTGAATAATCAACGATTGTTCTTAAAATGAATTAAAGCTGACTATACATTTCCTGGGGAAAATTCATTTAAAAGAAGGGAAAGATAGTATTTACACAGAATCAAATTACAAGGAAACACAGAATTATCATCATATGCTTTCATTCAAGAAAAAACAATTTATATATAATTTCCTTTAAAAATTCAGATTGGTGTGCAAGTGAAGGCAGAAAGTGGGTGGCAGTCCTTTAAATTAAATCAATATGATGTCAGGTGAAGTTTTCCTACTGACATGCTTCTTGTTCATTTGACTAGAAAGATACCAAAACATCTGAGTTCTTAAAGTGTGTGCTGGCTGGCAGTTACTTGAAAGATTAGTAAGTGTTTCAGCCAAATTATGTTGTTGTAGAATTGATAGGACTATAATTTGATCAAGATTCAGCTTCTTACTTACTTTTACTCTGCTTATTAAGAGATGCAATACTGTAAGCATTCTCTTAAGGGCTTACTTGAGAATGCTTGAATTACTTAATGAAATCTATCAGGTAGGCTAATTGTAAAGTTACTCTTCTCTATTCCCTTAATGTCCTAAAAAACTTGGATGGTTTAGTTCCAATTACATTTAAAAGCAGTAAGTATATATTTTAATATACTTTTCAATAATGTAGGCTGACCTTTAAACAAATGAGAATAGGTAAGATTTTACCATATAAAACCATTTGTTAATAAAGTAAAGTAATCTTTGGGAGGACAGGGCAGGAGGATCGCTTGAGGCTAGGAGTTCAAGACCAGCCTGCACAACACAGTGAGATCCCATCGCTACAAAATAAAAAATAAAATAAAAAGAAATTAGCAGGGCATGGCGATGCATGCCTGTAGGCCTAACTACTCAGGAGACTGAGGTGGGAAGATTGCATGAGCTCAGCAGTGTGAGGTTACAGTGAGCTATGATCGTGCCCCTGAAATCCAACCTGGGTGACAGGGCAAGACTCTGTCTCTAAAAAAAAATAAGTAAATCATTAAATAAGGTGCAGTAATATGGATATCAGTTTAGAGAAACAACTCCTTCTTTCTTAACTTCCTGATTGTACGTTTCATGATTTAGGAGTTATTTTGGCTTGAAGGGTAACTATAACAGATTATAGTACATAGGATATACTGTTTTGTCAGAAGGTATTTGACTAAGAATTTGTATTTAAGATTTGCTATGAGCAGTCTTCAAATCTCATGACACAATGGTGACTTTTTAAAATGTACATTTGGTTCCCTGCTCCCCTGATCTTAGGTTCTAAGTTCTTACCACAGCACCAGCAGAGCTCCACACATGACATGGTCCTGGAACCTGAATGTTTCTCAGTTGTCATCTCCTACCAGTCTTACCATCGCAGTTTCCTCCGGGTACAGTAACTCTTACTCTTGCAGTTCCTGTAAACACATCAAAGGGCTGCACTTCCTTTATCTTCCCTGGTTCCTGCCTAGAGGCTCCTCCTGCAGATACTTGCAGTCTCCTGCACATCATTCCATGCCCTGCTCTGCTCAGATGCCCAACTTGTCTAAAATAGCAACCGTCAACCTGATTCTACTTCCTCTTCCTCACCTTATTTTTCTTCATAGCATTTATGACTTCTGATATTTTATTGCAATTTCTTATTTTATCTATTCTCCTCCCACTAGAAGATAAGCTCCATGAGGGCAGAGGCTTGTCGTTTTGTTCACTACCAACAAGGCCCAATACAGTGGTGGGGCTTTGATAAGTGCTTCATGTACTGGGCGCGGTGGCTCACACCTGTAATCCCAGCACTTTGGGAGCCGAGGCAGGCGGATCACATGAGGTCAGGAATTCGAGACCAGTCTGACCAACATGGAGAAACCCCATCTCTACTAAAAATACAAGAAAACTAGCCGGGCGTGGTGGTGCATGTCTGTAATTCCAGCTACTCGGGAGGCAGAGGCTGGAGAATTGCTTGAACCTGGGAGGCAGGAGGTTGTTGTGAGCCGAGACTGCGCCATCACACTCCAACCTGGGCAACAAGAGTGAAACTCCATCTAAAAAAAAAAAAGTGCTTCGTGTTCTGGCCCGGTGTGGTAGCTCATGCCTATAATCCCAGTGCTTTGGGAGGCCGAGGCAGCTGGATCACTTGAGGCCAGGAGTTCGAGACCAGCCTGGCCAATATGGAGAAACCCTGTCTATACTAAAAATACAAAAAAAAAAAAAAAATAGCCGGGCAAGGTGGTATGTGACTGTAGTCTCAGCTACTTGGGAGGCTGAGGCATGAGAATTGCGTGAATGTGGGAGGTGGAGGTTGCAGTGAGCCAACATTGTACCACTGCACTCCAGCCTGGAAATCCCATCTCAAAAAAAAAAAAAGTGCTTCATGCTGATTTGTTTAGCAAATGAATCAGTGGCCAAACATGTTCTTGTGCTTGCATATTCCTATAATCTAGAGGCAGTAAATCCTGGTAATTAAGGCACAAATTCTGGAATCAGACTTGGTTTTTTTAATCATTTACTAACTAGTGCAACCATGGGCAATTTAAACTCCTCAAGTCTGTGTTTCTTCATCTATAAATGGTAACATTTACCTCATTAACTTCATAGTGTTGATGTGAGGATTAAATGAAATAACAAACAATATATAAATGCTTGGCTTGGTGATTGCCATGCTTGGCAAATAGTAAATACTCAATAGGTAGTAGTTATTCCATTCCATTCCATGTATTCTCTTTCTTTTTTTTTTTTGGAGATGGAGTCTCTATCACCCAGGTTGGAGTGCTGTGGCGTGATCTTGGCTCACTGCAACCTCCATCTCTCAGGTTCAAGCGATTCTCCTGTAACAGCCTCCTGAGTAGCTGGGAGTACAGGTGCCCACCACCATGCCTGGCTAATTTTTGTATTTTTGGTAGAGATGGGGTTTTACCATGCTGGCAGGGCTGGTTTCGAACTCCTGATTTCAGGTGATCCTTCTGCCTCGACCTTTCAAAGTGCTGGAATTACAAGCGTGAGCCGCTGCACCCGGCCTACATTCCATTAATATTCTTAATGAAGTTTTTTTTCAAAAAGGCCATTGAACTTCTAGTGACTGATTCCCCACATCCACCCAACCCTCCTCAGAAACCTTTTAATATTTCTTTCTTTTTCTTATTTATTTATTTATTTATTTATTTATTTATTGAGACGGAGTCTCACTCTGTCACCCAGGCTGGAGTGCAGTGGCGCGATCTTGGCTCACCACAACCTCTGCTTCCCAGGTTCAAGCAATGCTCCTGCCTCAGCCTCCCAAGTAGCTGGGATTACAGGTGCACACCACCACGCCCAGCTAATTTTTGTATTTTTCGTAGAGACGGAGTATCACCATGTTGGCCAGGCTGGTCTTCGACTCCTGACCTCAGGAGATCCACCTGCCTTGGCCTCCCAAAGTGCCGGGATTACAGGTATGAGCCACCGCACCCAGCCGCCTTTTAATACTTCTCTCTAATCCATCTCATATTCTACATGGGAGTCATTAGTATGAGTTGAAGGTTTTTTTATTCAGCCATCAGCTCTGGAAGTAATAGAAATTGTCCAATTTATTTCAGTTTTTCATGTTAATAACAAATTTGTATTATTTCTCTTACTCTGCAGGTCAAGCAGGACAAATTATTTTTGTTTTGCAAACACTGACTTAGAATACCAAGAAGCTCTTCTCCCTTCTGCTGTATATGCATGATTCTTAATGCTCCCCACCCAAGCCCGTGTCCTAGGCAATCACTGATCTGGTTTCTGTCACTATAGAGAGGATTAGATTTGTCTTTTTAAAAATTTCATGTTAACGGAATCACATATGTGTATTCTTTTGAGATTGGTTTCATACACATTGTATCAGCAGTTTGTTTCTTTTTATTTCTGAAAAAAATTAAAAGTTTTTTGCCCCATTGTAGGAATTCAGCATAATGTGTTTATTCACCTGTTTTTATTTTTTAATTTTAATTTTGTTTTGTTTTGAGATAGGGTCTCAGTCTGTTGCCCAGGCTGCAGTGCAGTGGTGTGATCACGGCTCACTACATCCTTTGCCTCCTGAGTAGCTGGGACTACAGGTACACAACCACCATATCTGGCTAATTTTTAATTTTTAAATTTTTTTGTGTGTGCTATCTAATAAATCTTTGCCTGCCTCAAAATCAGAAGGATTTTCTCTTATGTTTTCTTCTAAAAGTGTTACACTGTTAGCTTTTTTTTACATTTACGTCTGTGATTGATTTCAAAAAAACACTTATGTGTGATGAGAGGTAGGGGTCAAGGCTCATTGTTGATATATATCTAATTGTTCTAGCACCATTTGTTGAAAAAAATTATCTTTAATCCTTTGAGTTAACTTGGTACTTGTCAAAAAACAGTTGCTTATATATATGTGAGTTTTTATTTTCTGAACTATTCTGTTCCATTGATCTATATATATAGATTTATGCCAATACCATACTGTTTAGTTATTGTAGCCTTATAGCAAATTTTAAAGTCAGGTAGTATAAGTCATCCAATTTTGTTTTTCTTTTTTTCAAAAATCTTTTGGCTATTCTAAGTCATTTGCTTTTCTGTACAAATTTTAAAATCAGCTTGCCAATTTCTTTAAAAAAAAAAAGCCAGCTAGGATTTTGATTGAGATTGAAATAAATGCATAGATCAATTTGGAAAGAATTGACATCTTGACAATATTTAAGTCTTTGAATCCATGGACACAGTGTTTATCTGTCCATTTATTTAGATCTTTTAAAGTTTTGTCAGCAATGTTTTCTGGTTTTCATTTATTGTACATGTGTTGTGCATATTTTGTTAAATTTACCCCTTTGTATTTCATTTTTTGTATGCTACTGTTAATGGTATTGCTTTTTAAAATTTAATTTTCCAACAGTTTGTTGCTAATATAAATACAATTGATTTTTAAAATACTGACCTAGTATCTTGTGGCGTTGCTAAATGTACTTATTAGTTCTAATAGCCTTTTATAGATTCCTTAGGAATTTTTACATACATAATCATGGTGTCTGTAAATAAAGATGGTTCTATCTCTTCCTTTCCATGCTGTATGCCTTTTATTTTCTCTCTTGCTCCTCTTTTTCCTCCTCTTCCTCCTTCTTTTTTTAGTTTGTGACCTTATTGCAGTGACAAAGACCCTCAGTACAATATTGAATAGAAGGGGTGAGTGTGGACATACTTGGCTTGTTCATTATTGGGAGAAGGAGAAGTCAGTCTCTCACCATTCAGTATAATGTTTGCTGTAGATTTTCAATAGATGGCCTTTATCAGGCAGAAGAATGTCCAGAACTGTGAAGAGTGTGAGCTTTTATATTACTTTCAAGCTAACAGGCTAGCCTGCAATAGTTTCATGGATGCTGGAAAGAGACATCAGACTTCTGGGTCAAAGACCAAAGAATTTATTATAGCTCAGCAAGCAACATCAGCTTTATGATCACATTGGCTCTCATCACTCCTTTGGGGTTATGCTGAGTAGCCCAGGGGGATGCTGCTTAGGAAATCTAAATATTTTATAAAGGGTACAAGCAAACTTGTCCAACCTTTGCCCCAGAGTAAGCCATTATCTTTATGATACTGGACAGCAAACAAACTTGTCCTCTTCTCTGAAGAGAGATACTATATCTACTTTTCATGGCTGCTCACTATACAAACATTCTTGAAAAGATAGTCTGGAAAAAAACACTGTCAGTGCCTCTGTTTGCAAGACATGCAAAAATGAATGACACTCTCCTTTGCACTCATTAGGATGATTATTATGAAAATAAAACACATAAAAACAGAAATTAAGTGTTAGAGAGGATACGGAGAAAGTAGAACACTTGTGCATTGCTGGTGGGAATATAAAGCGTCTAACTGCTGTGGAAAGCAGTTTGGTGGGTCCTCGGAAAGTTGGACACAGAATTCCCATATGATTCAGCAATTCTACTTCTAGGTATCCTAACAAATTGAAAGCAGGGACTCCAGCAGTCACTTATACATCAATGTTAATAGCAGCATTAGAGACAAAAGGTGAAAACAACCCAAATGTTCATCAACAGAAGAATGGATGAACAAAATATATTGTACACAAACAATGGTGTTTTATTTAGCCTAAAAAGAAATAAAATTTTGACACATGCTACCACATGGATGAAACCTGAAAACTTTATGCCAAGTGAAAATAAGCCAGACACAAAAGGGAAGTTATTGTATGATTGATTGCATGTATAATGAGGTACCTAGAATAGGCAAACTCATGGAGACAAACAATAAAAAGAGGTTACAGGAGTGGGGCAGGGAATGGAGAGTTATTGTTTAATGAATACAGTTTCTGTTTGGGATGATGAAAATGTTCTGGAAATGGGTATTTGTGATGGTTGCATTACATCATGAATGTACTTAATGTTACTGAAGTGTACACTTCAAGACGATTAAAATTTTATGTTACGTATTTTGCTAGAATTAAAAAATTGCAAAAAAAATACATCCGTAGAAAATTGTCTTCCAATAAAAGCACCTCCTTTAATTTCTGGTTTGGTTAGAATTTTTATTATGAATGATACTGAATTTTGTTAAAAGCTTTTCTATCTATTGAAATGGTCGTATTTTTTCTTCTGCCGACACCAGCTCAGTTGTGGAGACCCTAAACCAGAGGCGCTAGAGGAATTAAAGACACACACACAGAAATCCAGCATGTGGGGTGGGAAATCAGGGGTCTCACAGCCTTCAGAACTGACAGCCCCAAACAGAGATTTGCCCACATATTTATTGACAGCAAGCCAGTGATAAGCATTGTTTCTATAGATTACAGATTAACTAAAAGCATTTCTTAGGGGAAATAAAGGGATGGGCCGAAACAAAGGGATGGGTCTGGCTAGACCCATCTGCAGCAGGAACGTATCCTTAAGGCACAGATCACTCATTCTATTCTTTGTGGTTCAGGAATGCCTTTAAGTGGTTTTCTGCCCTGGGTGGCCCAGGTTTTCCTTGCCCTCATTCTGGTAAACCCACAACCTTCAGTGTGGGCGTCATGGCCATCACAAACATGTCACAGTGCTGCAGAGATTTTGTTTATGGCCAGTTTTGGGGCCAGTTTATGGCCAGATTTGGGGGCCTGTTCCCAACATGTCTCCCTTTTTTGTTTTGCAAAGCGATAAAAGCAAAGGCAGCTTTGTCAAGGTGAGCTGCTTCTCACAGGAGTCAGGATCTGCATCTGCAGACTATACAAAGACAAACAACACAGATTAAAAGCACAGTCATCATTGAAATCACAGACCTTCCAAGTGTTTTTATCCATTTCCTTTAAGCACTCCAGTTCCTGGCATTAAGGTCAGGTGTGCCTGGGATGCTTTAAATATTAGTTTTTTTAAATTTTGCAATATCCAAAGACAAGTCTGTAGAGTGTCCTTCTAGATGCTTTTTTATTCTTTCCCAAATTTTGATCTTATTAAGAGCCATTAAGAGTTTCCACAAATCCTTATGTTTAGCTCCTACAGCAGGCCGTATTATTTGAGGTTGAGGTGCCACTATACTGCCATGTTTCCACAAAATAGGAACTCTTGCCATACTTCTTACCATTTCTACCATCTGACCGTTTTGTTCAGACCCGCTGAACATAGTGTGGCCATGGCATGCAGACTGAATGGTGCAATTTAAGCTAAATATCCCCTTAGGGGACCAATCAAAAATGATACCATAGGAATCGTTGAGCAGAACCTCTGCCTGTTCTGCAATGCAATCTTCCTAAACAAGTATGTTCATTTTTTCTGGCCAGGTCCAATTCTGTTTACAAATAGGTTTTTGAGGGCAGTATGCCTCAATTATAGGAGCAGATTTATTATGATAAATGCTGAGATCAGAAAGCATGTGTAAATGTGTCATAGAGTGATTATATCCAGGCATTATTGCCAGCCAAGATTGATAAATATGCCCAATAAGTATAATTGTTCTCTGTGTCAGCTGAGGAATACTCTCAGCAATGGTGATCATCGCTATCATAGCTATCATTAAATTACTCATTGTGACTGGTTGTCCCGCTTTCCTCAGGTTTTCTTCCACCATCTGTGACAGCTTCTTGATCTGTCCCCAAGTAGGTGGCTGTGTTCAATGGGTGTTGCTCGTGACAGTTGGGGTCCTCCTCAGCATCAGTCTCAACATGGCTGCAACCAACCGGGGGGACCTCAGGATCCTCCTGGAATCTCTTCTTCAGCATCTAGTTCATGATAAGGTTTCAGGCATCTTGATGGTATCCAAATCAGCTGTTGATTCGGTCCTGGAGAAACACAAGCATAACCTCTATCCCAAGTTATTATTTTACCTATTTCCCAACTTTTTGTTATTGGATCTCTCCACCAAACAAGTTGTTCTGCTTCTGTCTTTGCAGCTGGTTTCTGTAGATGTTGTTCAGCTGCTGACAACATCTGGGCTTTAGGCAGGCTCAAAAACTTTAAAGTTAATAATGCTAGATTCAATTGTATATGGGCTGTCCCGTAATCCCTGTTTCCCCCTTTCTGTTTTTGCAACTGCTGTTTCAGGGAGAGATTCATTTGTTCTACAGTGGCTTGTCCTTGAGAATTATATGGGATGCCAGTAATGTGTTTACTATTCTTTACCATTACTAGACCCATCTGTAAAAACATTCTCAGCACCTTCAATTGGTTTAAATTTAGTTATTCTAGGGAGGATCCAATCAGTTAATTTCAAAAATTGAAACGGTTTCATTTTAGGAAAATGATTATCAAGAATATCCACAAAGTCAGCTAAATGGGTTTGCCAAGTAAGACTGTTTATAAAAGCTTACTGTATTTGTGCCCTTGTGAGAGGGACATTAATTTTTCCAGGATCATATCCATGTCATTTAACAATCCTAGTTCTCCCATTACCTATCATAGTAGCAATTTGATCCAAATAAGGAGTTAGAGTCCATGAATTAGTATGTGGAAGAAAAAGCCATTCTACTAAGTCCTGCTCTTGGACAATAACACCAGTAGGTGAATGGTGAGTTGGAAAAATTAGCAAATCTAGAGTCTTCTCTGGATCTATTCTATTTATTTGAGCCTTATGGACTTGCTTTTAAATCAGCTGTAACTCTGCCTTAGCTTCTTTTGTTAATTGCCGAGGGCTAGTGAGACTAGTATCTCCTCTAAGAATAGAAAATAGATTACTCATGGCATAGGTAGGAATGCCTACAGCAGGTTGTATCCAATTAATGTCCCCTAGTAATTTTTGAAAGTCATTTAATGTTTTCAATTGATCCCTATGTACGGTTACTTTCTGTGGCACAATGGTAGTGTCATTTACTAAGGTCCCCAAGTAGGAGTAAGGAGTAGTAGTCCGAATTTTGTCAGGAGCTATAATTAAATCAGTGCAAGAAATCGAATTTTGCAAGTGATCATAACATTGGAGTAATATTTCTAGAGTGGGGGCAGCACAAAGTATATTGTCCACATAATGAATAATGTAACACTGTGAAAATTTTTTACAAGTAGGTTCAATTGCTTGTCCTACATAAGTCTGGCAAATTGTTGGACTGTTTAACATGCCTTGTGGGACACTTTCCAATGAAAACACTTAGCAGGCTGCAGGTCGTTTACTGCAGGAATTGTAAATGCAAACCATTGACAGTCTTGCTCAGCTAAGGGGATAGTAAAGAAACAGTGTTTTAAATCTATGATGATTAAAGGCCAATTTTTTGGAATCATAGCAGGGGAAGGCAATCCTGGCTGTAATGTCCCCATAGGTTGTATAACCGAGTTAATGGCTCTAAGATCTGTCAACATTCTCCATTTACCTGATTTTTTCTTAATTACGAAAACTGGAGAATTCCAAGAGGAAAATGTTGTAGCTATGTGTCCTTTTTCTAACTGTTCAGTAATTAAGTCTTCTAAAGCCTCCAGTTTCTCTTTGCTTAGTGGCCATTGTTCTATCCAAATTGGCTTATCTGTTAACCATTTTAAAGGTATAGGTTCTGGAGGCTTAACAATGGCCACCATCAAAAATGATAACATAAACCTTAGTGGGAACTTTGTCTTTCTGCCTGAAGCAGTTCCTTCAAACCTTGCAAATTTTTTCCTAGTCCCATACCAGGGACATACCCCATTTCATGTCATATGTTGACTTTGAGGGCTGTATAATTGTTCAGGAATTAGACCTTGTGCTCCCCATTGTTGTAATAAATCTCTCCCCCATAAATTTATAGGTACAGAAGTTATAATTGGTTGAATAGTCCCAGATTGTCCATCGGGACTTTCACAACACAAAATATAACTACTTTGATATACTTCAGGGGCTTTACCAACTCCAACCATATTACATTGAGTGGATTGAATTGGCCACGTGGACAGCCAGTGCTGTAGAGAAATGATTGAAATGTCTGCTCCTGTATCTACCAAACCTTTAAATTTCTTTCCATAAATAGTTATTTCACAGGTAGGACGTTTATCAGTAATTTGATTTACCCAGTAAGCTGCTTTGCCTTGTTTATTTGTGCTTCCAAATCCTCCTGTTCATTTAATTTCACTTTTCCCCATTCCCACATATGGCACAATCAGGAGCTGTGCTATGCGCTCTCCTGGCTCTGCTTTCCAGGGAACAGAAGTAGATATCACAATTTGAATTTCCCCATTGTAATCTGAATAAATGACTCCTGTATGTATTTGTACTCCTTTTAAATTCAAACTAGACCTTCCTAGAAGTAATCCTATCGTCCCCACTGGCAAGGGTCCACAGACTCCTGGTGGGACCTTTTGTGGGGGTTCCCCAGGCAGAAGGCTCACTGCTTTTGTGTAGCATAAATCTACTGCAGCACTACCGGCTGTGTCAGGGGACAGACATTGTACAGGGGTGAGGAAATGGCCTGAGCCGGAAATGCCCCGGTTTGGAACAGGGCATGGGACGGGCCCCTCATGGCATTTCCCAAAATCAGGTTCCCTTCTTTATCAAACTTAGAATGACACTGACTAGCCCAATGTTTTCCTTTTTTACATTTTGGACATATTTCAGGCTCAGCAGTTTTCTTTTTTCCCCTATCTGGTGGCCTGACTTGCTGATTTTTTCTACATTCTTTTTTAGCATGACCATGCTTCCCACAGTTAAAACAAGCTCCAGGAAATGGAGTATTTCCTTTGTCCACTCTCAGTCCTGCCATTGCCTGGGCTAGCAGAGTGGCCTTATGCAGATTACCTCCGCTACCGTCACAGGCCTTGATATAATCAACTAAATGTGCTTTCCGTCTAATAGGTCACACAGCAGCCTGGCAATCAGGATTAGCATTGTCGAAAGCTAATAACCGCAACACTATATCCTGAGCAGCCAAATCTACAATCACCTTTTTTTTATTTTATTTTTTTGAGACGGAGTCTCACTCTGTTCCCCAGGCTGGAGTGCAGTGGCATGATCCCAGCTCACTGCAAGCTCCTGGTTTCACACCATTCTCCTGTCTCAGCCTCCCCAGTAGCTGGGACTACAGGCGCCTGCCACCACATCCGGCTAATTTTTTTGGATTTTTAGTAGAGATGGGCTTTCACCATGTTAGCCAGGATGGTCTTGATCTCCTGACCTCGTGATCCGCCCATCTCGGCCTCCCAAAGTGCTGGGATTAGGGGCGTGAGCCACTGAGCCCCCATGCTGCCTGCAATCACCTTTTTAAGAGACTCCTGTAACCGAGCTAATTTAAAAGGAAAAGGCTCAAATGTAGCTTTAATATTTCCCTGTTGATCTGGGGGGTGTATTCTAACAGGGAACTGCCAAACCTCTAAATCACCCTCTCTTCTAGCTTGCTGGATTCCTGCCTGAGTAGAACTGAGAGTGGTCGCTCAAGGTGCTGCTCGAACAGTCACTGGGGCAACTACTTTTCGCCCAGTGTCCTCTGGAAAAGAAAGATCTGGAGGGTCAGGCCACTCTTTTTCTTCAAAATAAGGAGGGGGTGCAGAAGGGTAGGGATGAACCTCTCCCTCCTTTGCCACTTTAGCTTTAGCTGGCAAACAAACCTGCTCTGTTACTTCGTTATACTCTCCTTCCTCCTCATCATCAGTGTGAAAAGGTTCCAAGGTGGAACGAACCAGAGCCCACACTTGTCCCATTGTTACCCTGATGCTTCCGAGCTCCCCTTGATGCTTCCGAGCTCCCCTTCTTACTCACCACAGGAATTGCTTTAAGAGTACTCGAGTGTCCTCCAGCTTAGTTTCACGTTCTCCAACTGTCGCTCTGGCGACCCTTCAACCTGGGTTCGAGCCCTACGTATGGGCGCCACTTGCCGAGACCAGCTCAGTCAGGGAGACCCTAACCCAGCAGCACTAGAGGAATTAAAGACACACACACAGAAATATAGCATGTGGAGTGGGAAATCAGGGGTCTCACAGCCTTCAGAGCTGAGAGCCCCAAACAAAGATTTGCCCACATATTTATTGACAGCAAGCCAGTGATAAGCATTGTTTCTATAGATTAACTAAAAGCATTTCTTAGGGGAAATAAAGGGATGGGCCAAAACAAAGGGATGGGTCTGGCTAGTTATCTGCAGCAGGAACATGTCCTTAAGGCACAGATCGCTCATTCTGTTCTTTGCGGTTCAGGAACTCCTTTAAGTGGTTTTGTGCCCTGGATGGGCCAGGTGTTCCTTGCCCTCATTCCAGTAAACCCACAACCTTCAGTGTGGGCGTCATGGCCATCACGAACATGTCACAGTGCTGCAGAGATTTTGTTTATGGCCAGTTTTGGGGGCCTGTTCCCAACATTCTTCTTCTTGCCTCTGTTGATATGATGAATTATAATGATGATTTTTAGTATTGAACCAACTTGCACTCCTAGGGCCGGCCCCATTGGTTATTGTCTCTTTTTTACACTACTGAATTTTATTTGATGATATTTTGTTAAGAATTTTTGTGTCTATATTCTTGACGAATATTGGTCTGTAGTTTTTTGGTAATGTCTTTTTTTTTTCCTGTGAGACTGTCTCACTCTATCACCCAGGCTAGAGTGCAGTGGTGTGATCTCGGCTCACTGCAGCCTCTGCCTCCCAGGTTCAAATGATTCTCCTGCCTCAGCCTCCCAAGTACCTAGGATTACAGGCACGTGCCACCACTCCCGGCTAATATTTGTATTTTTAGTAGAGACGGGGTTTCGCCATATTTGTCAGGCTAGTCTTGAACTCCTGACCTCAAGTAATCCACCCACCTCGACCTCCCAAAGTGCTGGGATCACAGGCATGAGCCACTGCACCCAGCAGGTAATGTCTTTACTCAGTTTTAATATTAGGTTAATGCTAAACCTATAGCCTCATAAAGCAAGTTATGAAATATTTTCTTGTCTTCTTTTTTTTTATTGCTTTTAAGGAGTTTGGGTATAATGGTATTATTTCTTCCTTAAATAATAAATGTAATTCATGTGAAGCCATGTGAACTTGGAGTTTGCTTTCAGTTTTTTTTTTTTTTTACTGGACTTTTTAAAGAGTCATTTTAGAGTTAAAAAAATTGAGCAAATAATACAGATACTTTCCATATACCCTCTGCCCTGCACAGTTTTCCCTGCTGCTAACCTCTTATACTAGTATGATACATTTGTTACAATTAATGAACTGCTATTGATACATTATTATTAACACAAGTTTATATTTTATTTAGGTATTCTTAGTTTTTAAACTAATACCATTTTTTCTATTCCAGGACCCCATTCAGGATGCATCCCATTAAGTTGCTGTGTCTCTTTAGGGTCCTTTTGGTTATGAAAGTTTCTCAGACTCTGATTGTTTTCAGTGATCTTGACAGCTTTGAGGAATACTGGTCAGGCTTGTTGTAGGATGCCAAACTACTAGAATTTGTCTGATTTCTTTTTAAAAATTAGGCTATGAGTTTTGGGAGGCAGATCACAGAGGGAAAGTCCATTTCTATATAATATCAAGAACACGTGCTATCAACGTCAGTCATGATTGCTGATGTTGACCTAGCATGCCTGACTGAAGTAGTGTCTGTCAGGTTTCTCCACCATGAAGGTACTACCCGCATCACTGTCCCTTCCACACTAAACTCTGGAAGGAAGCCCTTATGCAAACCCACATTTAAGAAATGGGAAGTTATGCTTCCTCCTTTAGGGTGGAGTAGCTGCATAATTTATGTGGAATTGTTCTGCATGGGAGATTTGTCTCTTTTCCCTCATGTATTAACATATTCAATCATTTATTTGTATCAGTATGGACTCATAGATATTTTATACATTAAGATATAAGACTACAATTGTTTTTTTTTGTTTGTTTTTTTTTTTTTTGAGATGGAATCTCGCTCTGGAAGGTGGAATTTAGCCCAGGCTGGAGTGCAGTGGCATGATCTCGGCTCACTGCAACCCCCAGTTCAAGCAATTCTCCTGCCTCAGCCTCCTGAGTAGCTGGGATTACAGGCACGCGCCACCATGCCCAGCTAATTTTTGTGTTTTTAGTAGAGACGGGGTTTCACCATGTTGGCCAGGATGGTCTTGAACTCCTGACCTCGTGATCTGCCCTCCTCGGCCTCCCAAAGTGCTGGGATTACAGGTGTGAGCCACCGCACCTGGCCAAGACTACATTTTTATTTTGGTGCTCATATTGTTCTAGCTTTGGCCATTGGAAGTATTTTCAAGTGCCAGTTGTTTTAGGTTTTGTTTTTTAATTAATAGACTTTATTTTTTTAGAGGAGTTTTAGGTTTACAGAAAAATTGGGTGGAAAGTACCAAGAGGTCTCTTATACCCTCCTTTGTGCCCCCACCACAGCCCCAGTTTCTCCTATTATTAATGTCTTGCATTAGTGTGGTACACTTATTACAATGGATGAGCCAATATTAATACATCACTAGTAACTAAAATCCGTAGTTTACATTAGGTTTCACTCTGTCTGGTTTTAATTTCTGTGGGTTTTGACAAATGTATAATGATATATATACACCATTACAGTATCATGAAGCATAGTTTTACTGCCCTAAAAAGCCCATGCTCCCCCACAACCCCTGGTAACTACTGATCTTTTTACTGTCTCCACAGTTTTGTTTTTTCTAGAATGTCATATACAGCCATGAGCTGCATAATGATGTTTCGGTCAAAGGCCAGGACAGACCACATAGACAACAGCAGTCCCATAAGATCATAATGAAGATGAAAAATTCCTATCACCTAGTGATGCCTTAGCCCTCATATTATCATATTATATATATTGTGTTTATGGTGATGCTGGTATAAACAAACCTACTGCACTACCAGTCATATAAAAGTATAGCACATACAATAAGGTACAGTACAGGATACTTGAAAATAAATGACTATGCTATTGGTTTATATATTTACTATACTTTTTACCATTATTTTACAGTATACTCCTATTAAAAAAAAGAAAAGCTAACTGTAAAACAAACTCAGGTCCTTCAGGAGATATTCCAGAAAAAGGCATTGCTATCATTGGAGATAATAGCGCCATACATATTTTTGCCCCTGAAGACCTTCCAGTGGGACAAGATGTGGAGGTGGAAGACAGTAATACTGATGATCTTGACCCTGTGTGGGCCTAGGATAATGTGTGTGTTTGTGTCTTAGTTTTTAAGAAAAATGTTTAAAAAGTAAAAAGAAAAATTTGAATAGAACAAAGCTTATAAGATATGAAGAATAAATATTTTGGTACAGCTGTACAACGTGTTTGTGTTTTAAGCTGTGTTATTACAAAAGAGTCAAAAAGTTAAAAAAAATTAAAGTTTATAAAGTTACAGTAAGCTAATGTTTATTGTTGAAGAAAAAATTTTAAAATGAATTTAGTATAGCCTAAGAGTACAGTGTTTAAAAAGTCTACAGTAGTGTACAGTAATGTCCTAGGCCTTCACATTCACTCACCACTCACACTCACTGACTCACCCAGAGCAACTTCCAGTCCTGCAAGCTCCATTCATGGTAAGTGCCCTATACAGGTGTAGCATTTTTTATCTTTTATACTGTGTTTTTACTGTACCTTTTCTATGTTTAGATATGGTTAAGATACACAAATACCATTGCATTACCACTGTCTACAGTATTTGGGACAGTAACATGTTGCATAGATTTGTAGCCTGAGCTATAGGCTATCTACTATATAGTCTAGTTGTGTCGTAGGCCATACCATCTAAGTTTGTGTAAGTACACCCTATGATGTTCCCACAGTAAGAAAACAGCCTGATACTTTTCTCAGAAGGTATTCCTGTTGCTAAGCGATACAAGATCGTAGTTGGAATCACAGAAATGAGCCTTCTAAGGCTCAGTAAGTGAACCTTTCAACTAAGTCAAAGATTGGCTTCTTTCACTTAGTAATATGTGTTTAAATTTCCATCATAGCTTGATATCTCATTTTTTTGTTTTTCTTATTTGTGGTAAAATATATATAACATTTACTATTTTTGTGTGTACAGTTCAATAGTGTTAAGTACATTCACACTGTTGTGAAAACAATCTCTAGAACTCTTTCATTTTGCAAAACACAAATTCCATGCCCATTAAACAACTTCTCATTCCCCTCTTCTTCCAGCCCCTGGCAAACATCTTTCTACTTTCTGTCTCTATCAGTTTGACTACTGTAAGTACCATACAGTATCCTTCTTTTTCTGACTGGCTTATTTCACTCAGAATAACGTCCTCAAGTTTCATCCATGTTGTAGCTTGCGTCAAAATTCCCTTCCCTTTTGAGGTGAAATAATAATCCATTGTCTGCATGTGCCATATTTTATTCATTCATCTATCGATGAACATTTGTGAACCTTCCACCTTTTGGCTATTGTGAATAATGCTGCTCTAAACATGGGTAGACAAACACCTCTTTGAGAACCTGCTTTCAATTCTTTTGGGTATGTGCCCAGAAGTAAATCTGCTGGTCTATTTTTAATTTCTTGAGGAACTTCCATACTGCTTTTCAGTGACTGCACTATTTTGAATTCCATACTGCTTTCCATAGTGGCTGCACAAGTGTTCCAATCCTTGCCAACACTCGTCACTTAGTTTTGGTGGCGTTTTTAACCTTTTAATAGTAGCCATTCTAATGGATACGAGGTGGTATCTCATTGTGATTTTTATTTGCATTTCCCTAGTAATTAGTGATGTCGAGGATATTTTCATGTTCTTTTTGGCCATTTGTATATCTTCTTTGGGATGTCGATAGCTTTTAAAAAAAATTGCTGTATAATAGTCTGCTGTCTGGATGTACCAGTTTATACATTTGCCTACTGACAGACATCTTATTTGCTTCCAAGTTTTGGCAATTATGAACAACGCTGCTGTAACAATTGTGTGCAGGTTTTTGTTTAGACATGTTTTCAACTCATTTGGGTAAATATCAATGAGTGTGATCTGTTTATCTTTTCTGGTGAGGTGTCCGTTCAGGTATTTAGCCCATTTTTAGATTGGGTTTTCTTATTGTTGCATTTTAATTCACCGAAGTTGTTGAACTTATTGGCATAAAGCTCTTGATGACTTTTTTTTTTTTTTTTTTTTTTTTTTTTTTTTTTGAGATGCAGTCTCACTCCGTTGTGTAGGCTGGAGTGCAGTGGTGGGATCTCAGGTCACTGCAACCTCCGCCTCCTGGGTTCAAGCATTTCTCATCCCTCAGCCTCCTGGGTAGATGGGATTACAGGCGTTCGCCACTATACCTGGCTAATTTTCGTATTTTTAGTAGAGACGGGGTTTCATTATGTTGGCCAGGCTCGTTTCATATTCTACTCCATTTTTCCCAGTTATATTTCAAAATATTTCAGATACATGTAAATTAATAGGAAAAGAAGTTTAACTTTAGGAAGATAGTAATTTAATTAATGTCATTTTAGCTTTCAGTAATTAACATCTAAAAACCATAAAAAATACTTTTAAAAAAATTGAAATTAAACTGCATTTTTCATTTCCTTGACTCCAATTTGAATGGAAAGTGTGTGTAGAAGTATAGCCATCACATCTGCCCTACCATCCTTCTCCTGTCCCACCCTATCCTACAAAAGATCAGAGAAAGCACAAAAAAAGTTATAAAACAAAATTTATTATGCAATACTTTCTCATAATGAATTGCATCTCTTTGGTAAAAATAAACTTTATAAACATTTTAATAATCAGAGATTAGATACAAAAACTAAGTATTTGTAAGTTGTTTTTAATATGAGCAAAGATTGGCAACTGAGAAGTGGTTCACTTGTGACTGGTCATCTACTGGCAGTTATAACTCAAACCGGGACAATTTTTATGCTACATCAGAAAAGAGGATAAGGAAACAGTTTGATAACAAATTTGTTGAATCAGAAAGCATTCTTACACTTTCATTTAAAAATAAATAATAGTTACAATCAATTGGCAATTATACATTTTTATACACTATATGATGGCAACATAATACTTTAAAATTAAGCACTTAGTTTAATAAGAAATGTACAACGATTTAAAAAATAAGTTTTGACAATGGCACTGGCAGTTAGATGCAAAGAATATGCTTTAAGAAAAAAAATGGCAGGTATAACATTAAAATACTCGAATTCACCTTTCAATAAATATTTTTACTACATCATTAACATACTGAAGTAAACTTGGTTTAAATCAAAGCTTACACATTTCAAACTAAAAAAAAAAAAAAATACAAAAAAACACCTGTAAGATATATGTAAACCAGAAAGCCTCACAGTTTCTTAGATAAATGCTGTGATCTTCACAAAAGGGTGTTAAGTTGTTGTAGTATTTAAGACAATGGTCTTTACAGCTTTGTGAAGTATTCACATCTGTTGCTTAAATTGCTGGCAAAGGCCTCCTGGTCTACCAAGACATATACATTCCCTCCTTAACACATTCTCTAGTTTGACTTTGTGCTAAAGTATATTTAACTGAACATCTAGTATGAGCCCTTTACATAATGCCTCAGAAAGTAGCAAAAAGAAAAAAATATATATATACTAAACTTTACTATATACAAAGGAATCCAAGTTAAAAGAAGTCATGCTGGCTATGAGGACAGGAAAGGCTTGAAGGTGGAAAAAGGGAGGTGATCCACCTTTTCCATGAATTCAGGTAATCTGTTTTCTTTCTCTGAATTTGGAAAAGTAAAATAATAACTGATTTAGTAATATATTGCACAAAAAAACTTCAAAAATATATATTCAAGAAACAGTGATTCTGTTTGGGATGTGAAGATGAACAATTGTGTTGAATCAAAGCTTTTTACTAGGGATCTATTATAAACTGGAATCAGCTGCAACAAAACATATTCTTTTGACGTAAGGCAAATTATATGTTAGCTTATATCACAGTTTTTAGGATATGTTGGAAAACATGTAACCTCCTTGGAGTTTCTAAGTTGACTTTATTACAGGAAAATTTGTATATTATAGGGAATACAATTTCCAGGCCATAGGACTTGGAATGACTCTACTTAATTGTGTGGTTATTAGTCATGTTTCTCAAAACACCTGAGGAATGAGAGCATACTCTCAGTGGAAGTAGTAAATGGAGGACCATAATTTAAAAGGTTCTTCCCTTGAAAATAACTGACTTGGTATGTTAGCAAGTGGAAGGTGATGCATTAAATTATGTTTAAGAAACTGTAAAATATTGTGTAACCTCTCCCTGTTAGCTTTCAGTGCACAAGTGTTTATCATCCTTGCTAGTGATGAATATAACTTAAACATTTAAATTCGTGGGAAGAGTGAATAAAAAGGAAGAGAAAAATCAAAAGATGTAAAGAATTACTGTTACATACATCAAGACAAAATAACTTTGAAGATCCCTATTAGAGCTGGAACTAACTCTGCTTCTCTTTCCTTTCCTTATAAAGAGTAATTATCTAATGGACAAAAACCAGGTAGCACATTTGTGATACAGAATTTCAGCAGAACAAAATAAACTGGTGCCAGATCACTGAAACACTGTTCCTAAGGTCTATACAGAGGCTATGGTAAATAACTTAAAAATAGTTATTAAGATGATGTGTATAATCTATTATTTATACTGTGGTTAAAGCATTTTTGGGTTTTTGGTGTTTTATTCACTGTCTATAATAAAAGTTAACTTGGTTTAGCCATTTTCTGTAGATGTGATCGATCTAAAAAAAAAACCCAAATACCTCATCCTGCATGCTTAAGGGTTTTCATTATTAACAAATTTAAAAATTACTATATTTTGACAGCACCAATTCATTAATGTGGCTATCCAGGTTAAATTAAATTTAACATGGAAACAGAACAGAGAACATTAATACTGTTATCCCTGACTTAAAGTCTTGTCAATTGAAAAAAAAGTTTTTAAAATCATTTTTCTCATTTGACAGTTTTGCCAAAATAAAAATTAAAAGTTAAAATTTGTCTCTTAAAAAATGCTTTATAATCACAGAAACAGCTGAAAGCAAATCAACATCATGACCTTGACTGTGCATATGTGTATATGTATGTGTACATATGTATACAATCTATCAGAATAATGAAAACAAGGTCATTGTCTATGACTTAGGATGTAGCATAAGACTGAACTTTCAGAAAGTTGCTTCCACCATTGTAAAAAAAAGATACAATGAATTAGTTTAGCATCCTATTGTTTCTGAATAATCTAATCAAATTATACAAATGATACTATGAAAAACTGTCTCATATAAGCAGACTGTTCAAATAGTTAAGATACTTAGTCAAAGCACTTTTGGAGTAGTACCAGAAAATCTTTTTCTCATGGATCAATGGCACTATAGGTTGTTACACTGCCTCCTCAAAAAGGTGTATTGCATAAGATCAAATTTTATATGAATTTTGAAATTCATGAAGGTATTGTGTCTGTAAAATTGCATTAAATCTATTAAGATTTAATTTGGTATACTTATGAATTTAATTCATACAAAGCTTGGACAGAAGTTTTTTCCTAAATGACCTACTTTATGTATGATAACATGCCATCAGTACTCAAAATGTTTCATTTCACTCCATTCCGATTATAAGATTCTCATAATACAGTACACATGGCAGGCAAATGAAAGATTCTCTTATTACAAGTGTGTCAAAATGGGTGTACTCCATAACACACTTAATTGGCTATATCCTCTCACTGGATAACTTATACTCAACAAAGGCAGCTAGTGGCTAAAACTTAATGTTTGCAAAGCACTTTGGGAAAGAATAAAAGGCCCCAATAAATGCTATGCAGGATCTCTGAAGTAAAAACACTTCAAAGCTACCATTCTAATAGGAATTGGGAGTGTTCTTGGATGAAATGACACCACAAAATTGTCTTTTCTAAGTCTTAGAACTCTTTGTTGTATTCTCTACCTACGTAACCAAAAGAAACTTTCTAAACATCAGGATGTTTTTCAATTTATGTTTGTCTTTGCTCACACGACAACAAAAAAAAAATTAGAAACAAATTAAGACAAAGTAAAAAAATTTCAATCTTATGTTACCGGATTGCGTGTCAGGAGAGAAGTATATGAAAAATACATCAGCAAAATTTTTAGCTGGTTCAGTAACTATAGTTACAGATTGGAAAAGAAAATGAAAAAAATTTATCGAGTTGCCAAATCTTACATTCTGACATATTAACAGAAGAAAGGATTTTTGTCCCACAAGTTTAAGACAGAGGCTGGGGATTTTCTTATATAAAAATTTTCAAATCTTGGACACATTTATCACAAAAATTATGCTTTTAGGACTTCACATCATGTATTTCTGATCAGGCATGATCCTAACAGCAATTGTTTAATAAAAATTTTAAAAACCAAAAACCAAAAATGTTTTGAAAGAAATAAGTAATTAGTATCCCTTCCCTACCCTAAAACTAATGAAGTCCATTATGGCTTTGATATCCCTTGTAAAGAATTAAGTGAAAGAGTATTGCCACACTTTAAGTATTTCTATTTTTTCCGTTGCTTTTGATTTTGTGTCTTTGCAGTACTTATTAGGGAACCTAAACATGTACGAATTCCAGCAAGGTGGAGCAGAGATCCAGCTGCCTCTTTGAGCTCCTCATCAATTTCTTGACATGTCTGTTTTCGCATCTTTTTGCCTGACTGCCCTTTTTCAGAGATTTTTGCACAAGGCTGTGATGCATAGCCACTGTCTCCAAGAGGATCATCTTCATAATCAACGTCTGTATCTTCTTCACTGTGAAATCCTTCACTGCCATCACTTCCCACGTGACTATTCTTTGGGATAAATTCATATACCTCATCCACAGAAGACAGGGAAGACACGCTAGACCTGGATGCACAACGCTGTGCTGCCATGCTACTTGCACTGTAATTGTGATCTTCTTTTGGATCAATGCTGGTGGCTAAAGAATCACTCTCTTGTAATCGTACAGCACTGGGATGATGAAATGCATTGCCGTAACTCCTCTTTTTTTGCAATGCTGTTTTAAGAGGAAGAGGCTTCTCACCTGTGGAAAATAAAAGTTCCATCAATAGGTCAAATGTGTTTGGTTGCAAAAACAGACCAATTTTAAACTACTACATTACTCTTGAGCAACAAATGTTTTAGATTCATGATGCTTTGTAGATTTTTTATTTTTTTTTACCCAGATCACATCATTTTGCAAGCATTAATTTGAAACATTTAAAAACCATTTAACAATGTCTTGACTTTTCTATAGCATATGTAACTATTTTGAATTGCTTACAAGGAATGCCTCAATATGAATGTACCACTGTTTAGCTAATCACTTCCGTGTTAATATTTAGGCTGTTTCCAATTTTTCATTAGTATAAATCATGCTGCAATACAAATCCTTCTGGATGCCTTTTCTTGAATATATGCAAGTAATTTTTAAAAAGAGATATGAAAAAATTGCTAAGGGATATATACATTTAAAATTATAATTGGTATTCTCAAATTGCCCTCCAAAGTGGTTGTACCAATTTACTCCCAACAGTGTATGACAAAACTTACTCCCTACTTAACACCATTCTCAATTACTTAAATTTTTTATAATTTTATGGACAAAAAAGTTACCTCAATATTATTTCATTTTGTGTTTCCCGAATTTCTAGCGAAGTTACACATCTTTTCACATGTGTATTGCCCACATATATTTCCTCTTCTAAGATCCACCTAGTCATATATTTTGCTGACTTTCCGGTTGAACTGTTTTCTTATTTCTTACTTGCAGAATCCTTTTTATGTATATACTTGATACTAATCCTTTGTTATATATGGAAAAAACATGTCTCCAGCATTTTATGTCACTTTTCTTAGATATATTTTGTTGTCAGAATGCTTTTTTTTTTTTGGAGACAGAGTCTCACTCTGTCCCTCAGACTGGAGTGCAGTGCTCTCCAGCTCACTGCAGTGCTCATGGCTCACTGCAACCCCCACCTCCCAGGTTCAAGCAATTCTCCCACCTCAGCCTCCTGAGTAGCTGGGACTACAGGCATGCACCACCACATCTGGCTAATTTTTGTATTTCTTGTAGAGATGGAGTTTTGCCATGTTGCCCAGGCTGATCTGGAACTCCTGGTCTCAAGTGATCCACCTGCCTTGTTCTCCCAAAAGTGCTAGGATTACAGACGTGAGCCACCATGCCTGACCAGAATGCTAAAATTTTGATGTTTTATTAAATTTACCCATTTTTTTCCTTCATGGATTTTGCATTTTGTATCTTAAAGAAAGCTTTTCCTAGTCCAAGTTCATAAATATACTTTACTTATTATATTTTCTTGTTTATAGTTTTCATTTTTACTTTTAGCTCTTTGAGTTCATTTTCTAAATATATTTTTCTTCATTTCTTGGTCAATGTAAGAAAAATCGAAGCATTAACTTCAATCTCTCAATTGCTCACATAAATTAATGAAAGTATAATAAAACAGAAACTGAGTTACTCAGATCAAAATACAATTTGGTTGGAAAGAAGTAATTTTTGTCTGTAATAGTTATTTTATAGTCTAGGTTAAATTTGAAAAGGCACTAAAATTTTTTTTTAAAAAAGGCATGATTACTTACATTCTAAAATTCCTTGTTCTATAGAAGTATTTAAAAGCATCATTGCAGCAGCAGCATCAATATCAGATTCTGAAAAGGGAAAAAGTAATAATATTAATGTTCTTTATAAAGGAGAGGCTATTCTAAGTATTTGCATGCCCCTGAAGATAACCAGCGTTACAATTTTGGTGTATATTCTAAGAAAGCATAAACGCACATCAAACAAAAATGAGATATTATATATTATTCTGAAGTCTGATTTTGTTCACTTAAAATCACGAAACAGTTTTGTGAACAATACAGTGTAAAAGAGATGGAGAGATACCAGAAATAATGCAAGTTCTCTTCTTTAATTATTCACAATGAAAACGAAAACTTAAACTGTATTTCAGTAAGGTTTCCCCTTAAACAGATTAAATTAGCTAAGAATGTACATCGTTACTCCTTTTTTTTTTTTTTGCATTTTTACTTGAATACTATCATTACCTATGCATATCTGCAGTTATGAAGTACTATGTTAATTACATGCCAGTTACAGGAGATAAAAATATGTAATTCGTCAGTCTAGGTCATGTAAACCTATAAATGCTAAGTGAATAATTATGCAGAAACAAAAATAATTATTATTGTTTTTAGTCATGATTATACACAAGCCTACATGTACGACAAATTTATATAATATTCATGAAGTCAAATGGATACTCCATTAAAAATGGGCTTTAAAAGACTGGCAAAATCAGCAGGTTCTACAACAGATAAAGTTATGCTCTCATACCTACTTATATTTACTGCTGTAAGTTCTTCATCTTGGTGATATACTAGTCTGAATAACTAAAGAAAAGTAAAATGGTATAATCTAAATTACACCATTAATAATTAGAAAAGTTAGAAAATGTTTATAAATTTTAGCTTACAAAAAGACATTTAAAATAAGACTCAGATATGAAATTTCTAATCTATATCTCAAAGGTGGAAATTTTTATTACCATAAAGATTTCCTATTTACTTTCAATGTCTAATTTAAAAGTTATTGTAGATAATAAAGCCATGAAGATAATGACTTGTTTTCTCTCCAACTAGACCATAAACTCTCTTAAGGTAGGAAATGCTGTTGTTATTGATAACACTAACAGGCTTAAGTAAATCAGATGCTGGCCACTATGAAACAGCACATAATACTTTACCTCTTTTTCCCCAAGTAAAATGTGACC